>NC_000002.12:59584291-59887321 GCF_000001405.40 Homo sapiens | reverse complement strand
AGACCTTTTAAAGAAATTGAAGCAGTCCAATAATTTTAAATCACTCTACACTGTGCATTGCAATTTAAAATTATTGGAGTGCTTCAAATTTTTATAAGCCCTTGAATTTGGAAGTGATCAAGGTTCCAGGCATACTCAGTGTAGAGCAATTTAAAATTATAAGAGCTGTCAAATTTTTATATAAGCACTTCAGTTGGAAAAGGGATTCGGGTTCTGGGCATGTGCAGAGAAGAGCCATTTAAATTATTAAAAGTACTTCAATTTTTTTTCCCCAAGCACCTGATTTTGGAAGAGTTTTGGTTTGCACAGCCCAAAGTGACAACTTCCTTTGAGAGAGTCTGTGTAAAAAGACTTTCAATCTTTCAAACAGGGCCAGCACTGTGGGGATATGAAGTAGGCGGCTGGCTTTCTGGCGTGTGATGTGTAGGATACACCAGGAGAGTGTGTCCCCCCACCCCACCCCAGAGTCTTCCCAATGGCTTGACATCTTGTCACATTATAGTTCTTTTTTGGATAAAGGCATTTCCAGAAGGCCCTTGTTAAAATGCTAATCTCTTACATTAAATCACAGATACATTGATGGGATGAATTTATCAGTGAAGGGGCTGGCCCTGGGGGACTGAAGACACACAAACATTTTGGTGGTGAGGAGGGGAGAGATGGGTGTCTCGGTGGGAGACACCCACCGAATCTCTAGGAGGCATTCAGCTGTGGGCCTGGGCAGGCCGTAGGGGGGTCTCTTGTTTCCTAAGGCTGTGGCTCAGAACATTCTTGGTGGCATGATAGTAGGAAGTGGCCAAAAATGTAAAACTTTATCTGTGTCAAGATTTTACTGAGTGCAGATCCCCTCCCTGACTAAAACTAATCATTAAAAGAGGTGGCTTCTCTGTTACTTTTAATGCTCATTTGCATTATGGCTTGCCGAAGATATCAATTTTCTCTTTTCTGAGAAGTGAAATATTATTCATCTGAAGCATTTTAAGGGGAGAATCGAAAGGAAGGTAGAATCGATAGGTTCAGCTTTGAGGTTGATTTTCTTTATTTCATCCTTGAGTTGGGAGTTTCAGTGATGTGAAAGAAAAAGATGGGGACAAATCTAACACAATGAAAATAATGTTTCCTTTTCAAAGCTTTATTTACAACAAAGTGAAAAGAAGATAAATGTTGTAAAATATAGATACTTTACAATTGTAATTTCTATTAATTTCTCACCTCAGTGAAGCTTGGGTGCCCAGAATGTGACAATCATGTTGTCATATGTGACCTTGCCATTGGGAAAATGTTTGTGGGTCCTCAAATTTCTTAAAGGGGGATGCCCTTAAATCAGGAAACTTTAACATTAAGAAATGACTCACTCATGTGAACTTCTTCAGAGGGATGTTGATTTTCTTTGAAAGTTGAAACCCTGGTTGTTGCAGCATGTGAAACATTTAATTTATCCAATGCCTCTGTGAATGCGTGGATGAAATTTCCCGGAGGGCTCCCCGTACTTATCATTTTTCCCTCTCAAGCACACACAGCCAAGGAAGTGGGCCAGCAGACACCCTGAACTTCCGCCAAACCGAGCTGCTCTGAGCCTCCCTCTCCTGGCCTGAGAACAAAAAACAAGCCCTCCTCCTTGCCTTTCCTTTAGAAGTGGAGGTGGGGTGTAGGGGTGAGAGGTGCTGCACGAGTGTTTAAAAGGTGGAGATCATTTGACTTGGTAAACTGTAGTTCCTTAAAGAGCAAAAAGAGGTTAGTATATGTCTGTGCCTTTGTCAAAAGCCAGTGAACTCATCTAGGGCCCACTGGAGGCTCGGTCGGGGGTCAGGAGGATCTCCTCTGTCCAGGCAGTGGGCACAGGACAGCGTCAGGTCTCGGCCCATCCTTGTCTCTCAGATGAGGGTGTGTGACCAGTTTCAGAGTCAGCAATGCAAGGACAACTTCCTGTTTCTTTCAGGCCAGATGAGTTTGAAGTTAAAATATCATTCCTTCACATTAATCCAAAAGTTAACACATTAATAAATATATTAATTAATGAAATCACCGTCTGTTTATTGAATATGAGTCATTGTGTTAAGTGCTAAAGGATGCAAAGATAAATGAGAAACAGTTATTGTCAAGGAACAGCAATAGAAAGACATGTACAAATAGCTAAAATATGAGGTATCATTTTGTTATAAAACATGATAAAATGTATAATACATATTGAATGTTATTATTACTTTTTATATTGGGCCTGATTTATTTCCGTATCCCCACATATAGCACAACTGTTTGATGTGGTGTATTTGCTCAATAAATAAATACTGATTAAATGTGAAAAATAGAAAGCATATAAACCAAATGCTTGGGTAGGGCTTTTCAAACTTGGACCGTATGAAAAGAACTGGGGAGCCCTTAAGAAATGCTGATCCAGGCCAGGTGCGGTGGCTCATGCCTGGAATGCCACCACTTTGGGAGCCTGAAGTGGGTGGATCACCTGAGGCCAGGAGTTTGAGACCAGCCTGGGCAACACGGTGAAACCTTGTCTCTACTAAAATTACAAAAATTAGCCCAGCATGGTGGTGCATGCCTGTAATCCCAGCTACTTGAGAGGCTGAGGTAGGAGAATTGCTTGAACTCAGGAGGTGGAGGTTTCAGTGAGCTGAGATTGCGCCACTGCACTCCAACCTGGGCAATAGAGCAACACTCTGCCTCTGAAAAAAAAAAAAAAAAAAAAAAAAGCTGACTCCCCGAGGTTTCCTTCCCAGGCATTCTGATTTAATTGGAATAGAAAATCAGCACTGGGAGGTGCTGCACCAGGGGACCTCATGAGGGACCTGGGAACTGTGCTTGGAGAGAAAATGGAGGTTGCTTCATAGAGGAGGTCATGTTTGAGCCTGAAGGTTGGGTATGAGGTAGGCAGGTTTTGATGGGGCTGGGGGCCAAGAAAATGGCATCCTTAGTAGAGGAAACAACACGGGGAAGGGCACAGGCTGGAAAGTGCACAGTATGTTCTGGATGAGTCAGAGCCTGGAGTGGCCCTACCATCTGCTGTCTGAGAAGGTGTATTGGGAAAAAAGAAGAGGCTGAAGCAATAGGTTGGGGTTAGATTGTGGAGGGACTAGTATGCTTCTCCAAAAACTTTGAATTTATTTTACACATCCTGGGGAACGACTGGGGGTTTGGAAGTTGGCAAGTGGTATGGTCAGATCTTTGTTTTAGGAAAGCACTGTGAAAAATGAACTGGATGTAGGGAGAACTGGAAAAAAGGAGTCCAATTTGGAAGCTATGGCTTATGATAGAATAGATGAGGGAGGAGGCAAATTTGAACTAGACCAATTTGGATGGGAGTGTAGAGGAGAGAGTGGATTTGGGAGACATTTATGAGAGATCACCTTCAATAGATGTGTTGGATAATTGTATAGTGAGGTTAAAGTCCAGGGTGCAGGGAGTGAACCCAGAAAGAATACAAGATGGGGAGCAAGTTCTGAAACAGGCAATAGTGTGGGCAGGAGAACAATATAGAGAGGCCTAGAGGAACTTTGGTAATACTCCTTCTGAAGTCATGAACCCTATCTCTCATTGCTTAGGTCCTTGTTTTTGGTTTTCCTTTCAGCCCCATCATAAAACAAGTACACATTTTGTTTAACAGCATATATGAAATGCTAGCTCTCTAGTTTTGATCACCAGAGCTGCTGTTTAACTCACAGCTTCTAGAAGCAGGCCATTTGCAGCTCTTACACCTTCCTGAAAAAATGAAGGTTTTGAATAAAAGCCAGTCATAGAATTAAGTCAGGACAAAGTGGTGTCGGGGTGAAATTCAAAAGACAATACGTAATAATTGGTTTTAGAACAGGAGCCAGATGAATCATAAGGTCAGACATATGAAAGGAAAAAGCTTTCTCCAGAAGACTTGGGGGCTAAGGCTACAAAGGGCTGTTTGAAAACAAAGTGGCAGGGATTGTGGTAGGGCCTCCAAGTGAGACCTGCTCTCGGGAACCTGCTCTCCATTCCAATATGTCTGAAAACACTCGGTGAGAAGAAATAGATCTGTCTCTTCCAACTTTTTATAGCTTCCGTAGAAAGCTATTTCCACTGTGTCTGTAGTCATTGCTTTGTTTCCTCCAGACCATCCACTGGTCAGAGAGAAGGAAGACAGGGTCAGAATGTCAATGTGTCTACTGGAAACCACTGGTCACTGTGGGACCTAAGTGTGGGGTCTCAGAGCTGAGAGGGAATGAACCCTTGTCTAGCACTCCAGCTCCACAGTTGGGCACAGAGCCAGAATGTGTAGGGGCTTGCTCGGAATCTGGTGGCTCAGTAGCAGTGTGGTCAGAAGGAGAACCAAGGCCTCCTGGCTTCCAGAGCTGCTCCACCCACAGGCTGCCCCAGGACTCTGCATGACCCTGGGGTTGTGCCACATGCTTACCAGTGACAGCGAGTGCAGGATGAGGAGTAAGATGAATCCTACCCACTCAAAAACTTTTTTTTGTTGATTCACTCTTGTTTTCACAAACTGCTAGCATTCACTCTTTTTTACTGTTGGCCTGAAGTGCAGATTTCAGATGGCCTTTTGAAACTGGTGTGAATTTCCCACACCAGTTTCAAAATGTGATTTTTCCCACAAGAAACATATGTACAGTTATTGCTCTGCCTTGAGTTTCCCCTAGTACTGTGGCAACCCAAACTCTCCTCATTGAGACCTTTTGTTATATTGGTGGAATCATTTTGGAAAGATTTGTTTCAAATTCGAGATGTTTGCATTCATGATTATTGCCTCTAAGAAGGTCCTCTTTGTCATGCTCACTTCTGGGGAGGCTGCAGCACTGCATACTATTAGACCTGCCGCCCAGACCGTGGCTAATGGAATTAGGGATGGAACCCTGACCTCAAGCTGGCCTGTTTATTTCCTCTCTGAAATTTGGAATTGGGACACAGTGGTTTCTCCTTAGCTGGATCTGCAAGGGCATGGAGACTGGTGGGTTCTGGTCAGTCTAATTTAGTTGCTGAGAGCACAGCCCCTGGGGCTAACCAGCCAGGACTCACATGCTGGCTCCCCATCTCCCTGAGTGTGGCCATGGGCATGTCACCTCTCTGTCTCAATCCACAGTTGTAAAGTGGGGATAATAATAATCATAAAGCAAGAAATAATATAAACAAATAATAAAATAAATGATAAAATTTAAAGTGAGGTGATTGTGTTAAATGACTTAATATATATTGTGCACTTAGTAAAGTGCTAGTACCTATTCAAGTGCTTGCTAATATTATTATTATGAGGTATAGTAATGGTACCAACATTAGGGTGCCTTGAAGATGGGCTGTCACTAAGGTCAGCAAAAGCAACAGGTTTTCCGAGAGAGTTGGGGAATAAACAGATGTACATCACAGTCACCATCTCCTGTGTTACTTGAGTAAGAGAGAACTAGGGAGAGAATAAGTGTATGGGGTTTGCCCCTTCTTCAGGCCACAGTTCCATTATCTTATGAGGCCCAAATATACTTCCGTCTCTTGAGCCCTCTGAGCTCCTTCTGAATTAAAACTTCTCCCTTGAGTTTCTTTGAAGAAGAATTTGTTGCATATGGTCAAAGGATTCTTAAAATAAGAACAAAATTTTGTCCAGCAGGACTGATGGAAGGCAGATGTCTTTTCTCCATGTCCTTTGCCTTCCTGAGGAAGGTTCCTGACTTAGCCCACTCTTCATGCCCAGGTGGGTCTCTGGCTAAGCCTGATTTTGACTAATTCAATGTCAATCAGCAAAGACTGATCCCACAGCAGCACATACTGCCCTTACCATTGAGGAGAATGCTATGAGCTATAAGACATAGCCACAAGGAGCCTGTTGTCTCCTTGAAAGCAATACGAATTCAAGCAGAGAAAGTATGTCTTGTTCAGGCTTGTTCAATGGCTGAATCCATCACTTGGCAGAGTTTCTGACAAATAGTATGTAAAGGAAGCAGTGTGTGATTGTGGCTAACTGGCCAGGCAGTAAGAACATATGAAGTCAGAGGAAGATAGGACCAGAGGAAGATGGGGGTGAGGGAGGAGGGTGAGGACTACTATATCAGGCTTTAGTGTCCCTGCTGGAAGTAGAGGAAGTGTCTTGTGAGACAACTTTTGGATTGTAAATGAATCCCCTTTTTACACCTATTCCTAGACCTTCTGCACTCTCCCAATTATTTGCTATTTCAAAAATGTCCAATATAATCAAAATGGGAAAAATCAGGACTTGTGCTTAAGAACATTTGCTTTAGCTTTTTTTCATCAAATTTTAAAATTAATTATTTGCACTGTGAATTTCATGGTGGGTCATAGTTTTTCCATAATCTTTATAGTGCTTGGGGGCCTTCCAAGCTTTTAATGAATGGAGATTTGTTTTATTTCCTTCACCCTTCTTCCAGGCTGAGGATGGAGGACAGGTGTGGAGAAAATCTCTACTTACACATTAGCCTTCATCTCTCTGGACTTGTCAAAGGGCTATGATTTAAAATATGTAGCCACTAGTAGCACATAGGCCGGACAAATGGGACAGATGTTGCTCCAGTCAGCAGGGGACTGGCTATAAACAAACGGACCTGTCCAGTGAGTTCTTGCTGAATACTGGTCTAGTGAGTTCTTGCTGGATACCAATCTTGTTGTCTCCAGATTTAGTTTCTAAGAATCTGGAAGGAGTTTATTTTTATTTTTTTAGAACCTATAGATTCCAGTGCTGCGCTTCTAAGCATGAGATATTTGAACACTGTCAGTGTGTCTCATATACGCACCTGCCAGAGCTGCAGACCAGCTGGCCTGCAAGGATCACTGCAGCAAAGCCCATTCCCATAATTGAATATAATCCTACAGTTACTTTGCATGTCTTCCGGTCAGGAAAATGGAGGCAATTTTCAACACTTGTCTTCATTTCATTTCATTACTTAGAAAGTAAATGTAGCCAAAAAAAAAAAAAAAAAAAGGAGCAGAGAATTTTGTAGCATGGCTCCTGGCCCCTGGCCTTTTGAGTCCTTCTCCACCCACCTTTGTTTAGTGGTCACACCATACATGGGACACAAGTATGTAGTTAGACCCAGATACTTAGTGAACAGACACAGGGCCTCGTGGAGCCCATTTCTAGCATGAAGAATGAGAGTGGCCAGACGTTTGGCCCCATGTCCTGTGACGTGCTTCACAGAGAGACACATGCAGTCCCCAGCAGGCTCTTTCTTTCTCTTTAACCGAAACTTCCCTCCTTGATGATTTCACTTCAGACACTGCTTTCCCTAAACCTTTCCTTGACTGGAATCACGCTAATGTTGACAGTTCTTCCCCACCCCCACCCCCTTTGCTGCACAGTGCAACCCAGAGAGAATGTGAGGTAAGCTTGTCGAAGGAGATGAAAGATGGCAAGAAATAGGTGTTTGGGGACCAGTTCTTTGGTGACATCGACTCTGCAATCCTTTTCTCACTCTCAGTACCTCACTCTCTCTCGCCTTCTCCCTCTCCCTCTTTTCCCCTTCCCGCTCTCCCTCTCATTCTCTCTGAAATGGCGTGTGCCTCCAGTAATTTACATAATACTCTTCTGACACCGTTACTTTAGTCATCAATCACGGTACCTTCTCCCAGTCTATCTTTTGTCTGAGCATGTCTCTTCTTTATCAGGCCATGCGCAAAAGATTAATTTCACAGTTTTTCTCTCTTCTTTCTTTCCTTGCAAGATACAAAGCTCATGAAATGACAGAAGCAAGATAATGAAAACAACAATGCAAGCAATTTTTTTTTGTTCTTGCAGGTTGGATCTCAAGATACTTTTTCTAACCTCATTGTGTGCCATCTGTCTTAGAAAATCTCTGTTCTGTATTTTTTTAATACCTTTCTGATGCTGCTCAGTAGACTACCTGGTGGGGGTGGGGGAAGGATTACATATTTAAATCAGGTCAGAGGCTTTGGTTTTCAAAACCTTTAGAACAATTAAAGCAAGAGGCCCATCTCTAATGGCATCATGGGCTACTGCACAATGCCCACGCCCCAATTAATATTAATGAGGTCTTATGCATAGCCAATTTATGACATTTGATTGACTCACTCAACCACCCTTCAGCCTGTCTTACAAAGTGAAATATATGGCAAAGAGGATCTTATTTGCATATGCATATGTTCTTAATATTAATTAGGCTAATGAATCTAAGGACTCGGCGATAATATGGGCACTGGCAAAGAGGGGAAAAAAGTCTACCACCCACAAAACAGAAAAGTGTTCCGTGTCCCATCCATGCACTCGAACAAAAGAAGTTGAGCTGGATGATAAGAACAACACATGCCAATATTTCCTCCTGCTTTTCTTGTGTTATACAGAATTCTTCTTTTTTAAAAATAAAAATACTTGCCACAGGCATTCGTATTATTTATCTTTTTTTTCAATTAAATTGGGAAAGGCTAAATAGATAATAAAATAACTTGTAAAAATAAAAGCCTAGTTCAACGGCGTGCCTGTGGCCATGGGTCGGAGCTCTCCCATCAGCTAGGGAGATGCTGTGGCTTCCGGAGGATACAGTGTCTCTCAGGAATACATGTCGGATCCAGGACAAGGGGTTATGTCAGGAGGAAGTGTTCCCAAGAACATCTGTTTTAGCAGGGTCACTAATGGAATTTATCTCCACTGCCGAGTGGCTGGAAGAACCCCTTTGATGTAGCCTAATTAAGCCTGGAGGAAAGAGTTGAAACTCCATGGATTTCATTGCGGTGTGGGGAAATACACACTCTGATTTTTTTTTTCTCTCTCTGAATTATCCTGTAAAGCCCAACCCTGATGGTCTTTGACTCCAGTGATATGAGAAGATACATTTCTATACAATTCTATATCAGCT
This sequence comes from Homo sapiens, assembly GCF_000001405.40. Classification (NCBI taxonomy): domain Eukaryota; kingdom Metazoa; phylum Chordata; class Mammalia; order Primates; family Hominidae; genus Homo; species Homo sapiens. The sequence continues at coordinate 59,878,517 of NC_000002.12, read as the reverse complement.
CAACCTCTATATGTTAAAAGGACATCAAGAATAGCTAGCTAACTGGCAGGCTTTGGACAACAGAATAGTGCCTGGTTATATGACCTTGCTTCATGGCACCATAAATAATAATAATGACTATTATCTGAGTGCTTATTCTGTACCAAATATAATGGAAAGCACGTTGCATATACTATCTTATGCCAGCTCTGTGAAGTATGGAATTAGAACCTTAGTCCCTTAATTTGGTGAATTGAACACTAAAGAGATTATGGGACATGCCCAAGGTCACATAGCTAAGAAAGATGGGGTCAGTATTCACACCTAGGGGGATCGTGACTCCAAAGTGTAATCTCTTTCCCTTGGTCTTCCAAGGTCAGGGCCACTCAAGGATATTATGGACTGAAAGTAGAGCCAATAAAAAAAAACAGATATGGAGGAAGAAGGACGTCCTGTGCTTTCTTTTAAGATAGGCAATGTCTTGGCTAACCCCAGATGCCCATGTAAATAGTTACATTCAACAGTAGAAATGATTATTCATTGCCACACAGTTAAAAGAATATGAGACAAGGAAAGAAACCTAGATTGATGGACAGGTCAGTGAAGTGCCTTAGAACAACAAATATTTATTTAAATTTAACATGTTTGAGTGAAGACTCTACAGAATAAAGTCACATTGGAGAAGAACCTTTCAGAGCTTGCTAAGATGGTCCCTGGCACAGAATGAAGAGTGGGATGAAGAAATGGCACTAGTTGAGGCCTGCATGGTGGGGAAGGAAATGGCAATGCAAGGTGGTAACATCAGAAACAGGGAAGGAACGGAGGCCTCCGGAGCCAGGGAGGGCCCTCTCCACCCTTCTTATCTCAAATCTCTGTCCCTTCTCTCAGATCTGGTGGCTGGGCACAGTTGCATTCCAAAACTCTGCTGCGGATTTTGCTTTCTAATACCATCCTAGTGAGTCTTGTGAGATGGGCTGCTACATGCCTCCCCTGGCTCTCCAGGCCACACCAAGTCGAGTGTGGCTATGTGTGTGTCTCCTGTGAACACGCACTGTTTGGGGAGGGAAGGGGGAGAGGCAGGGAATAGTGAGGAGACACCTGCAAGGAGAAAAGGAGGAGATGCCTCTTCTCAGAGGTCCCAGGCTTGAGTCCAGCACTCCCAGGACTGGTGGGGACCAATATGGTGAGCCCTCCTCTGATAACCATTTATTCTGCCCAACTTGCTACTGCTTTTTTTTTTTAAATAGTCTGTGCTGCCAAGAATGCTTTGACTACATCGTAAAGATGTGACAGATAGTGAAAAAGAGTGTGTATGAAGCAATCATGGAGCTGATAGGCTTTATTCTCTTCTCACATTAAATATATGTTCATTAAACAAGGGCTTGTTTGCAGAGCGACAGTGGAAGACGGAGGTGGAAGCAGAAAAGGACCAAGTGTGCCTAATGCCTACTCTCCTCATTTGCAGCTGGCTCGGCAAGAGTCAGCCTTGCCAAGTGGTTAAGTGTGGGGTAAAGTTGGATCCAACTGCCTGGGACTGTATTCTGCCCCTCCCTGCACCTCAGTTTGTCCTTCTGTAAAAGAGGTACAAAAAGAGCACTTATCTCCTATTGGATGTAGTGAAACATAAGTAAAGGTACAGTGCTGGTCACATAGTAAGTGCTTATACCTATTAGTTCTATTAGTTATTACTACTATCCGAGTTTCTCCCCCTAGTTGATACATTAAACTGCCTACTTTTTCTACTAAGGATCCTTGGAATTCATTCAAGAATATTGTCTTCCAATTAATATGTATTACCATTGCCAATCACTTTACTAGCTGCTAAAGATTACTTTACTAGATGCCAATCACTTTACTAGTTGCTAGGAGTGAGAAGGACTGCTGCCCTCACAGAGCTTATGGTCTAGCCAAGCAGAACCATATTTAGCAGCTGAACACAATAGAGAATGATAAGGGTTAATAACGAAGATTTATGGAAGTCCCTGGAGGAGGAACCACAGCGAACTGCCCTGGTCCAGATGCAAGGGGAGGTCCCTGAGCTGGGATCTGAAGGACAGGTCAGAGAGCCCCAAAGAGAGATCAGGGAGGTGTGAGGCAGAGAAGGTGGCAAGAATAGCACAAATAAACTCCCAGAGGTGGGAAACGGCACGGTGTAGGGTCAAGCGATGGAAGGAAGGCAAGAGTGGCTGCACCTTTAAAACAGACAAACAAACAAACAAAAAACACATGAAAGAAAATGGCGGAGGAAAGGAAGGAGGTGTGGCAGAGCCCAGGCCACCTGAGGCACTGAAGGCCTTTCAAGGAAGTGGGATCTATGCCGTGAGGTCATGGGAACCCTTGGCACGATTCAAGCAGGGCAGCTATCTGTGATCCGATGCACATTTTAAACAGATTACTAGACTGGAAGCATGAGAAGTAGAGAGAGAGGCATACCTGAATGAGGTGAGGAGCTGCAGCTGCTGCAGTGATTAAGGACCAGGGCAAGGAGGGAACAAGCTTGATGGATAAGTCATCCTTCAATTTTCATCGGCCAAACAGCTGTCATTTAGACAACTGTTGGGGCCCATCTAATGAAGCCAGTCCAAGGAGGGCAGGTCCTGCTCTACTGCAGGAGGGATCTTTCTAAAACTAGAAACCCATCTGTGAGCTCTAGGAGATGGCTCCAAAATCATTTTCACTTCAATCCTCCGGCTTTAGGTTCCTGCCCCCCACCTGCCAACAAGCATGTGTCTCAAGAGCACTTCTGGAGAAAACACACCAGCAAATTCTCCCCTTTCATCTCTTTTGCCTCTGCCTGTTCTGAAAGTGAAAAGGCTGAGCAGCAAAATTGTAGTAGGAGGAAGTGTGCACTGGAAGCTTTCCTTCTTCCAACCGTGCCAACCTCAGGGCTAATGCACAGTAGGTGCTCACTCAAGGCAGGTGGACTGACCAGTCCACTGTTTTTTCTCCTCCTGAAGAGGAGCCAAGGTCTGGGGACAATGAGGTTTCTGCAATTGCCAAATTCTCTTTTTCAATCTGCTCAGCACTTATCAAGGTACTAGTGGTCGGGCTACAGTGGAGGAGAGGACATTGCAGGAGCCCAGGCTTGGCTGATGAGCCCAGGCTCTGCTGCAGTCAGAGGACAAAAGTGTGAAGTTTCATCCCAAGCCTGTCATTCAGCTCAACTGCCTGTCAGGCCCCTAGGGTTCCCTGCCATTTGGACCAACATTTGGGAAGCAGGATGCTTATGGAATCCATTTTGGGTTTGGCAGCCAGAACAAAGAATCTAGGCTGGAATGGAGCAAAGAGGTGTAAATGTAGCCCAGAGCTGGGGGCTATCTGGTGTCTCATAGCTGACCCTTCTGCAGCAGGCAAGAGGGCAGGGCATTTGCATTTGCAGGCAGGGTGTTTGTAAGGAGATCCTTGAAATTCTTACAACAAGCCAAAAGAAAAGGGGGAGCCTAATTGCCACTGAGGTCTCTCAGGCAGCTGCCTCTCAGAGATGAGCAGACCCAACCATTGCCTGTTCATCTGTAAGTCAAAGGGGTTTTTTGCTCTGTGCTGTACAGTTATGCCATGCAGGAGGTGAGGCTGGGATCTTGCATATCTATGAGAGTCAGCACCATCCCCTTAGCCCCTAATAACAGAGCACACCACTTCCTGGATGGGCTAAAGCAAGCTTGGCTACTAGTGATCCCTGTAGCCCTGCATCCTAAAGATATGAGCACTTGCATCCAAATCTCTGGGTACAATCTTCCTAGCTCCCCAACTCCGCATACACATATACACACCCCAGTGAGCCCTGTTCTGCTTGAAAACACTCTAAAATATTCTCCGTCCTTCATATAAGGGGGAAAACCCTTTAGGCATTAGATACTGCAGTAATTACTATATAATGGAGTAAATACTATACTATAATAATTAACTTGTAAACCTTGAAATAACATTTACTGTAATTTAGACCGAATATGAACTGTGAGTAATGAAGCCCGATCCAACATGAAATCATTTGCAGGGCACTTTAAACATATGCCTGGGAAAGAGAACGCAGCAGTTTCACATCGTTACCAAAATGGGCTCAAACGAGGCCCTCACATACTGTAAGTGCATGCAGCTGCCATTATTTTGAAATATCTTGTTAGCATTTCTTTTTTCTTTTTAATAAATTGCTTCCCTCTCGCCTTTTCCTAAACTGTCCTTTCAGGCTGTCAAAAGAGCTGGGGGTTTTGTTTTGTTTTGTTTTTAATTTAGTTTTCACCCAAATGATTGCAAATGCTCTATGCAAAACTAACATTTAAAGCCCAGGCAAGTGTTGGAATTGGGCAGAGGGCAAGAAGGTTCTGGATTGCCTACATCAGCAGTAAACTGTGGATGCTTCCAGAAGGCAGAACTGTGGGACACAGCTGCTTCTGACCACAGTGATGCCAGGGTCCTGGGACATCCAGAAATTAACAAGGGCATTTGTTTACTCAACACATCTTGTCACAGTTTCCAGATCTCTTTTCTATAGGCTTGTTCAACCTCTGAGCAATTCTGAGTGCTGGACGGATGCAAAAGGTAGATTTTTTTCCCCCTTACCCTCCCAACAAAAGTAAGGAAGGGGCTTACATTATGTTAAACCAAATGAAATTGCTGTTCCTCTGGGTCAAAAACAACATAATATCAGCAACATCACATGGTTCTACCTAATACAGAGTGCACAATATGCACCTTCTGACATTAGACCCCTGTGCCTTCCTCCAACCACTCCTTAGTGGTTACCTTAAAGTGGTACCTTACCTTAAACTTAAAAGGTACCTCTAGGCTGAGGCAGGAGAATCGCTTGAACCTTGGAGGCGGAGGTTGAAGTGAGTTGAGATCACATCACTGCACTCCAGCCTAGGCAACAGAGTGAGATTCCGTCTCAAAAAAAAAAAAGAGGTACCTCTGTTGGTCTCATACTGTCCAGCTCCCAATCCTCCCTCCTCAGAGTCCTGCTTTTGGAAAACATCACCTATCCTTTACTTATTTTCCAGCTTTGTCTCTCACTGGCCTACAAAACTCTTGTTCTAGTCTAACTGGCCCCTTTACTGTGTCCCATTTCCAACTTTTCTAACTTGGAGACTTGGTGCTTTCAGGTCTGCTGTCCTCCAGAATCCCCTCTTGACTGATTTGAGTTCTGTCCACCCTCTTAAAGAGACAAGTTAACCACTACCCTTTTCCTGATTCCTTCTGTGAACAAAGAACATTTGAGTTGGGAATAATAACAGCTGGCCTTCACTGAGCATTTACTATGTGTCAAATGCTGACTAGGGGTATCATATGGATTACTGTATTTGATCTTCACAAATCCATCTCAGATAGGCCCTGTTCCTCCTCCCATTTTAGAAATAAGAAAACTGACACATAAGCTGAGGTTCAGTGATGTACCTAAGGTCACACAGCCAACCAAAGGATTTCTCTTTGGTGGTCTTGGCCTGGAGCTGACAACCATGTCTTTGTAAAGGATGTCCAGTCTAAGAGCAATCTTGAGAGGCATCTCCAGGTACCTGAAGGATCAAACGCAGAAAAGGAATAACATGTTTGCAATTGTTGCGGAGAGATCCAGGGACCTGCCAGTCTGCATTTCTGACATGCTCCCTGGTGATGCTGAGATGCTCTGGTACAGAGACCCACTTTGAGTGGCAAGGCCTTATACTATATGTCCAAACTCTACCTCCACAAAGCTGTATTATTAACTATTTTCCTTAGTAGGTTGCAGGTAAATAGTATGATTGATTGCTTGGATATACTGTCCAATCCAATAAAGCCAAGTTTTAATAAGAAGAAAAACCTAAAAGCACCCATTCTCCAATAGCCCCTACAACCATATCACTCTTTCCCTTCATGCCATCTAGTACATTGAAAAAATTCTGTGTGATTTCCTTCTTTTACTCTTTTATGAAAATTGCTCAGACATATCTCATTGCGTTTGCCGCAGAGATTTTAATTGGGACATGGATAGGTTTTGAGGAAATGGCAAACAGTAAGGATTTAGATCAGTTGGGCCAGCAGTTTCAATGAAGGGTATCTCTGCAGAGATAAATTATTTTAGGAGAAAACACATTTAAATCTGTCAAATTCTTCCAGTATGTTTCACTGGTTTCTATTTTCAAATAACATCACACCTATGCATCAGATCTTCTTTCACTTTACGTGTTTAGAGTAAGTGACCATTGGGCTCTCACTTCTCGAGTGACCTGAAAGTGTTAATGCTCTTCTTTCTGCCTGTTGTAAGTTGTTGGCCTCGCAGATGGGTTTTTACTCAATGCTGGATCCCAGAGACTCTGTGTGTGCATCCTGATATTTAACACAATGGATTGAAATCATATTTATTGTTTTCTTTTTCAGAGAAGGATCAGAGATGGGGGAGTTGAATGCTTTTAGCTGTTTTTCAAGAAACAAAAGCCTACATTTTTGAAATGCCAGCTATTACCAGTCCACAGTTCAGACTCTGGAACACTCGTTAGCACTTGCACGGATCCCTCCCTCCCTGGAAACAGTGCAGGAATTACACTCTGAGATGTGACGGTTGAAACAGACTCAAAGTCAATGTGCATAATTACTTACCACAACAGTGGTTAATGTGCCCTGAAATATTCCCAGCTCCCCTTGGCCTAGGGCTTGATGGTTGATATTCAGATTTTCTTGATAAGTGTCTTGGATGCTTTGCTTATACCATTTCCCAAAATACATCTGGATTATAATGTGTGAGTTTTTCCTCTCCATCTAGATGTTGGACCAAATGAGGAAGGAAAGCCTCAGAAAGCTGTCACATCACAGCTGTGATGGGGAATAAATAATGTCCTAGAGCCTTAGGGCTAAAAAGGGCCATAGTAATCATCTTCCTCTAGTTCAAACCACTCATTTTATAAATGAGGAAATGGAGGCCCAGAGAGGTAGAGCGAGTTGCCCAAGGTCACACAGCCAGTTAGTGGCTGAGTCAAAATAGAAGCCCAATTCCCCTGAATCATAGTCTTGTGTTGTTTCCAGATCTAAGTGGACTGCTTCAGGGCTGATTTCCTCTTTGGAGTTATCTGAAGGACTGGTTCTCCTTGAATGACCCTGGGCCATGTTCTCCTGCTCCCCCGATCCTCTGACTTGAGGAGAAGATGTTCTGCATCTAGGAATTATCTTCTTGCCCTCATCCCCTATGAGTCTGTCAATGGGAAGAGTGAATTCAAGGGAATGTCTGTTGTCCTTTCCTTTCATTTGTTTTGTTTGCTATGTGGCCTCTTTCTCTTCTGACACTCTGAGCTCTGAAGGGTCCAGTGTGGTGATCAGCTGCCCTCATACTCCGAGTTCTATATCTTAAAGTTCGGTTGTTTTTTCCTCCCTTCTATGTTAGAACTTACACCTCCTCTATCTCGTTCCCTCTGGGTCCTGCTCTATGTTATGATGCCAGAGACAATGGATGATTGCGTTATTTCCCAAGCCAGGTTGGGTTCTGGCCTTCCAGCAGCACTTCCAGCATTAGCCCAGAGGAGTGACCAGCATGCTGGGCTCGGGTGCACCATGGGCAGAGTGGGCAGGGTGAGGACAAGGGACATGAGATGCTCACAACATATCCTGACATTTCCCAACCAGGGTTGACAGGCCAACCCTGTCCTACCCCAGCTGTGCAACCATCACCCAAAGAGTATTAGCACCCTGGTACCAGGTACCAGGAGGACACAAATGTGAAAAAGACATGGTTCCTGCCATCAAGAAGTTTACAGCAGAAGAGGGCAATATGAAAACATACTAGATCACCCTCCAGCAGATGGTTGCATGAGCACAGGGGGAGGAGGGGACAGGTTTCTCAAATGGGTCAGGGCAAACTTTGCATAGGAGGTGGTGATTGGATTAAGCCTTGAATAACCGTGAGAGGCTTCTTGGGGGTAAGGAGGAGGGTGCTGAGGAGGGATTGGGTAGGTACAAAGGGAAGCGGTTTTGTAAGAGAGGAAACAGAATGGACACAGCCAGCAGGTAAGCCCAGACCCCCCTGGCCTCGTGTTCAAGGCTGGCTGAGCCTGGAGACACAGCCTTATCTCCCAGCAGGCCACCACTTCCCATTCCAGTCCAGCTGCTCTTGGGCTCTGCTCAAATCTTGTGCCTTCTGTCCTCATGGACCCTGATCTTGCACCTGCCTGGACGTTCTCTACTTCCATTTGCCTCTCCAGCCTTGACTGTTCTTTCAGTCACTCATGTTTCTCCTTCCTCCTATCTGAAACCTTCTCTACACATTTTATAATGGGAAGAAGACTCTCACACCACAAGCTCAGGTCTGCAAAACTTTCTTTAAATCAAACAGGTTCTGACTGCAATCCCCTGTCTCCCCAGAATGACAGTGAATTCAATGTCAGTGATTATTACATCTTTATCCTCCTTTCTGGAAGTTGCTAGCCTCCCTGTGGCTGAAAAATGGAAACAGGGCCTCTGGCTTTCGGTCCAATGTGGTGCTTCAGATCTCCTCTCTCTCCAACCCCATGTCCTCCTTGAAGAAGGATAACTCTCTCACTCTCAGGCTTTGCTGAGCATGTGAAATATTGACCTGAGGCCACACTGCCCCAGGGCCAAACCTTCCTGAGAACACCACAGGAAGGACAGCTCTGTTTTCTTCTGAGTTCTTGCACTGCTGGGGAGGGAAGCATGGGTCTCTGCCCTCCCAGTCTCTGCTCATCTCCTCCTTGTCCCAGTCTTGGAGGCTTCTTTTCCTCTCTCTGGCTCCCTCCAAGCTACTCATTTCTCCCTGTGCCCCTAGGGTTTCGCCACAACTTGTTTAGTGAATTTAGGCTTTCATGGAAAGCAGGAAAGGGGGGCATTTATGAATTGTCAGCTTCCACTCCGCTATACAAACCTTCTAGGGCCAAGAAAGCACCAAGAGCTTGGCCCCTTTCTTAGGATACATAGGATTTCCAGCAAAAAGGAGGAGAGTATACAAGGAATGAAACTCAAACTCAAATTAATATGTCAGTAAATTATCCAAATCAGAATTCTATCCATCCTTCAAATTTCAGATTTATACAAGCTACTTCCCTAGACAAACTCTCTGCCCTGGTTACATTATGTATAAAATGGTGATAATAATAACAACAATTATTTTCAAGGACTGTTATAAGAATTAAATTATTTAATACCTGCAAGTTACATAGAACAGTACCTGGATCATAGTTAAGCTCTTAAAAATGGTGAGCTGCTTCATTGATTATTATCCATCTGACCATTAACATACCACAGAGGACTGTAATGATTTTATTATGAGTATGGCACTAAGCATGCATACATGATTAAAATATTTTGCCCATTCCAGTGCTCAACACATTCTTGGTGATTTTGACTTGACAGAAGGAGCAAGATTTATCCCACAGATCCCAGAGGGGAGCCTGCACCCTGAATAACTATTCCAACTATTGCTCACCATATGTCCACAACCAGAAAAATAATTTTGGAGGGCAGGAAATCAGCACACATGTGTACATCTGCAGAGAGTAGCCTGCTGAAATCGACACATAAGACAAATTTACCACCGAGGCAAATGCATTCATGTGTTTGTAAGTGGCTATTTCTGAACACCCAAAAGGGAAGAAGAGAGAAGCCAAATTCAAATGGCATCATGTGTTTGTTATTTTGGAGCAAGGTTATGTGGAAGGAGAGTTTTCCTTATGCCTGGAAAACTTTAAGGGGGAGAAATGAAGTATTTAAAGGTATTTTAATGATCATGAAAGGCACTGGCTTAATAGGGCAGGAAACTACAGTTCTCCTTTTAGTCCCAGAAGGAAAATAACAAGGCTGTAGCTTAGCCTTCCCTGAAGAGTCATAAACTGGACTGCAAAGAGGCAGCCCCTTGAGACACCCACTCTGGGTCTCCATGGCCCCTTAACTGTGGGTCTGTCTGCCTAGGTTTCCAATGTGCTTATTAATTAATGATCACATTTCTGTACTTAGGTAGAGGCAACCTGCACAGGGTTCTGGGAGCAGCTTTTGCCTTCTTGAATGCGTGGTTAGAGACCTTCCTGAATGAGCTGACCTATTTAGTCCTGTGTTTTCTGTTGACTTTACAATCCTTTATGGTCAGGACTCAGTGTACCTGTCCAACCCTGTCTTCTATTCTTTCGTTACTTAAACACAAAGTCCCCCATGCTATTCCCTACTTCCTGCATCAGCATCAAACACAGCTGCATCTCAGCATTTGCAGGAGTTATGATGCTAAGGACACCGTGAATATGGAATTAGTGAATACTGAACCATTGCCCCTAGGGGAAATACAGGGTTAGGTTCCTGCAGCCCTGGGACATAATGTTTTCAGCAACTGATCAATACATACCCTTGTTGTATGTGTGTTTCTATTTCAAGGGACCTTAAAAGCTGGCTGACTTGGCACTCTGAAGTAATCAATGATCTAGGGGTTAATACGATAGATGCCTCTGGGTATGCAGGCCCTGAGGAACTCCTTCCTCTGCTCTTCCTCTCTGCTCCAGCTTTTGGGCTTGAATGTGAGCTAAGAAGATCTTCCTGCACTTCTGGCCTGAAGCCTACTACAGTGAACCCCTGGGTATTATTTATTGTCTCCATGGAAAGACTCTAAACTCTTCTTTTCAACATCTCCTACTCCAAAGTGCAAAGAATGTATTTTTCATCTTCTGATTTCCTGTCATCTCCAGAATGACTTGACTCTCTCCATTAAACAGATGTATACCTTAAAACTGTGGTGGGGCCTTAGGCCAGCATGTGAAGGACACAGGCTGTAGAGGTCACATGGAGGTCATCAGCAGGCTGTGAGCCTGGCCTGGATCAGCCCAGTTCTGACAGCTCCTCCAATGGCCTTTCCATGGAACTCATCATGAGAGAGAGGAAGGGTACAAATAGTACAGCTCCAAATGAGATGACATAACTGAAAGGCTAAGATGGGCTTATAGAAGACTGGGCATCTCAAAGAAACCAGGACAGGAGCTATAATCAAGGGAGTATTTGGCAGAAGACCAGAAGGCCGTCAATGAATGGATGTTATGTTTTAATAGCCTCGATAGCAGCACATCATCTCCAGGTTCTTAAAAATGATCACCCTTGAGTCAGTGGTGTCTTCTCCAGGAGAAATCTTGGTGTGTTTTCAAGTGAGTTCTCACTGGTTTTATGAGTTTAATCCCAGTTATGTTTCAGCTGACTCAGCTCCGACTGGCTTTTTTCTGTTTCCATTTCCCCCAGCCTCATCCTCTGCCTTTTAGGGCCTTCCTCTTTCATTCCTCTGCACCCTATTCCTCATCACCCCCAAACAGGAACATGTACAAGTATTAAATTAGAATCCAAAGCCAATCATCCTCCAAATGTGTGAGAAATCAATTGTCCACAATGGCCTTGGGGGGTGCTTTATTTAGGGCATGTTTTGATTGCACGTGGCCTGACCTTAAGCTGGAAGGGAAATATGGTCGTGCACCTCATGATGACATTTTGTTCAAGGATGGACCACATATATGACGCTGGTCCCATAAGATGATTATGGAGCCGAAAAATTCCTATCGCCTGCTGGTGTCTTGATGATTCTGACCCTGTCTAGGCCTAGGCTAATGTGTGTGTTTTTGTCTTCATTTTTAATCAAAAAGTTTAAAAGTTAAAAAAATGCTTAATAGAAAAATGTTTATAGAATAAGGATATGAAAAAAGAACATATTTTTATACAACTGTACAATGTGTTTTAAGCTAAGTGTTCTTAACAAAAGAATCAAAAAGTTAAAAATATTAAAAGTTTATAAGCTTTATGAAGCTGCAGAAAAAAAGTTACAGTGAGGTTAACTTATTATCGAAGAAAGAAAAAAATTCATAAATTTCATATAACCTAATTGTCCAGTGTTTCTAAGGCCTACAGTGTATAGCAATATCCTAGGCCTTCATGTTCATTCACCACTCACTTAATGATTCATCCAGAGGAACTTCCAGTCTTGCAATTTCTATTCGTGGTAAGTGCCCTAAACAGATGTACCATTTTAAAAATCAATCTACTGTATTTTGGCTCTACCTTTTCTATTCTTAGGTATGTTTAGATACACAAATAAAGTTGTGCTATAATTGCCTAAGCAGCTGTGTCCAACCCTCTGAATGTGATGACTTTTTTGCTTCTCTTTGGTGGCGGATATTATGAAAATTATGAATGGACCTTTTTTTAAATTTTTTTTTTTAGCTCATCAGCTATTGTTAGTGTTAGTGTATTTTATATGTGGCCCGAGACCATTCTTCTTCCAGCGTGGCCCAGGGAAGCCAAACAGTTGGACCCCATGGCCTACAGTATTCCATACAGCAGCATCCTGTAAGGCTTGCAGCTTAGGATCAATAGGTTGTACCATATAGCCTAGGCATGTAGTAGGCTGTACCATCTAGGTTTGTGTAGGTCTACTCTATGATGTTCACACAATGACAAAATTGCCTAAGGACACATTTCTCAGAACATATACCCATTGGTAAGTGACACATGACTGTACTAACAGGGAAAGGTTGATTTAGCTCAGAAAGAAAATCTGCAGTAAGAATGATGCCACCTTCACAGAGCAGGCCAAAGAATATCCTCAGAAATATTTCCAGGAGAGGAATTTGGGGTGGGGGAGAATTCCTGTCTGTGATTGCACTGAGAGAGAAATGGGAGCAAAGGGACATCCAGTGACTTCTCAGACACACATAGATGGCAGAATGAGGGTAGGATCCATGACTGCTTTCTGGAAACCGCGGCTGACCACACACAGCTTAGCTTGCATGTGTCCCTGTGCCAATAACCTGATTCCTGACTGGATGACGCTTCCTTTGCTCTTTGCCAAACCCAGACAGCTAACCCTGGCCTGCCCAGAGTTCCTCATGTGCTTCCTTTTTAGGTGGCTCAGGGGCCCCATCATTCTGTGACAAGGAACACCCCTATATCCAGAGCCAGAGTACCCAGATAGATGCAGCCCCTGCGTGACTCTGCGAACCAAGCCTTGCACGTGCAGTGCTTTCTAGGAAGCCTGCCTGTGGAAGGGCTCATGCAATTGGATTAGAGTGTTTGCATCTCTTTAAGGTATATTATTGTAAATACAGTTTCATGCCACAGGAAACCTTTTCTCTAACAAAGTGCTTGCCTCATTTCCCCCTGGCCTCTGTTTTCTTAACTTTACACTGAAGTATCAGTGTGCCTAGGACACATCCATCTCCCTTCGCCTCTCTTCGACTCATCTTCTCAAAGGCAAGGACTCCCTGTTTCCCACAGGGGCGGGGAGAGGGAAGGAAGTACACAAACTGATTTATCTCACCCTGTCAGTTGTTTTGAGGACATCAGCAATGGAGGGTGCCTGCTCCTCCTCAGTCATCAGCAGGCTCTGAGGAACAGCTCTTCCCTTTGTTAAATGACTGCCAAGTGTGTATTCTCTGCTTTCTAAGGCAGCCTCAGGGTAGGGTCTGGAGCCTCTGCTCTCAGGTAGCCTCCTATCAGAGCTGAGCAGAGAGGTGGTGAAAGCGAATCCTTCTCTTCTGGAAGGGTACTTGATGGTATTGGTGCCATGCTGGAGAGTTTCATTTTGCGTATAAATGAGAAGCAGGTATTGCAAGTGGCAGTTGTAGCAAATCAGAGTACAGTGGATGGTTCTGATCTTTACTCACATCATGTGTCATAATAAACGTCTCTTTAAGAAAGACAGAGTGTGCAGCATCAGACTACCCCATCAGAATACCCCAAGCTTCAGATGTGGAAGGAGTAGGAGGAATCACCGTTTTAAAAGCAGGGTGTGGCCAGAGGATGAGATCATACTTCCTGCTGGACCACTCAAATTCTTCTCCTCTGTCTTCTCCAGAACATTGCTTGACCCTGTGTCTGTTATTTCTTAACATTAAGGAAGATCTAGCTGCATGTTGATTGAAACTTTGGAATAGAGCTGGTTGGCGAAGATATTGCTGGCCTTGATTTGGTTTTTAGCGTCTCTAGGGTGAGAAGCTCAAGGCTTATACAAGTTATGTGCTGGAATCTTTTAATGGCAAAGAGGAAAGCTGGTCATATGCCATATTTAAGCTTTGAGGAAGCCAAATACACAAGGTTCCATGACATACCTCAGGTTCTTAGCTAAGTGACCAGCAAAAACTGGCTTCGGGATCTTGGTCTACTCAGAAGAAAAAAGTGGTTTTCCCAATAGTAGAGTATGTGCTCTACATTAATTTATGCCTGCTCGCCATCCCAAATATTTTGTCTTTGATTCCTCTGAGTCATAAGCCAGTGAGAGCTTATAAGCATCAGGACCAAGTATACCTGTATTTGTCTCTCTGGGTTTACTTAACTCCAAAGGCTGTGGTGATTGGAGAGGTCTATCAGCATCACAGACAAAAACTAGTGCAAAGAATCATAGTCATGATGATCTATGTATTTAAACTACTCCTCCAGGGTTACTTTATGAATCTAAAGCAATGATCTCCAGGATTCTAAGTGGTACTCAGTTGTGTCTTCAAGACAGATGGGAAAGGGAGGATTATTTACGTTGATCCAAAGGAAGCATATTCTTAGAAAAAGCATATCCTTAGAAACAGAATTCACCTCACCTTCTCCAGGAGAAGCAGTGACTGCAAGACCTGGCAATTATTAATCCAACCAACAGGCCCGTAGATGTTAAATAATGGGTTCAGAGTTTCATGGTTAGCTAAAGTCTGTGCCTCCTCTGGAAGTCAATGTCCTACCTGTGGCATTTCCACTAGTTGAAGGAGGAAGTCACAGCTCCTCCACTAAAACATGGACCACAGAAGAAAGGACACCCTGGCAGCTTTTAGGGAACTTCTGCTGTTGAACTTAGGTTCTAAGTCAAAAAGTTGGGCACACAGGACTCTGCTCCATTGTGTCAATTTCAGCCATGGTGAGATAACTGGTGGAGCATGGGGTGGATACTGAAAGAACAAGGCCAATGGCAGGGTGGGCAAACTTCAGCAAGGAGCCAGTTAGAGTGGTCTCTATAGTCTCTATCATAGCTACTCAACTCTGCCATTGTTGGGAGAAAAGAGTAGGCTGGATTTGGCACATAGGTCTTAGTTTTCTGACCTCTGATTTATATGATAATGCTCTGATTTCTTTATAAAAGCTGTCCTCCCCCACCATTGAATGGTGTTTCCAGTGGTGTTTTTTTTTTTTTTTTTTTCCCCAGGTGAATATAAAGGAACAGGAAAGAGAAGGTGGGATGTTTCTGGCTGAAAAATAGTACTATTGTTTTGTACAAATACTGCTATTGCTTTGTACAAAACTGTTTTCTTCTCTCACTATATGAGTTGAACATATACAAATAGGCACTGACATCAATTCCTTAAAAAATTCAAGTGCAAATGCAAATATGCATACAGATATACAAAGACTTGTGCAACACCAGATGTGTGTTCTTGAACATGTCTGGGCACACATTAGCACACGCATGGAACACCTCTCAGGAATCCCTTTGACTCGATTCCCACATTGGATATTTCACCCGACTTTCTGAAATCACAGCTATTCTTAGAAAGTCCTCAGGCATCCATGCTCTTTACATGGTTCTTTGCTTCACATGTGGAGAGAAACATGAGTGTTGACACCAGCAGGAGCAACATTCTATATGAAAGGTAAAACTTTTTTCTATCCCTGCTCTGTTTTTACCCATCTTGTCTGTGGGCTTCCTTGAGCAATGGCTGAGAAACAGCAGCTTTCCACTTCCCCTCTGATATGGTTTGCCTGTGTCACCACTGAAATCTCATCTTGAATTGTAGTTCCCATAATCCCCACGTGTCATGGAAGGGACCTGGTGTGAGGTAATTGAATCATGCTATTCTCATGATTGTAAGTTCTCACCAGATCGGATGGTTTTGTAAGAGGCTTCCCCCTTTTCTCAGCCTTCATTCTTCTCTGTCCTGCTGCCCTGTGAAGAAGAACATGTTTGCTTCCCCTTCCGCCATGACTGTAAGTTTCCTGAGGACCTCCCCTAGTCCTGTGGAACTGTGAGTCAATTAAACTTCTTTCCTTTATAAATTACCCAGTCTCAGGTATTTCTTCATAGCAGAATGGGAACAGTCTAATACAGTAAATTGGTATCACAGAGAGTGGGGCACTGCTGTAAAGATACCCAAAAATGTGGAAGCAACTTTGGAACTGAGTAACAGGCAGAGATTGGAACCATTTGGAGGGCTCAGAAGAAGATAGGAAAATGTGGGAAAGTTTGGAACTTCCTAGAGACTTGTTGAATGGCTTTGACCAAAATGCTGATAGTGATGTGGACAATGAAGTCCAGGCTGAGGTGGTCTCAGATGGAGATGAGGAACTTCTTGGGAATTGGAATAAAGATGATTCTTGCTATGCTTTAGCAAAGAGACTGGTGGCATTTTGCCCCTGCACTAGAGACCTGTGGAACTTTGAACTTAAGAGAGATGATTAGGATATCTGGTGGAAGAAATTTCTAAGTGGCAAAGCATTCAAGAGGAAGCAGACCATAAAAGTTTGGAAAATTTGCAGCCTGATGATGACGAAAAGAAAAACCCATTTTCTGGAGAGAAATTTAAGTCTGCTTAGAAATCTGCATAAGTAATAAGGAGTTGAATGTTAATCAACAAGACAATGGGGTAAATGTCTACAGGGCATGTCAGAGACCTTAGCGGGCAGCCCCTCCCATCACAAGCTCAGAGTCCTAGGAGGAAAAAGTGGTTTCATGGGCTGGGCCCAGGGCCCCTTGCTGTGTGCAGCCTAGGGACTTGGTGCCCTGTGTCTCAGCTGCTCCAGCTGTGACTAAAAGGAGTGAAGGTCCAGCTTGGGCCACGGATTCAGAGGGTGCAAGCCCCAAGCCTTGGCAGCTTTCATGTGGTGTTGAGCTTAGGGGGCACAGAAGTAAAAAATTGATGTTGGAGAACCTCTGCCTAGATTTCAGAGAATATATGGAAATGCCTGGATGTCCAGGCAGAAGTTTGCTGCAGGGGAAGAGCCCTCATGGAGAACCTCTGCTAAGGCAGTAAAGAAGGGAAATGTGGGGTTGGAGCCCCCACAAAGAGTCCCCAGTGGGGCACTGCCTAGTGTAGTTATGAGAAGAGGGCTGCCATCCTGCCACCCCAGGATAGTAGATCCACTGACAGCTTGCTCCATGCATCTGGAAAATTGCAGACACTCAATGCCAGCCTGTGAAAGCAGCTGGGAGGGAGGTTGTAACCTGCAAAGCCACAGGGTTGGAGCTGCCCAAGGCCTTGGGAGACCACCTCTTGCATTGGCATTACCTGGATATGAGACATGGAGTCAAAGGATATTATTTTGGAGCTTTAAGATTTAATTACTGTCTCATTGGATTTTGGATGTGCATGAGGCCTATACCCCCTTTATTTTGGCCAATTTATCCCATTTGGAACAGGTATATTTACCCAGTGCCTATACCTCCCTGTATCTAGGAACTAACTAACTTGCTTTTGATTTTACAGACTCATAGGTGGAAGGGACTTGCCTCCTCTCAGATGAGACTTTGGACTTGTACTTTTGGGTTAATGCTGGAATGAGTTAAGACTTTGGGAGACTGTTGGAAGGGTATGATTGTGTTTTGAAATGTGAGGACATGAAATTGGAGGGACCAGACGTGGAATGATATGGTTTGGCTGTGTCCCCACCCAAATCTCATCTTGAATTGTAGTTTCCATAATCCCTATGTGTCATGGGAGGGGCCGGGTGGGAGGTAATTGAATCATGGGGATGGTTTTCCCCATGCTATTCTTGTGAATAGTAAGTAAGTTCTCACAAGAACTGATGGTTTTATAAGGGGCTTCCCCCTTCATTTGGTTCTTATTTTTCTCTCTCCTGCCACTATGGGAAGACAGATGTGTTTGCTTCCTCTTCCACCATGATTGTAAGTTTTCTGAGGCCTCTCCAGCCCTGTGGAACTGTGAGTCAATTAAACCTCTTTCCTTTATAAATTACCAAGTCTCAGTATGCTTTATTAGCAGCATGAGAACAGAATAATACATCCTCTGTGTGCAGGGCTGAGATCCTGGCATGGAGAGCCTTCCTTATGTGGGCTCAGAGCTGCAGAGAAAATTGATTTTCAGGCTTCAACGCAAGATTTTCTACTTCTGTGGGCTACCTACTGTGTCCTTTTCAGAGGGAAAAAAAACTGTGGGAAGCTGCAGAGTCCAAAATGCTCGTGTTTTTTTTTTTCCAAACACACATTACTTGGGGAAACTTGCTGTGAGTACCCAACTGATTTATTTTCTGGGCTCTGTAGGTGAGGAGAAAGCACAGAAGATAGGGTTTCAGTGGTTTTTACTCCAGAACTCATTTAAAGATTTTGCCCTAATCTCCTGGCCATCCCAGGAAGGGAGAATTTAATAATCTACAAGGATGTGGTAATGCCCTTGAAGGGTGTAGTGCTCTTGAATTGAGGCTGGGGCTGGACTGGGGTGGAGATATGGTAGTTTCTTAGTAGAACTCTCTCCTTCCCTTCACTGAGTAGGAAAAAAAGGAGCCATCTTAGCATGGGTGGACACATTAGCAGTGTCACCTGTGAGTCTCCGGTGACTCGGGAATGCTGGCAGTTGAGTGGCATGAGCCAGCAAAGTCCTGCTTAAGGTGCCAGTCATAGTTTTGTGATCACAGAAAGGAGACGTTCTTGATTCACCAATGGGCAATGAGAGCCCCTGTCCATCCTGGATTAGGGAGGCATGGCAGAGTAAAACTGAGGGCAATTCTCTACTCATTGTTTTCATTCTTATCCTTATAAGATAATCTGCAACATTCAATGTCCACTTCTTTGCTCATTGTAAAAAAAAATTCTCAAAAATACTTGCTATTTAAGAAAACTGTCAAATTTAGTTACATAGCTATGTATTCAATGCATTGACCTTAAACCAAGCTCTATTAAATTGGCAAGATTTTAGACAGTCTCTGAGTGCTTGAAACTGTATGCCACATTATAAAGGGATTCACGTATATGCATATTTGAATTTGTGTGTGCATATGTGTGAAGGGGTGTTGGTGGCTCCATAGCTTTGTTCAAATTCTCCAGAAGATCTGCAATGTCCAAAGGTTAAGGACTATATTCTGAAGCCAGAGGGATCTTGTCCTAGTGGTTTAATTTCAGGTTTCATGTCAGGTGGGTGTAGAGATGCCTTTAGGTGCTGTGGGCTTGGTGCTGCTTGCTGCCCTGCACAAACAGTCTCACCTTCTCATCTCCAGGTAAGGCAATAATGTGTGGTAGAAGTGTCCAATGTCAAGGAGTATGATGCTTTGTAGCAAAGAAGGGGCTGATCTAGCTCTCTGGGTTTTTGATGTGTGATGGCAAAGCTAAAACCAAATACATGATCAAGCTGAGTATGGACTATCCTCATCATTTTACAAGATACAGGAACAGTCACGATAGTTTTAGCTCTAAGCATCCTGCACATATTACATTAACTCATGTCATGCTCCCAACCACTTTATGAAGTCAATACTGTAGTATGTTAGCTCCATTCTGCAGCTGAAGGAACTGAGGCACAAGGAGGTATGTAACCTGCTCTAGTTCAGTCTACCAGGATAAAATGTTCCTTTTCATGCGGTTGGAAGGGAAGGTGAATGTTGGCATAAAAGGATTTTTTTTTTTTAAACGCAGGTCTTGGGCAGGTTCTTGCAGGGAAGCCAGCTCGTGCCTCTGCCTTGGTGGTGCCAGGCTGGGCACACATTCCCATATGCAGCAACAGCCCATTCTGACAAGTGAATATGCCTTTACAGAGCACATAGCTCCTCTTTTTCTGACCTTCCCAACCCATGGCGGTATCCCCGGTGGCTGGGCCTGCCAGGTCCCTGCCGCCCAAATAATCTTGCAAGAACACACTCTGTGTTTATTGCCAGAGTCCCTGCTTGGCCCTGCCGACTCCCCATTTGGAACATCATGCCAAAGCTGGGACCTGGTTTGCCCAGTCCTCCGCGTTGGCTGAGACTCAGCCCGGCTGTGATTTCTTCCCTTTATATAACTATGGCATAATAGGGCATCTTTCTGATAGGGCCTCCATTTTTTATTATTTTCTTTTCCTCTTTCAGAACTCATAAGAAGCTGTCAATTAGCAGAACTTCAGGAGAAGACCCTGGGGCCATGTGTCTGAGGGGCAGCCTGCGTGTGTTGGGAGGGCATGTGCTACCCATCGTGTGATGAGAGTGAGTCACTTTACCTCTCTGAGCCTCCATTTCCAAAGGAAAAGTAGGATATAGGACAATAATACTTACTCTGTACATTGCTGTAAAGATTAAGTGAGATCATGCAGATGAGAAATGATTGGCATATACATGCTAAGCACAAGTTCCTGAGATGTTTTAATCACTTAGTCCATGATTGCTGTTTGTTATTCAGGTTCAGAGAAGAAGTCACTGCGGGCTGGGGAGTTAAGGGTGGGGACTTATGAGTTCTGATATTCATAGAAGTAGAGAGAAGAATTCCAGAATAGGGAAAAGCCAGAAACAAAGATACAGAATAGGATGCAGGAGGCAGTGTGGAGAGATGGAGGCTTCTGCAGTGACTGGGTTAGGGCACCAGGGGCAGGTGTGGTGGAAAAAGATAGGTTTTTGTTTTGTTTTGTTTTAATTGGAGATGCAATTTGGGCCTTTAATAGGTAGACAATTGGGACTCATTTTAAAAGTTTCCAAACAGAATGGTAATGTGGTACAAATGTTATTAAATAATGGCATTTGAGAAAGATTCATCAGACAGGAATGTGCAGAAAAGATATGTAGCAGAGACTGTCATGAATTCACCAAAGTCAATGTGTTTTCCCTCCTGAGTATACAATTAGACTACCTTTTCCAGTATCTCTTGCAGCAAGGGAAGGCCATGTGACTGAGTCCTGGCCAATTAAATGCTGGTGGAAGGGCTTTGTGCCACATCCAGGGGTAACCTACCAAATGTGATCCTACACATCCCCTTCCATGTCTGCCAGCCAGAAGCAGAAGATCTGAGAGAGAACTTCAAAATCCTGTGGGATGGTAGGATCACAATTTGCAAGGAGCTTGGGTCCCTGAATGACTGTATGGACCAGAACCTTATCTGTCTTGGCACCTATTAGACTTTACGTGAGTAAGAAATAAACATCTATTGTGTTAAGTTACTGAGACTTTGGGATTGTTTGTTACAACAGTTAGCTTACCCTGACCAATACAGGTTAGAATAAAGAGACCAAAAGGAGAAACAGGAGGCTGTGACAATGATTCAGGTATAACATGGGAAGCTCTGACTAATCTGGTAGAGATTGAAGTGAGAATAAGAGAAAAGTATATTTGGGGAAGATTCATATGACTTTATGAATAATTAGATGGGGGAAGTGTGTGTGGTGAGGGGAGTAAAGGAAAGAAATAAGTTTTAAAAAACCCATGATTTTTTAACCTAGTGACTAAGAAAATAGTGGTACTATGGAAATCAGTTAAGGTATCAGAAGGTGAGACAGGTCTGGAAAAAGATGATGAAATGTATTCTATTGGTGGTGAATTTGAGGTGATAGTGTAAGAGGAAGTATCTAGACATGAGTTTCTCAGCCTGGGCACTGTTACTCTTTGGGGTCCATAACTCTTGGTGTGGGTGTCTGTCCTGTGGAATGCAGGATGTTTAGCAACAGTCCTGCCTCCACCTATGAGATGGTCCTGTCCATTTCTTGCCATTGGAAACAACCCAAGATTTCTCCATATGCTGCTGAAGGTCCCCCGAGGTGGGACAGAATCATCCCTGGTTGAGAACCACGGGTCTAGAGTGAATTGGAGATGTGAGTGAGTCAGAACAGCCTCCCTTCTGTGAAGAATCATATATAATTAAGGCACTTCTAGTTCTGCAAGTCTCAGATTTCTGCCAATGGTCAGTGGTTAGCAGCTCGGTACAGGTTCTACTGGAAGGTGTCTCCAGGATCTCAGGCCTCTCTCAAGCCCAAAAGGGGCCCAGGATCTCTGAGGCATGTGTGTTTGCTTCAACATATTATCAGCTGAGCCTGTAACAAAGCTTTCCAAATGGCACAAGCAAATCTCCCGCATGGCAACTGGCAGCATGGTTTGGGAGGATTCCCTTTTCATTTCCTATGCTTTACGATTTTTTTTCTTCTGCTTTTCAAAGAGCATTTTTACAAGCTAGTATTCTATATTGCTCTGCCTGTACTCTGAGAAAAGATAAATATTTTCAATGTGTTTTCTGAGGCATATGCTCTCCATTGAGAAAATGTATCCCTTATGGACATAGCTATTTTGACCTCATTAGCTGGATAGATCAGAGGGAATTTGACAAACAGGGCCTCGTATGCCCAGGATGCCTCTGTTAATTTCCAGGGGAGCTGAGGGGTTTGTACCACTGGGGGTACACCTTTGGGTTTCCCAGAGGACTGCCTTAGGAATCTAAGGGGAGCCCAGTGAACAGGTCCCTCAATGTAAGAGGCCTGGGAGAGTGACCTTGCTTTTGGTTGCCAACTCCAAGGTCCCATTTAGTGGGAGTAGTGAGGAGAGACTAAAGAGCTGGTTCAGAATTCTACAGAGGCTCTGGGACCACCCAGGCAAGCTCACACAGAATGCAAAACCTGCGACAGGTAACTATGGCTGCTTTCTCCCTGAACGGCATTTCGAAGGAGGTTTCACTGGATGAAGGGTGACCACTCATCAGCAGTTTGACTGAGACTTCCCCAATTTTAGCACTGAAAGCTTTGCAATCACAAGACAGTCCTTTGGTCTTTTGCTAACCAAAGATGTCTGGTCACCCACCCTGGGTGAATTGGCCCAGGTGGCAGCTGTTTGTGCCCTCAGGAAAGTGGGCAAAGCCTGCTGCTTCCAATCCCCTTCACAACACCCCAAATGTTAGACATTTAGCCTCTCAGTTTTTGGCAACTCTGCATTTTATTTTGGATTTAGCATCCCAGTTTCAGACATTTTACCTGGGTGACTTCAGATAAGTCACTTAATCTCTCTGCACCTAAATTTTCTCATTTAAGAGTTTGGGCAATTCTACCTCCTCCCGCACTTGTTGTATGGACCAAATCAGATTAGTGTATCTAAAACACTTGGCACATACAGGCTCTCACAGTGTAGATAGTAAGTAGGATATAGGAAAATAATAGGATAGCTATTATTATTATGTTTAATATGTGGTTCCCAAGACCCTTTATTAACAGGTGATAACTTCTGAGAAGGGTGATTTTGTTTAAGCCAACATTGGCTAGCATAGCCAGATCAGTTTCTGTCATGTTGCACTGGAATTACCAGCAGCCTTTGCACAGTTGATAACTTGTCCTGAAAGTTTCATGGAAAACTGAGACCCTACTCTCTTTGGTTTCTTCCTTTTTCAGTCTTCCTTAATAGATACTCCTCAAATTCCCAACTTCTACATGTTGGAGGTCCAAGTTTTAGACCCTGGAATTTCTTGTTTCTGTCTACACTCACTCCCTAGATTATTTTAACCCATCTCATGGCTTTAAATACCATCTTTACATTGAAACTTCTGAATTTGTGTCTCAACCCCCAACTTACCCCCTTACATGAGACATAATATACTCAATTCATTCTTACCAGCAGGTATGAGAGTCCCCTTTGTTTCATATATTTGGCAAAGCTGATATTGTCAGACTTAACGTTTTTCTTCTCTTTGATGAAAGTGAAATGAAACGACATTATTTGCTTCTTGTGCATCATTCTATCACCTAACCCTGTCTTGGTCCTTGAAGTTATTCTCACTCATAAGCCTCCTTACTATGAGACTATATTGTAGATTGATTTGTCTAAGGTCTAAGATCTGCGGAGGACAACTTTGCAGTCTTTCCTTGAAACACGAAGGACTGAGGCAAGAAGCAACCAGCTTCCTCTGGTCAAGTAGCCATGACCAGAAATATTATGGTTATGCCAATGTCCAGGAACGTCACCTATCTTGATTGATTTATACTTTACTTATCTTTTTAAAATTAAGATGGGTTAATAGGATAATGTAACTGACTTTTAAACTAATACACAAGGATTTAATCTAAGTAATATGACATTGCACAACATTTTATCATCTTCATTTTGCAGTTCTTTTGCAATTGTCTTTCTGATTATCTTAAGTTATTTATGGGATAAGGTGGAGATATAAATAATAAATTAATACCTTTTGGTACTTGCGATCTGTTTTTTTGAATCACATTGGAAATAGTAAATAGTGCTTCTTTGAGGGTAAACATAATATTTGGAAACAACTAAATGGTGACACGTTTATTCATCTAGCTTGCGGTGTGACCATGGCAACTTAACTTCCCTGAACCATATTTTACTGATTTATAAAATAAAGGAGCATGCCTTCTAATCAAAAAGCATTGTTCTAATTCTTAAATTCTATACTATGGTGGATCATTTAGTTATCTGACAGTTTAGCACTCTATATTGATCTTCACGTTATAACTTAAGTATTTCTTTTGTCAGTGAATATACATGTGCATGATGTCTGTGTGTGGTATATGAGTGTATATGTATGTATGAGGGGTGGAGGTTACAAGTTTGCAGAATCAAAGACTGAATATAACTTTTAGATACCATCTGGTTCAGTCTCTGTCTTCAGACCACACCATATCCAAAATTATCTAAACAGATGAAGGACTAATCTACTTTGAAATTCACAACTCTTGGAGTTTTTTTGTTTTGAAGAAGTTTCTTCTCAAGGTTAAATGAAATCTTTCATGTAGTCCTCCAGTCATAGTCTGTCTTGTTCTCCTCGGAAATGAGTGGATACACAAGACGTGACATATAAAACTTGAAAATGTGAATTTGCATTCAATCTATAAAAGAGGCCAATATGAAGAAATGATAGACATATGAGAACAGCAAAACCTTCCCTTCACAGAAAAAAAGTAAAAAAAATGTGTCTACATACCCACATATCTATCTATCTATCTGTCTGTCTGTCTGTCTGTCTATCTATCTATCTATCTATCTATCTATCTATCTATCTATCTATCTATCTGTCTATCTATCCATCTATCTAATCTAGCTTCCCACCTATCTATCTATCTATCTATGTATCTATGTATGTATGTATGTATGTATGTATGTATGTATGTATGTATCTATCTATCTATCTATCTATCTATCTATCTATCTATCTATCTATCTGTCTATCTATCTGTCTATGCATCTATCTTAGCCTAAAGAATAAATAGTATCATTGTCCTCTGGTGTGCCTGTCCTATTTTTATGTTAGTGGTTTTTGTCTTCAGAGGCAAAGAGATGTCAGAGGCAATCATCCATGCTAATACTAGACACACCACCAAACAAAAACTCACACAGAAGTGTGAATTTGAGGGCCATTTAACACTGTAAATTTCTCCCTTGTATAACAATTATGGAAACACGCATGCTAATTGACAATGCAGCGGAGCACCCTGTGAATGTGAGCAGTGTTCAGTCGTCCTCATAATTCCTCTTTTTATAGCTGGTGGTGAGCCTGTCCAGAGGATGTCATACCCAGCCCTCTCACAGAGGAAGATTTCTCCTAACTGAATATTGTCTAATACTCCCCATAGGTAAAACATACCCCATAGGCATACTTACGTTGTTTGAACTCATATTTGGCTCATTGTGCCTAGAACTTCAGTTTTAGTCTCCACATGCACACTGCTTTGTTTCATGGTTTGGGGGCTTGTTGTTATTTTATTTTATTTTACTTTCCTCATTTAGTTATTTCCACCTGGGGTAATTGAGGAATATTATTATACCCAAGAGAGCAGCCTTAAACTATTTGGCTCCCTAAAATGGTGGGAGTGGACTACATTTCTGTGCAAAAATCACACTTACTAGGAGCCAGAGAGGTATTTAAAAAAACAGATTTTCTAAAACTTAAATTAATTCTAGTTATATTAATTCCTAGTGAAGAGCCTGCTGTCTCTCTGGGGGAGTCCAAAGAGAGATAAGGCTGAAGGTGGCCTACCACAGGCTGATAGCTAGGTTTGAATCCTGGCTCTGCCCTAATGGCAAGATGTGTGACCTCGAGGAATGGACTCAATTACTCTGAACATCACTTTTCTCATCTGTAAAATGGGGGTACTAGTAGAGTTGTTAAAAGGTTAATGAGATAATTCTTGCATAGGACTTTTCAGGCTGTCTAAAGTATGCTGAGTACTATTATAAGAAACATGAGGTTGTCTTGGAAGGAAACTGGACCATGAAATGAAGACTTGCTGTGGGGTCAGCCAGGTGGTGCTAAAATCCCAGTTTAAAATCACAGCTGACATGTTATCTCATTTGACCCTCATTCACATGGACCCTATGAGGATGAACCTTAAGTCTGTGGCACAGAAGGCTCTCATCCCTCCTTCTGGGTGATCCCAGCTGAGCCCATTTCTCCTATGGCACCCACATTGCCTGTATCATGCAGCTGTTCTGAGGATAAGTGAGTAAAAACAGAAAAATGTGTTTCAGAAGTGTTAAGTGCCATACACATGCTAGTCATGCTTTAATCTAGGCATTAGGCATTTAACTTTATTTCCTCAAGAGGCTTCAGGTTACACAGTATGGGCACTGAGATTATGAGTGTGAACAGAGGTGCACAGGACATTGAACTTGAGCTTGTGCCTGTGCTGATAGGAAGGGAAGTGGTCAAGATACTGGCTGGTGATTGGAGTTCACACTCTGTAAGTAGGTCCTCTACCTTTGCCCCAGGATTGCCTCCAACACAATTGACCTTGCAGCAGATAACACCTTCTTGTTGTTTTTTAAGGCTAATTTCAAGCAGAAGAGAAACATAAAAGAGGGTTGGGCATGTGATGGAGAAGAAAGGGGAAAAGAAACACTGAGACTGCTCAAACTGATTTTAGTTACTGTTAAATTAAAATTACAACTAGATTTGCACTGACATTTTCTTCCCTTTAAAGTGTTCTGGTACACATGATAAATACTTAATTTAGTAGATTTAGAAATTCTTGGTGACATGTCATTAGCAGGCATGTCTTCACAGTCATGTGCTCACAGGTGTATATGAGGGTATGGAGGCATCTCTATTACATTTGGGTTTTTTCCTCCCATTTTATTTTGTGCTGTTGTTTATTTATTTGTTTTGTTTGTAAAATCTCTCAAATCCGGCCAAAGCCTGTTCTTTTTAACATCAATCTTGTTTCCCCTCTACCTATATCCCCAATTCTCTTTTTGCAAGATGAGGTCTCAGAGGGTTTAAAGGGTGGGGTACAGAAGGAAAAAAAACTATTAGATTATTACATTTTATGGGTTGTCAAAGCTCTAATGCCATTAGCCACCTAACTGCGAGGTAAAAACCTTTGTGATGTCATATAACAGGTTGCCATGGGTTTGACAAACCTTTGTGAAATAAACAAGGAAAAGAAGCTGAAAATGCCCACAACACCTCTCTGTCCCCCACCCCCACCCAGTGCCTACTGCCACCCACGGACATTCCCTTCTTGCTTATTAGCCCCTGAAGGGCATTTTTAATATAAAATATATATAAAGTCTTCCCAAATCAGAAAGGTCTCCAAGTCTCCAATTTAATTGGAATGGAAAATGCTAACTAATTGGCATCAAAATTTGATTTGTGGGAGAAACCTCCTTTTTTGTTGGAAACACAACAGTGTGTCTGGGAATACAAGCCCAGTCCTTCAAAAATCATCTGTGAGTGCCGCCGAGGAATCAATTAAAGTTGATTTGGCATATCTGCTTTTGACAAATATAAAGAAATCTCTGATTAGGCAGAGAAGAAAAGAAGCTTTCTCTTTCTTGCTCTCTCTTCCTCTCTCTTTCCTCTGCCTCTTCCTCTCTTCTTCTCATTTCCCTTTAAAGGCAGTAGGTGTCAGAAGGGGGTGGGTAGTGATATGCAAAACACGGCCTCCATAACCAAAGTAGCCTGCAAAATTAGGTGTCAGCATGCAAAGCTTATTGATGTATGAATGCGGAAAATGAAAGGCGGCAGTAGACAGCCGGGGCTAAAGGTGAGACAGGCACAGTGAGAGCAGCTGTAGATCCACGTCAAGGTGTTGCTATATGAGCTCGGGTTTTTTCTGGAGGGCCACAGCCTAACAAGGTAAGCCTGGCCATGAAATGATGGAACAATACAATATAGGCACACACAGTGTGAATACCAAATAAATTGACATGGTGTCTCACCCCCCACAACTCCTCCTGCACCGCCACCCCCCCTTCAAAGTATGCCTGTGTATTCATTAATAAATTCATATTCTGAGTTTTCAATAAAAGAAGAAAATGCAGTGTAAACTGGAGTTACTTAGTGACACCCAGCTCATTGCTTTTTATTGTTGCTTGCAGCTACGAAGCCTTCACAGTGCACTAGTAGAATTTATTACTGTCTGTCTCTGTGGCAAGTTGGCGAAGTGCGCCTTTTGAAGAAAATTGACCCAAACTTCATGAATATGATGAAAAATGCCAATAACACTACAAAGACGAAGCTCTTGACATTACTCTGCAAAGAGCTAAAAGACAGTAATGAAAGTATTGCAATTACAAATCATTACCTTCTCTCCAGCCATTCACCAGCTTCTCTCCTCTTTTTTTTTGGACCACTCTCAAGCTCTGCAGGCCGCCCCAGGTGCTGTTTTGCACAGCATGATGGGAAAGAGAGGGTGTGTGAATACTCCAATGGACTTCTCAAAGAAGGGAAAAGGAGACAAGAGGGGAAGAAGGGAAGGGTTGGAGGGACTGGGATGAAAGTGCCCCTTCTATTGCACCTGGATAAATAAGGTAAAATGAAAAATTCTTACAGTCAGTGGTCAGGAGGTCATGACCTTATTGAGTGGCATCTTTCATCTGAAAAGTGGGATTAAGAACACCCACCTACTTCTTTTCTAAAACTGTTCCCTTTCGGCTGAGTGCATTTTAGTTTGGCTTAAGGGAGAGCACGTTTAATCTTTTATCTTTTATTATTTGTTAGAAATCCATTTCAGACATTGGCAAATAAATTATCAAGAAAATGTATTAATTGTTTTCAACATAAGGGACTGGCCTATTTTCTTACCATAAAGGTAACACTGAAAAAGGCAAAACATGAAGAGGGAGAGAGACAGAGAGAGAAAGACACTAACTTTAGAGAATCACTTTCTACTACCACATATTTTAATGATGAAGACCCTCCCTTTCATTGTTTCAACAATTTTCTGACATGTGCCTTCTGTTGACTGTGCTTACACTGTTGATTTTCAGAGTCTTGGCTTGGTTTGTTTTTCATTTATTTGGGGTGTGTGTGTGGAGGGGGTGTATGAATACATGCATTTCTTGACTTACAAACAAAACTATTTATAAATAGTTCCTGTGCTTAAAGGATGGTGGCTCATCTCATCTAGAAACACAACAGAATGATCTTCTGCTTCTGCTGTGATAGAGGCTAATAAAAATCTTGGAAGTTTATAGAGAGTATATGAAGTCAGAAATAGAAGCAGAGAAGACATTATGAAGACAAGAAAGTAACAGCTTCAGGGAGTTGCCTTGGAGAAAGGAGAAACAGAACAAGGACAGATACAGCGCCATAGTTATTTGATCCTGAGGTGGTCCTCCTCCCTACAGATTCCTTCTCTTACCACCTGTGGAAAGGTTCATTTTGCTGTGATGCTGCTGGAAAGTTAACTAATTGTAGATTCAATTTGATTCTATAATACCTCATTAAAAAGGAAAATTCCTCTGGAGAAGATAGGAGGCTATAAGTCATTTACACATTAGTATGAAATTGCTACATCCAATTTGCTTTCTTTCTAAAATCTGGGTAAACTTTTTTTTTTTTTTTTTTTTGAGACAAAGTCTCACTCAGGCTGGAGTGCAGAGGCATGATCTCAGCTCACTGCAGCCTCTACCTCCCAGGTTTAAGTGATTCTCCAGTCTCAGCCTACAGAGTAGCTGGGATTACAGGTGTGCGCCACCACACCTGGCTAATTTTTTTTGTATTTTTAGTAGAGACAGGCTTTCACTATGTTGGCCAGGCTGGTCTTGAACTCCTAGCCTCTAGTGATTTTCCCACCTCGGCCTCCCAAAGTGCTGGAATTACAGGTATGAGTCGCCATACTAGGTCCTAGCCAAGCTTTTGATTGATTATAGGACATAGGGTATTTTGCATCATGAAACACTGAAGGAGGGAGAGGTTAGAAACCAAGTCTAGGTGGACCTGGACAGTGTGGGGTTTAGAATGCTCTGGAGGAACTGAGTTTTGAGAAGAGCAACAGATGGCAGAAGAGATATTGAGGAGATAAGGTGGAAATGAGGCTAAAATAATTTATCCCATTTCAAAATTTTGCTCAAGGCCAGCCCTTTGACTAGAATATGGAGAGAAAGCACATTTCTCTTCCTCTTCCTCTTTTCTTCTATATTACATGTTCCTTTGCCCTTTGCATAGACCCAAAATTTAGGTTAATTAAAATATTATCATAAATCAACTTTTATTGGCTAGCCTGGGGGCCTAGAGTTCAAAGTCACCACAAAATCATAGTTTTTATGTCAAAATGCATTATGGATTCCAAAAGCCTAACATATTAATTGTAACTCACCCTCTCAGCCTGCGGTGGGTACTGTGAGCTGCGGGCACTGACTGGTTATGAGTAGGTGATAGGTAGCCATGTTTGCTGGATGCTCCTGGAATGGAGGAACAACCATGGCCGTTTGATCCATTGTCTTTCCTGTAGGCAAGAAATACTTACATACCAAAAACATTGAGCTTTTAAAAGTTTATTTGATCTTTTCAATAATCTCTTTTATTTGTTAACTCATTTGCTTATATTATAGCTGAGAACACCCAGGTCCCACAATCCCTCCTCATGGACCATGTTGTCAGCTAAGGACCTGCTGCAGGGATGATACTATCTGGCATGCTCATTATCACACTTCTCTACCATATATATGTATGGTATGCATTACCAATACACTAAGTAGTCATCTCCCACCGAGTTTCAGAATCCTCCCACAGTGTTTCAGGGAACTTCTATTGATTGATCAAAGTTGGCATGAAAGAATAGACTAATTTGTGATTCTTCGACCTCACCAGTAAATTAAATCTCAATATCCCTAGCAAACTCTCTCCCTAGGAGTAGCAATTGGCCAATGTATGTCATAAAGGGGAAAACAAATCTCTGAGTGGTCAAATTAATAAGGTACCCATCTTTCATTTATTTATTCCACAAAAATACAGCGAGTGTCTGCCATTTGTCTGGAACTCTACTGGGCCATGTAGACACCTCAGTTTGATGTTTGATCTCTAAGGTTTGATCACAAAGCAGGGCTCACAGGCTAAGCTGCCTGATTCCACAGCTGGAAATTGGCCTACCAAAGGTCAGGGTCATCCCAATGGAAGACAGAGTTAGAAGGACCCACCTTTTTCTGTAGGGCAGCAGCACAATAGAAGAAGCCTGCAGAAGTATATAAGCTAATACTTGGGCTCCTGACTAGAACCTGGATTAGTACTGCATGGAACCTTTATTTTACATTCTAAAAACTAGATTTGCAATAAATTATTAGCTATAAAAGGACATAAATGAATATGAGAGTAGCAACCACTAAGCAACAGAGCCTGGGATGCATACATAAATAGGAATATGACACAAATTGTATATCTGCAAATATCCATGCTGCTAAATTTGTCCAACCATCAGAAGATTTTGCATGTGCTCTTCTACCTTCTGTGTGAGTCAGAACATGCCAAATCCTCTTTTTCTTGTAGAAAGGGTGGTAGAATGAGGCTGGAAATGGAATATGAATGGGCTTCTGAAGGAAGAGGACTGTGTTTGTATCACTGGTCTAGTCCAGTGTCTGGCATAAAACTGGTGCTTAATAGATGGTAGCTGAATCAAATTATTCAAAGGACAAAAGGAAATGGGAATTTCTTGAGGGGCTGATTTTCAGATATCATCAATTTGTCCCCCAAAACACAGCATAGACCCTGGCAAAAGGGGGGTATTCAGCAAAAGTTTGATAAATGGAATTGAGTTTGATATGACACTAGAAAACTTGCATGAAAGGGCAAGGACAGAATAGCTATATATTATAAATCCACTCTCAATAAATATTGGTAGATACTCATAGGTTTATTTCCCATTATTTCATACACTATTGGCCTGGTGTATGAGTTAGGCTAACATCTGGTTAAGCTATTTTACAGAGACTCAGGAGATTTCGGTGGTTGAACACATCGAAAGTTTATTTCTCATTCATATAACAATCCTATGTGGGCATTCCTGGTTGTCAGGAAGATCTCCTCTACATAGGATTAGACTTCTTCCATTTTATGGTTTTGCCATCCTTTAAGGCCTTGGAATCCCTATAACAGGCCAGCAGACAGAGGAAGAAAGCATTTCAAAGGCTCAAAACTGAGCTGCTCACATTCCATTGCTAAGAACCTCTTCAGACCCCATCTAATGAAGGTAGGGAGTGCGCTGGAAGTGGGGCTGGGGCTGGGTGAATTCTGCCTAGTGATATTGGCCAATGTACCAGTGTATGAAAAACGTGCACTGTGGAAGTGGAATAGGGATTTTTGGTAGACAGTAAGCATCTTGTACACACAGGTTGGTGGGCCTCAAGCGGTGATCAACTGTGGCAGTTTCAAGTATGATGTGGTTAAAGTAGTCAGATCATCCCTACCCTCTGCCACAGACAAAACTTCATCATTAGTTATCCTTTCAGGCTTCTCTTCTTATAGCTTCTCACTCAAAATTTAAAAATGTGAAGAAGCAATAACACATCTAGATAGTTCAGATTAAGGAAGGCAGTGAAATGATGCAGATCCCGTGGCTGGATCCTGCAGGAAAATGAAGAGTCAGGTGGCAGACTTTAGAATCTGATCAGAGTCATTCTCAGTGTCCAGGCCCCAGGTAGAATGAAAATAAAAAAGAACAGCATGTCCTAAGGAAGTTGATGAAACTCTTCATGAGAAGACATTCCTCCCAGGATTAGGCCTACTAGGTAGATGCTATTGATAAAGGAATGGAGCATGGCCTGTAGACACTCATGCCATTACCAGCCTGTCTTGCTCTAGCTCCAGTGGGAGAAACCTCCTGAGTACTTCTCAAGGTCTGTTTGACCGGGAGGCAGCAATGTTTTCCAGATTGTGTGCATCCTTTGTACCTCCTCTTCTGAGTGTGTAAGGTCTGTCTTAGTAGGAAACAGGCGGGAATATCAGAGAAGTGTAATTACTGAACTCTGTTCTGAGAAGCTTCTCTATGTGGCTAAAACAACAGTGTTGGAAGTAAAAGGCCATTGGCAAGGGTGTCGCAAAGACTGGGGCTCATTTTGGCTTAAAACAATTATTTCCATCCTTCCTCATACTCTTCTTGCCAGCTTAACCTGTGTTGGAAAATGTAATTCAAAAGTTATGGTAACAGTATGATTCTAGCTTTGGGGTGCTTTTGATGAGTTCATCAGACTTACACACTTTTTGAACTTGAATTTGTTGTAAGTGATCTGATTGGTTTCCACCAAGGTTGGCAACCTTTTTAGGAGTGGGTGAGGAGGGCTGCACTGCTTTCTAAGGGGTGAGGGTGGACCCAGAGTTCAGGAGGGGGCCTGGTTCATTGTGCTACAAACATCACACTTCTTGGTGGAAATAAACATCCAGATTATTGCAAGAACGTAGAGATTTGCTGGCAGTTCCGGATCAATGTAAGTCAGTATATATATAATATATAATATAATAATATTATATATAATATATATTATATATATATAATATTATATATATAAAATATATATATTATTTATATATAAGATATAATATTATTATATATTATATAATATTATTATATATATTATATATAATAATATTATATATGTTTATATATTATATATCTATAATATATGTATATATAATATATGTATATATGTATATGTAGAATATATGTATATATAATATATGTAGAATATATGTATATATAATATATGTAGAATATATGTATATATAATATAATATGTGTAGAATATATATATAATATATGTAGAATATATGTATATATAATATATGTCTATACATTATATTATATATAACATATTTTATCTATATTATATATAATATATATGTTTATCTATATCATGTATAATATAATATGTTTATATATTATATATAGTATATATGTTTATATATATAATATATAATATAGTATATAATATATATAGTATATATGTTTATATATATACTATATATAATATATTATATAATATATATATTCTATTTAGAATTACACTGGGGAGAGGCTGGCCTCAGATGCTCAGGAAACTGGCTACACCTCCTTGTTACTTGGCCATAGAAATTTGAATGGGTTTGTATACTCAGCTTCTAATATTTCAGGCTGTTTACTTGTTTTGTGAGTAACGCAGCCTCCCCCTCAAGTTTTGCATTTGCGCTAAACTAGATGGCCAGGATGCCTTGGCTAATGCCTTTTAATATCTAAGCTTTGTACATCTAGTGCTTGGTTAATAACAGGGAAAAAGCTCCAGTGACTCACCTTGACCTCAAAAGGGAAAAAAATATCCTTTTAATAATCTGGGAGTTTATCTGAATCAAAGGCATGCTGCATGTTACACAATCTTCTTGTAGGGCCGAGCAGGTCACAAAGCAGCACCCTTGTTTTTTATGAAGTCAGCCAAGATGTATAGGGGCCAGGCTTGCCGCTTCTCTGAGATCCTTCAAATTCATCTTCAATATGTTAGCCACTAGCAGAGCAGAAAGCTGCACCAAGTTTAATAGGCTTTTATTTGAGAACTTTTCAAAATGTATAACCTTGTTTCGATTAAAGTTAAAGGCATATTTTCTAAATATCCTCAAAAAGGAATGCCCAATTACTTTCTAAGAGTCAAGCTACATACTATTGTGTCTTATCACTTTAAATATGCTCTCTGACCCTTGACTGGGAACCACTTGAGGGTAGGGACCAGTATATCAATCAGTGCTGGAGACATAAAAGTCAGATTTGTCAAATAAATGAATGGATGAAGCCTTGCCATGCAGCAGAGGTTCTCAGCAAGATTTTGTCCCCAGGGTACAGGGTACATTAAGCAATGTCTGAAGACATTTTAGATTGATCACAACTGGGCGGGGGCGGGGGTGCTACTGGAATTGAGTGGATAGAGGCCAGGGTGCTGCTAACATCCTAGAGTCCCCAACAAAGAATTGTCTGGCCCCAAATTACACTATTGCGGAAGTTGAGAAACTCTGCCATACTCATCCCACGATATCACGTGCATTCAAAATATCTGGCAGATGGCCATTGGTCTTTAGAAGATTCATCCAGCAAATATTTATTAAACAATTTTCATGTGTAAATCCAATCAAATATTCTACTCAGAAAGCCCTCTGACCTGTTCTTTTTCTCTGTTCCAACTTCCTTTTGCCTGTTACTCCCTCCTGCCCTTTACCATTTTTCAATATCCATGGGAAAAACAAAGAGCATACTGCAAGAGGGAATGTCTAGAGTCCAAAGTATGGCTTTCTAGTTACTAATTTAATTGTAGTGTGTCTTTTCTGAGCCATTCCTTCTGATGAGAAACATGTTTATGCTGCAAGAGCTGCCCTGCCCAGCTTGGAAAGCCCTTTGGAGATGGGCATTGAAGGTAAAGAAACACATTCACAGGATGTTTACTCTAACGATGCTCTCAAAAGCATTTGGGATTTTTAAACATATGCTTCCAACATTTCTCTCTATCGTCACATTGCTGCTAAATTGTGGAAAAGCTGTAAATAGAAATAATGGACTCAGTTTATTTTTAATTAGAAGGCTGCCGCTTATAGCTGCAATCGTGACACTACCAAGCGTGTCTTCTTTTCACTTGGAAGGAAGGAACATAGAGTTCCTAGGGTTTTGAACTTGAGCCAGGTTCCCCAAGTCTGTTGGTCTCTGAGCCCTTGCAATTCCGATGTCTTTTAGTGGCAGTGGGGTCATAGGAGGATTCTCTGCATTACTTTTAATGTTGTCAGATGTAGCTAATGCTATTATTTCTACAGAGTTAGAAATAAGAAACATTTTGAGGTGTTGTTTTGCTTTTCCTTTTTCTTCATATTTAATCATTAGCATCTATTCCTCAATTCAATACAATTTTTAGAGTCATATTTAAATTTTTTTTTTTTCAGAGAAGATTCTGTTAAATTTTTAGGCATGTGGATCAGAGTAATGTTACCATTACTCTGCTCACCATCTCCCAAATAAACTTTATTCTGGGAATATTATATTTATCCCCAGACAATATATCTGAAGCTCAGTGTTTTTTCCCCTCTAATTGTAAGTTGACGTGGATAAACAGATCTAGCCTGGTAGTCCATCATATTATGACTGCCTGGATTGTCAGAGTCTTCACTACTGTTGTCTCAACAATCTAAACTAAAGTGTGGAGAAAATGCTCAGGTAGGCAATGCCCAATTTGGAATTCCCTGTAGTGGGACAGAGAAGAGCTGCATGAGGATCTTACTCTAGGGCCATGTGTTCCCCAAAATGCTGTAATTTATAAAACACCACCTGTTTTGAAAGAGATATTTTTCTTTTTCCCTGATATTTGAATTTTTTCTATTCCCTATTTTTTCTTCTTCCCTGATATTTGATTTTTTCCCCCACTAGATTAACATTTCCCATTCTGCAATGGGATGCCAAGCACAAAGTAAAATGGTCTAGGGAGAGAAAACTTACTATTGTGCATTCATAACATAGTGAGAATGTCTAAGAAGAGAGTTTGATGGAACATGGGAATCAGCAGGTGTAGTGCGGCCTAATTAGGTTTAAGTGAATATGGGGGGTGGAAAATGGGTTTAGAGAAAATGATAATAAGAAAGATGATTCAGAACAGTGCTGTCCAATATGGTAGCCCCTAGCCACATGTGGCTGTTGAGCCCTTGAAATGTGACTAGTCTGAATTGAGATGCAATGTAAGTATAAAATACACATCACATTTCATTTTAGAATGAAAAAATATTGTACAATATCTGATTAAAAACATTTCATACTGATTACATATTGAAATGATTATATATATTCGGTTAGGTAAATATTGTGTTAAAATTAATTTTATCTATTTCTTTTTACTTTTTTTATGTGATTACCAGAAACCTTATACTTAACATATGTGGCTCACATTTGTGACTTGCATTGTATTTCTATTGAATGGCACTGCTTTAAAATGCTGTCCAGGAATGTCTTGGCCTTACAGAGTGCATTTCCATGGCCTTAAGATAGAAATTTTAAATTTGCAATAGTTTGATTTAACCCTAACTGTACGGTAGTTTGAAGTTCCATGAGTAGTAAACTCCAGTGTTGCATAAAAGCCCCAGAGCAGTGGTTCAGAATCTTGAGTAACTGAGCCTTTAAGGGGTTAGTGGGTGGGTTTTATTGTATCTCTGAAAACTCGACATTAAATGCAAAGGTTTTTTTGTGTAAATTCCACTGGGATTTATTGACTTTCTTTAGACTCTCCAAAGGATTCCTGACCAACACTTGCATTGTACAACTCTAGGGACCACTCTTCCTATAGAATTGAATGATGACTGGAGTTCCACCTAGAACTGGGCAACATAGTGGTTTTGTCTTGATTCTAAACAGTTTAAGAACACTGACCCACAATAAGGACTCACAGTGTGGTCCTGTCACTCTTTTTCTCTTTAGTCCTTGGTGGCTTCTTCTGGCCTTCATAATAAAGCTCACATTTCCTAGGTGGCACTCAAGGTTGATTATATGTAAATACTTTTCTCATTTTATATCCATGTACATTTCAGCCACAAAATTCTAGTCAATGTTTTGGAGTCTAGCTTCCACTAAGAAGCTATATGTCTTTGTAGATGCTGTTCCCTCTTCTTGAAATTCCTTCCTTGAAATTCCTTACCAACTTTCACCCACCTAAATTCTACTCAACATTAAATGGAGTTATAAGAAAGGACAAGAAGAACATATTTGCTTGTTTCTTATAGGATTAATATGTCAAACATATAAAGACCTCCATAAATCAGTAAGAAAATGAAATAAAATGGAAATAAAGGCAAAGAATAAGAATAAGATAAGAATAAGGAATACTGAGCCATGACGAGTAAACATGAAAAGATGTCCCATCAGTTAGAATATTTTATTTAAATTTTGATGTGCCAGATACCATTTAAAATCTTTCACACAGGCTAATCATTTAATCTCAGTATTCATTCCCATAAATACTTAAATATATGCACATAAAAACTATTTTTAAAAAGTCACTGTTGGTGATGGCAGGGGAAATGGGTTCTGTCATACAGAATCAGTAAGATTTTAAATTCTGCAAACTTACTGAAAGTGAATTTGTTAATCTCTAATGAAAATTTAAAACACATGTACCTTATGACTGAGAAATCACACTTCCGGGTGTCCTACACAAATCTGTCTGTCTTAGTCTGTTCTCATA
This sequence comes from Homo sapiens, assembly GCF_000001405.40. NCBI lineage: Eukaryota > Metazoa > Chordata > Mammalia > Primates > Hominidae > Homo > Homo sapiens. The sequence goes on along the minus strand of NC_000002.12, from coordinate 59,840,291 downwards.
CTGCTGTGAAGAAATACCCGAGGCTGGGGAATTTATAAAGAAAAAGAGGTTTAATGAACTCACAGTTCCACATGGCTGCGGAGGCCTCACAATCATGGTGGAAGGCACAGGAGGAGCAAAGTCATGCCTTACATGGCAGCAGGCAAGAGAGCATGTGCAAGGAAACTTCACTTTATAAAACCATCTGATCTTGTGAGACTTATTCACTATCACGAGAATATCACGGGGAAAATTGCCCCCATGATTCAGTGACCTCCCACCGGGTCCCTCCCAGGGGGATTATGGGAGCTACAATTCAAGATGAAATTTGGGTGGGGACACAGCCAAACCATATCACTATCCTACACAAATATTAAGAGAAATGCAAGAAAGTGTAGGTAAAACATTTTTATGGTGATAATCTGAATTGGTTAAATAAATTCTGGAATAATCTTACAGTATAGTAATTGAAAAGAGAATCAAATTGACCAATATGGACTATTTAGTGAAAATTTGTGTAAGTGTTATTAATTGTAAAACATACACATGTATATATATGTAACTAACCTGCACATTGTGCACATGTACCCTAAAACTTAAAGTATAATAAAAAAAAATACACAGTATAATATATATTGTTTGATTTTACTTTTTTTGTTATTGTTGTTGTTTTGAGATGGAGTCTTGCACTGTTGCCTGGGCTGGAGTGCAATGGCTCCATCTCACCTCACTGCAACTTCCGCCTCCTGGGTTCAAGTGATTCTCCTGCCTTAGCCTCCCAAGTAGCTGGGATTACAGGCACCCGCCACAATGCTCAGCTAATTTTGTATTTTTTGTAGAGACGGGGTTTCTCCATGTTGGTCAGGCTCGTCTCGAACTCCCAACCTCAGGTGATCCACGCACCTCGGCCTCACAAAGTGCTGGAATTACAGGCATGAGCCACTGCACCCGGCCATTTTACTTTTTAAAACAAAGTATATATGTCTATATTTATGTGTACTACTATTACTATATTTATTGAGAGCTTACCATGTTCCAGGAAGTGTTCATATTCATTTTTGCATTTAATTCTTTTTTTTTTTTTTTTTTTTTTTTTTTTTTTTTTTTTTTGAGACGGAGTCTCGCTCTGTCGCCCAGGCCGGACTGCGGACTGCAGTGGCGCAATCTCGGCTCACTGCAAGCTCCGCTTCCCGGGTTCATGCCATTCTCCTGCCTCAGCCTCCCGAGTAGCTGGGACTACAGGCGCCCGCCACCGCGCCCGGCTAATTTTTTGTATTTTTAGTAGAGACGGGGTTTCACCTTGTTAGCCAGGATGGTCTCGATCTCCTGACCTCATGATCCACCTGCCTCGGCCTCCCAAAGTGCTGGGATTACAGGCGTGAGCCACCGCGCCCGGCCTAATTCTTAACATAAACCTAAAATATGCACTTCTGTTAACTTTGCGTGTTAGAAAAATAAGACACAGAGAGGTTAAATAACTAGTGTAAAATTGCACAGTTAGTTGGTAGTTGATCTGAGATGAGAAGCCAGCCAGTTAGATTCCAGAGCTAGTTGTTTTAAACTCTGTGCATGTGTTGCAGGAGAGGGTAAAGTGAGACCTTTATATAAGAGCAAATTATAAGTCTGAAATCAGATGGATTGCACTGTTAACCCTTTTGGAGGCTGGGATTAGAAGCATGGAGGAAGAGACTTAGACTTTTTGTGTAATACACTTCAGTAGGAGATGAAATGATGGTCAAACTATAAAGGACTTTTATTTTTGTGCTTTTTTGTATTTTCAAATATTGTCTATTTTTATATATTCAAATACTGTCTATTGGATGTTGAACATGTGATGCTTTTTTTCATTTGGAGCACATCAATAACTGTTCTTCTAGAGTTTTAAGACTCTGCCTAGTCTTTGTGAAAACATTCCCAGTCTCCTCAGTGAGAATCAACCGTTCCTTGATCTGTTGTCCCTCAGGTAACTTTTCCTTACTGTGCCTTATGTTGTGTTAGTTTTCATCCTGCCCTAGACGGGAAGATTATTGAAGGCAGAGATGGCATATAGTAGGCATTCAACTGTTGTTTGTCAGGTGGATGGATGGATGGGTGGGTAGGGGAGAGAGAAAGAAAGTATGAATGGAGGATTTTTACCTCAAGCTTTAGCTTCATTGTCGTGTTATCATCTTAATACTCTCACAGGTAGAGCTGCTGGCAACTCTTGAAATCATTGTGTGGTACATCTAGCTTGATGCCAGGATGAAGCAGGGCCAATGATGACAAGTGCTATTTAATGGGATTTTCTTCACACAGCTATGAGCTTAATAATGGGAAGAAACACAGCAAATAAATTCTTTGAAACTTTATCAGCCTTGGGTGGAGATGATGAGACATGGCCTAATTGTAGCAGAAAAATAAAACTTAGGAACAGCATTAAAGGGCCAACTCTTCTACTTTAGCCTCCTATGAAGATGAAACAATCCATGAAAAAATGAGAGAATATGTTGAAAGCCTTCAGCAGAATACTTCTTACTTAGTAAGTATTCAAGAAAGGTATCTGTGTGCATATATATCAAAGGAATATGGCACCCATCAGTTCTTATAGGAATCCTGGATAGGAAAAGAAAAAAGCTTATATGAATCATTCATTATTTGATATAATTTGAAAATTTGCTGAAAAAAGATATATAATCTGTAAGAAGGAGAGAAAAAAGAAGTGAAACTCACTTAATTATTGATCTGCTCATATATTCTTTATGTGTCTCCACCCTTAAAGATAAGGGATTGATTAGTTAACTGGGGAAGCAATCACATTTTCAAATTATCAGTTTGATGCCGCTATATACTTGGAATGATTATTTCTTTACAAATGATTGTGCGGAGTTGAAAGTACAAGCTGTCTAAAGCCCTCAGCAACAGACTTGACTGGTGGTAGCCACAGGGGCAGAATTGGCCTCCTTGGTCGGCTGATCCTGGCTTAACCCCTTGAATGCCAAACTGGCTTTCAGTAGATGTGGAAAGGGATAATACATGCTGTGACTTTCATTGCATGTATGCTTTGTAATTGCCTTGCCGTAGAGAGTATGGCCTCCAGCAGACTAGGAGGTGTGGCCCTTCAGGGATTTTCTTTCAAACGTTAGGTTACTGAGGGCAGGTCAATCAATGGACTCTCTTCCTCAATATCTAATCAGAGACAGGCACTTCCATGTCCCAGGATCTCACTCCTCACTAAAGAGACACTGAGTTTTTGTGTCCTCCAACAAAATGAAGAAAAGCAGGCTGTGCTTACAGACCAAGAATAAGCAGGGTTGATATTTCCACACTGTCAAAGACCTGTGCCTACTCTAGCAAGGGCCGGGATATTTTTCAGGACTATTTTGAATGGGCCAATTCCTCAAACTCAGAAGTAGAACACCTGTTTGTAGCCCATGCTTTGGTGTAAGTCATTTGTTGAAGAAGAATACTGATGAAGGAGATAAAGAAGGAGTAGCAGAAGGAGTACTAGGAGGAAGAGGAGCCAGAGGAGGAGGAGAAAGAGAAAGAGGGGAAGGAAGAAAAGGAGAAGATTAAGTAGATGATAATGATGATGACAACTATGGTGATGTTCACTTTAATCTGAGCCAACTCTAGAGATTTTGAACTATCCCTTGAGCAGGTACAGGACTCAAGGCAAAAAATACATTGCCACCCTTCCTGCCTCACTCCCATATCTCTAACACTTAATGAGGAAAGTCGTGCTCAATATCAGGGACATCCTTGAAGAAGGCAAGTCCTCAAAGAGTGGAACATGTATGCGTGTTGGGGATAGAGGAAAGTTCCTCATGGTGGTGAGGAAACAGGTTTCTGAACTGCTTGTTTATAAGCATATGGGCCTTGGGTGACTTTAAAATAAACAGTTGGAGAGCCACTTTCTTTCTACAATCTTTCCAAGAACATTTAAAAGGATGGTCCTTGTCTCTTAGGCCTTAGGAGCAGTTCTAGCTCTGTGATTTCGTGAAGATCATTCTTTTGTACTTGAGATGTCCAGAAGAATTTCATCGTAAATGCAGATATAAAGTTTGTAATATAAGGACCAACATGTAGTTTTAAGTACCCACTACATTTGTACCCAGTGCTAAATGTTGTATAGAATATTTAAAAAGTGCAGAATTCTTTGCCTCAACAGATCTACTATCCAGTTAGCTGGAATTTTCTTATAAGCTAAACATTTCAGTAATTTAATCACCCAAGTTTTTAGGAGCTTTTTATGAAACACTTATAAACTACTAGGTACTGGGCTAGGAAGCTATTAAGACTCTAATATTAAATCAAAGTTATTGTTTTGATGAAGCTGGTGGAAAAAATAAATATTAAATTGTAGTACATGTACTGTGAGACCATAAAACTTTAGAAGATTAAGAGACCAAGATAGACTATACGAAGTCATGGGGAGCAGGGCAGACTCCCAGTAAATCCTTTTTGAGTGGTCCAATCTCAATGTGCATTTATCCATTTACTTGGTAAACATTTGGCAAGTAGTACAATGCTACAATTTGTTCTAAATTTTGTATTAAATTTTGAGCTCCCATTTAATCCTGGGATGGGGTGTTGATGGCCAGAGAGGTGGGGAAATTTCAGAACGGACTGCATGAGTAGGCAGGTGAGAGCTCTCCAAGAAGCCTTAGTCTGTTGGAACCATAGAAGATCCCGACTCACCCCCTCACTCTTCAGATGAAGAGCTTGGTCAAGCAAGAGAGAAAGAACTTGGATTCAGGACCACCTAGGGCCTGGCAAACAGCAACCCCTGGCCAGGTCCTAAGGCTTCCCACTGTCTTTATTTCTTTATTAAGAGATTGTGACACTGCACTCTCTGGGCACAGGTGCAAGCTGGGGGTCTCCCGGGAAGAAGTTGTGGTACAGCCTGTTCTGGATTATTGAAAGTGATAGCTGCTTGGAATACATCAAAGAGTAGATGGAGATGAAGAGGAAAAAGTAAAGAAAAATAAGAAAAAAGAGAAGGGGGAAGGGAAGGAAGAAGGGAAAGAGGAGAAGATGCTTATCATGGGCCAGACCCTCTGCTAAACTCACTACACAAATTGTCTCCTTTAATGGGCACATCAGTCCTATGAACAAGATAGATATTACCCCACTTTACGCATGAGAGCAGTGAGACTCGGAATAGTTATGAATCTTACCCATGCTCACATTCCCCACAAATGGTGGGACCACAGATCAAACCCGCATGTATCAGACTTCTGAGTTAGTGCTCTTAGCAACTGCACTGACTATGAAGACAAGAGTACCCCGACCACCTCATACTTTGACCCTTAGCTTCTCCATCAGTGCTTAGTGTGATGCTGTTTCTCTCAGCCTGTGCTTTGAGGGGAAGGTGAAAGTGCCAGGCATTGTGATTTTTCACTTGCAATTTCACTTAGTCTTCACCTCTCTCTAAAGCTATGATTATTAGTTCAGTTTTGCAGGACAGGAAACAGGCTGGGAAGTTCAAGCAAATGGATTCAGGTCACCTGGCTTGTAAAGCACAGAGCTGAAATTCAAATCAGATCCCTCTGACTCCAAGTCCATGTAACTTTCCTTCTATCATGAGTTTCCAAGCCACAGAAGGGAAGGATCCCTCGCAGGTAATTGAGGGCCAACTGTGGCATGCCAACCATTTTGGGTTGGAGGTATTGGGAAGGTTTGGGGTGGGGCCTAAAACCTAAACATTTTAGCAGCTTAGTTTCTCTGTCTGCACCTGGAATTCGTGTATTTTACCTTGGAGCAAGTTTTTAGGAACTGAATCTGACTAGTGGTTCAAGAACAAGATGCTCAGGCTCCACGCGTCCTGCTGTAAACTCAACTTTGCAGAGGTGTCTAAGCCATGCAATCTGTCTGCATAATATCCTTTCTTTTTAGAGAAAGATATTAGAAAAAAAGATGCCTTTCTAATGGCAAAAGAGGACAGGCACCTCTGTTATCATATGATAACCATCTGCTTAAGGAGTTAGAGCTACTAATTGGTCTCTCATCCTCAATATAAAAAAATACACCTCCAACTTGGGGTTATTGTACAGTTCACGCATCAAAATCTACGTTAAATGAAACTTCAAGTTGTGGCACAGACCACAACTTCTTTTTTTTTTTTTCCTTTCTTTTTTCCTTTTTTTTTTTCTTCTGTCATGAAAATTGAAATGACTGCCAGGAAGGCATGGAGAAAGCTTGTGCGACAGATGGAGGAATTTCTGAGGCCAAGGAAGCCTATAATTTATATTTCTTAGGGCTAGTATAAAGCACCCTCTAAGGAGCCCAGCCTGGGGTGCTGAGGGAGCCTGGTCAGTGAGTGGCTAAATGTAAACTGTAGGATAGCTTTGGGATTTCAGGGTGTAATAATCAGACAAAATCCTTGTCCTCATGAAACATAATATTCTAGATTTTTCCCTCTTTATGTGAAGGTGAGTTTTGAAATAAAGGCTGGACTTACAATTAGACTGAGTAAGTGTTACTCATATAGGGTGACTTAAGGGCAGCTTAAAGACCTCTCCCCTTCCCTGTCTCCCAACAAACATGAAACAACCATTCCATCAACTTGTTAACAGTGTCTAAAATCCCAGCATTACAGATGTATTGTGGATGCATTTTGAATTTTGAATTTAGGAATAATCTCCTACTAACATATACATCCTTTTGATGAGCACTTCAACGTGGATTTGTTTCTTTTTCTTCCCAAAACAGACATTTGAGAGCAAAGCTCTGGGCAATGGAGACCACACAGTGAGAGAAACAACTCAGAGAAGTAACAACAGTGAAAACAAAATGGTCTAAGGTTTTGTTGAGGTTGGATATTCATGCAGGATTATCCAGTTGGTAGTGAGCATCTTCCCTAAACCTTGCTATGGCAATATTGTAGGGGACCGGCTTCATTTAGAAAACGCCACAGGACAGAAAGGAAGTGATAGACATATATGGCAAAGATGCCATCTTGTTCCTGCTATCAGGAGGGCCCATGAACCCTCCCTTTCACCCTCCATTGTTCCCTGACAATCTGTAGTGGTAACTAGAGTTACCATACCTGTGCCCAGCTGATTGCTCTAGCAAAAACGCATTCTTTTTTTTTTTTCCCTAAACCACCAGCCCAGTGGAATTCACTTGCTAATTGGTTCTTCAATGTTATGTGATTTAACCAATGAGAAAGAGAATGCTTGCAGAAAAAAGAGGTAGAATGTTCATCCAAGCCATGATTGAGGTAATGAGCAAAAACTTGACAGACTCCAGGATTCTTCTCTTCTGTTTCTCCAAATGACTTAAAGGCAATGATCTAGTTCATAGCCTCTGATCCTGCTGTCACTCCTAGTTGGAGAGTCCTCAACCATCCTTTCTAATTATCAACTCCTCTAGTGCCTTCCAGGTTTAGAACAAGACTCATGTTCTCCATTAAGTGCTTTCTTTCCATTCTCGTCTACATAGTCCACTCTTATGACCTTTTATTGTTTTATAGACTCTTATTATTTTAATGATCTGTAGTGTTAGATATCAAATTCACAGACATTCTTTGCATCTCTCTAAATGACCATTTAAACTCCTTAAGGACTAACGTTTAAATCTTTAATCCATCTTGAATTGATTTTTGTATAAGGTGTAAGGAAGGGATCCAGTTTCAGCTTTCTACATAGAAGAAAACCTAGGCATTACCATTCAGGACATAGGCATGGGCAAGGACTTCATGTCCAAAACACCAAAAACAATGGCAACAAAAGACAAAATTGACAAATGGGATCTAATTAAGCTAAAGAGCTTCTGCACAGCAAAAGAAACTACCATCAGAGTGAACAGGCAACCTACAAAATGGGAGAAAATTTTCGCAACCTATTCATCTGACAAAGGGCTAATATCCAGAATCTACAATGAACTCAAACAAATTTACAAGAAAAAAACAAACAACCCCATCAAAAAGTGGGCGAAGGACATGAACAGACACTTCTCAAAAGAAGACATTTATGCAGCCAAAAAACACATGAAAAAATGCTCGTCATCACTGGCCATCAGAGAAATGCAAATCGAAACCACAATGAGATACCATCTCACACCAGTTAGAATGGCAATCATTAAAAAGTCAGGAAACAACAGGTGCTGGAGAGGATGTGGAGAAATAGGAACACTTTTACACTGTTAGTGGGACTGTAAACTAGTTCAACCATTGTGGAAGTCAGTGTGGTGATTCCTCAGGGATCTAGAATTAGAAATACCATTTGACCCAGCCATCCCATTACTGGGTATATACCCAAAGGACTATAAATCATACTGCTATAAAGACACATGCGCACGTATGTTTATTGCGGCATTATTCACAATAGCAAAGACTTGGAACCAACCCAAATGTCCAACAATGATAGACTGGATTAAGAAAATGTGGCACATATACACCATGAAATACTATGCAGCCATAAAAAATGATGAGTTCATGTCCTTTGTAGGGACATGGATGAAATTGGAAATCATCCTTCTCAGTAAACTATTGCAAGAACAAAAAACCAAACACCACATATTCTCACTCATAGGTGGGAATTGAACAATGAGATCACATGGACACAGGAAGGGGAATATCACACTCTGGGGACTGTGGTGGGGTGGGGGGAGTGGGGAGGGATAGCACTGGGAGATATACCTAATGCTAGATGACGAGTTAGTGGGTGCAGCGCACCAGCATGGCACATGTATACATATGTAACTAACCTGCACAATGTGCACATGTACCCTAAAACTTAAAGTATAATTAAAAAAAGAAAAATAAATAAATAAATAAACTCCTTAAGGAGAAGGATGGTGTCCTATATATCCTCAATGTTAGTGACTTACATGGTACTGTAGCACTTTTTGAATGAAATTGAATTGACTCATTTATCTGCAATTCAGTTGCAGTGCTAAGTTACTAGCCTTGAGTTGGAATGAACAGTGCCGAAGGATATAAGACAAATGTTAAAGTTGGTGAAGCCTTCAGGAGAATAGCTCCATGAGTAACCATAAATTCCCTGTGAAGCTTGGATGAAGAACATACTTTATATCCATAACCCTGGACCACTATGAGCAAGCAGGTAAAAAAAAAAATGAAGGGTGGTTGAGATGAAAGGAAGAGAAAAGTAAAGAAGACTGGGGAAACTGGAGACATATTTTGAAACTATAATCAAGAGGACAGTTCATCATCATGTGTTTCCAGGCCCAGTGTTTTGTAGTAAAGTATGGTTTTAGAGAGAAAAAAAAAATCACTGGGACAGAGAAGAAGTTTTTCAGTGAAGTATGAGCTCCTGGAAACAACTGGAAGAGAAAAAGAGGAACAATTCTGGAAATGGAGTGACACAGGTGTGGAAATGAGAAAAAATGGGTTGAAGACCCTGGGTCTAGAGATGAGAAAATATGGGCATACTTGGGGTAAAAGGTTGTGCAGCCAGGATGGGTCTTAAGAGGTATCAAGGGGAGTTTACGTAGTTACTCGCAGAGTTCACCTGGGCCATTGCGGCTCTTGACTCCTTTCCCTACCCAGGAATGAGAGGGCTCTCCAAAAGGTAAGGAATGTCTAGGGTTGTGGTGTCAGGGAAATGAGGCTGGAGAGAGTTTGTTCAGCTAGGGGCTGGTTATTAGCCGTCCTCGTCTTCTGGTGTTAAGGCTCTAGCCTATTCATCTCTGGGGACAGATTATACCTTGGAGAGAGCAGAATTGGGCTCAGAGTGGCGAGCTAGGCTTTACTACTGCATTCCCCAAACCACTTCAGCTGTGTTGGTTTGTTTTAGGTATCTCAAAGTTTGCTTATTTCTAAGGATGAGATTTGTTGCTGCTGCCAGAGGGAAAATGGTCTGAACTTGGGAAATATCCAGAAGCCCATGGCAATGCTTTCATTCTCTTCCTGGGACTGATTTATATCCATACCCTCAAGGCATGGCACTCTGTTCTCCCATCTATAAAATGGGATAATAACTCTGCTGATACAGATACTATGGGAATGAATGCATTCACCAGGACTCTCTCTTTGAAGTCAATGAGGATGTGTTATCATTACCATAAACACTTTCACACTCTCCCTTTGAAGACACAAGCACAACCCGGAGGCATCTCAAATGCATTTAATTGAGTCCATTTTTTTTTTCTCCCAACGGAATCATATGAGGGATGGCTAAGGTGTGTGAGTAGGAGGAGGCAGCCGTGTGGGTGGAGGAGAAATAAAATGTTAAGGGCAGAACTTCAAATCCTAATAGTAATCATAAGCCTAATAATAATGATGTGGATTATTGTCAGGAGTGCCCGACTTCTCCTTTTTTAAACATTAAGGCCCTTCCGAAACATGCTGTAAATATCAACAAAAAATTTGGGTAGCCTCTGGGGCTGGAAGCTGATTTCAGAGGTACAGTTTACAGGAGGGAAAAGAAGCCCCCAAGCACCATTGTCAGTAGTCACAAGAGGAGCCAGAAGTTGGAGATTTTGTCAGAAGGCAGATTTGTAGCCCTTGTAGTCTACTTTGTTGGCAAAAATGGCAATTCCAAAGTGAATTCCAACTACCAGATGCCTGCTTTTATTATTCAAGATTCAACCTTAGCACAAAACCTTTGGGTGATTTTTCTCTTTCTTTTTTCTTTTCTTTCTGCTCTTTCTGGGCTGATTCTATTAATTTCCCCCAATGGCGTGTGCAGCCCTGCACTGATGCAGCCATTGATGATCTCCTTATTCATTTCACAGCAGAGAGGCCATTTGGATGAATATATGTTCCCCATTTTCTTTGCATTATAAATTCAGTGTTGTGGCAAAAGGAGCGAAATGTAATGACAAGGCCTCCACAGAGAAATGTCCCTATTTGAGAAGAGGAGTTTTATAGGGGGGAACAATTGACAGCCTCTCAGTACAGTGGGCACATTTTTCTGTACAACTGCATCACCACTAATGATAAATGAGGAACGTTTGATAGCCGGCTCCGTTGTCTGACAGCTACAGTTTTGGCCAGAGGGCCGTGGCAGGCTTTAGACTTCTGTTCAAAATGAGTTAAACATATTAGGCATTATGAAGGCACAGAAGCCTCGAGAATGAGTGCTGAAATGAGTGATCCGGGTAGGCTCCTGGGTACACAACTTGCAAAGCAGATGTCATTCTAATAATGTGTGATATAGAACATGCCTGGCCTAAACCCTGCTGGATGAAATATGAAGCCCCGTTGGTGATATTTAATACCATTTTATGAGGTGCCATCTTATAAAGACAATGCCCGCCTTATGTGGAATGCTTAAGGTATTTTGCCAAAGGCACAGGGAGGTATCTGAAGTAAGTAGAATTTTTATTATTTTATAAGCCTTTACTTTGTAATATTTCTGTTTCCACATTATTGTGGGGGCTTGCTGCCCTAACCCTTTGTCGAGTGAACTTGATGAGCGGCTTGCCAGTAGATTGACGGATAGCCCGTGCTGTTCCTGGAAGAAAAGGCTAGCTCCTACCTAAATGCATTCTTCCAAAAACCCTCAAAGAGGAAATACAGCTTTGCTACAAGCATTCTTCGAGCAGGGACTTTGAGGCTGGCATACAAAAATATTGCCATTTTTTCAAGTAGACCATTTTGAGCGTAATAGAGGATTTGGATGGACTGCAGCTTCCTGAACACGCTTTCTCCTTCCTCTACAGTTTCTGATGCTAGGAGCCCACCAAAGCTTCCAATTTTGGGGTCCCATTCAGGACATCCCAAGGTAGATGAGCTTGTAAATCTTAGCCACAGCATCAGTGTGGGGCTTGCTGCCCCTAATGTCCTAAAAGATCTAAATGTGTGAATAGCAGTGGCCCAGGGCTGGCTGTGTTTCCTGGGAGAGGTGTGTGTGTTGGAGATAGGGTAAGGGGGCTCCTGGAAATAAGACTACCCAATTGAAAACATGTCACATTTACATTTTGTTTCAAAATGCCTTCAGTTACCACCTTGCTTACCCCATAAGGCATTCCTGAAGTTGAAAACCATATAACTGACCAGATTGAAGGTGCAGTGTCTGTTCTCCTCATCCTGGTGTTCTGGGCAGTGACATTTCTTGGAGTATCTGTTAGGTGAAGGGTCCTGTATTGATTATAGATGCAGTGGGTGAAGAGGAGGAGAATCATTTTCTTCTTCTTCTTCTTCTTTTTTTTTGAATAAAAAAAGTCTTCATTTTCTGAGAGCTTGGCTAGACCATCTGCGGAAATATAAGATGTACCAAACAGCTTCCCAGTACATGTGCAAAGTAACACAACCAAGGACAGTTAATTCAGAATTCAGGACGAACCCTCTGGATAGACCTCTGCTAAAAACTTTTGCAATGAAGCAGCACTCTCTATTAACGCTAAAGCATATGCACAATGCCCATGGTTTTTTAGATGTCTGTGGCTAGGAAGGCTAGTCGTTAATACACCATTGTCTCTTTGCCACCACCAATGGAGCTATTTGCTAACACATAGTCTGGTGTTTGTTTTCCAAGGGGTTTATATGGGTTGTTCTTATTCTTATTATGTGCGATTGAGTTAAATATTTACTAACTGATGAAATATGACTGCAAGAAGAAGAGAGTTCTCCCTCTGTTATTGAAATGAACACTTAGGGACTACTCGATGAAAGCAAGTCACTAAAATAAGTGTTCGGTTGGATTAGGCATGCATAAGACATCTGCAAGGGATTGGGGGAAGATCATTAAAATTAAAAGCACTTTACATTCAGATTGCTTTGCAAGTGTCTTGGTTCTCACCCCACTTTAAAGAAACTGAGATTAGAAATTGTAGCAGATGGAAACTATGGGTGTGGTTTATGCAAGAAAGACAACCTGCACTCCAAACAGCTGATTCAAAGATGAAGCTTAGGTTAGATCAGAAGATTGGCAAATAATCTGCTTTTATAATTTTCAAGCTAAATGAAAATGTTTAATGTCTATATAGATGATTTTTGGAGTTCTATGCTTTGACATACTTTTTCCATTGATCAGCCTGATATAGGTCCTCTTTGCAGAGAATCTGAATCTATTCAAGTTCAAACTGTTGATAGAATGCCAAGCAGAATGGTTATTTTCTTCGATGAGCTGGATTTTCACTCCTGTTTTTCAGGAAGTGAAGAAGATTGGAAAAAGTTTCATATTCAAAATAGAACAACATGATGGAGTAGGGAAAAGAGCACAGCTTTTGGAATGTGATGACCCAGTTCTGATACTTAGTATAAACAACCTTGAGCAGGTATGTCACTTAACCTTTCTGAACCTGTTTCCTCATTTGTAAAATGAGGGTGATCATATTCTTTCCTGTCTACCTTTGGCTAGCACATGATATAATGTGCAACCTTTAACATCATGTATGGATATGTTACCCCTGCTGCTGCTACTATTACTGTCATTACTGTCGCTGTTACTACGAACGTTACACTGCTGCTGTTACTGCAACTAATACTATGCACCAACTAGTACTACTTGGGTGTTAATGTGACTAGGGAGAATAAGCACTGGTTCTCCTTCATTCCTCATGGCCTTTTCTGGAAATACAGCTTTGCTTCTGAGGCAGGGAGAGTACTGAACAGCAGTTTGGAAGACCATTTTCTAGTCTTCTCTTTGCCACTCACCCTGTGTGGCAAAATCAAGAAGGTTTCTCGATTCTCCTATGTGTAGAATGAGGGACGTTATGCTACCCCATGGTTTTCAAGCTGCTTTTCTTCAGAGCCCTTGGTAACTATATCCATATGATCAGTTACATTAGTGTATCACTTTATGTAGTGGGTCTATGTAAGATTTTTGTCTAAAAAATAAAAAAATTAATATCGTAAAGAGTTTATAAATCACTGGATTAGAGGCTCCCTAATGTCCCTTTAAGCTCCAAAATCCTTCCATTTTTGTTATTCTGTGAATTACCATGACCCCCGTTCCTTGACTCAGAGAACTGTGGTTATTTAATTCCCAACCTAGTCACCAGAGCCAAAGAGAGCAAATTGCCCAAGCAATTAATTTTCTCACATATGTGTTAGTGCCAGCTTCCAGCATGTGGCCTGGCCCTTCCCTTTGTGGACAATGGCAGGCTCAAGGTCCATATGACAATATCTTTTATGCCAGATGTCAGGTCTATCCTTTAAATGAGACCTGAGACCTTCTATACCTTCCAAGAGAAGATTGGGAGACTTGTGATCATCATTTTTAACTAATGTGTTTTAAAGGCCTGTGTTCACCTTACAAAAATACAAGCATTAAGGAAGAAGAACATGTGATAGGTACAAATACCCTGTTTAAGTCTCTTTGTATGAAATCACAGTTGATTGATCTTTTGATATAAACATCTTGATAAATAGGGAGAAACTCATGTTCCAAAAAATGAGAAGAGAAGTTGTGATTGGTTGCTACCCTAGGGCCAGTCTGTGCCTCAGCAAAGGTACTAAAAGGAATTGAATAATTTCCCCCTTCACTTCTCTTTGCTGGAAAGTTCCCAGGTTGTTTCTCCAACAGATTCACCATAGGCATAGGCATAAGCCCTACTTCCAGGAGAGCCACCCACTGCCTCTTTAGTTTCAGTGTGCTGACCGTCGAAGTCTCTTTGACTCAGAGTGGATGACAACTTGATATTGCCTGACCAGGAGAATTTGGGGAGACTGAAACCCTTCAACTGGACTCTATCTCTTGAGTGTTATAATTTTTATCCTATTGCGATAAAGAATTAGAGAGCTAATAAGACCAGAGAGAAGCACCCCTAATTTCCATAGGCTTCTGAAGCAAAGTTTTTGACTACTAACCTCCAATGAAGCACAAGCTCCTCATTTGTGTTCTGTGAATTTTCACAAAGGAGTCTCTCTATTCTGACTTGCATTTGTAGTGAAGAAGGAAACATTGCTCTGCTTCTGGACAGACAGATTAATCTGTACCTAAGTGTCCCGTTTTCCCACAGTAGGGTAAAAACTTTGCCAGCATAGTGAAGAAACTGAATGATTCAAATAAACAAATATTTTGGTTGTCGGAGAGTTATGGCAGCTACTATATACATGGTTTCTTATTTCCAATGTGTCAGAATCCAATAATTATCTTTTGGAACAATTAACATATGGAGCATAGTTGTATTCGATATACACTAGTATCAGTATATGGGAGTTGCAGATATCTATCCAGGAATATATAAATAAAGAAAAAAAGAATTCCTCTTGAGGATTAAGCTATAAAGTCAACATCTATTGGATCAGAGCATAGATAAGCAATGTCTTATAGTAATGAACTGATTTTCACATTCAGAAATACCTGGCTGCAAGCCAAGTCATTGTCATGACAAATCTACAGAAATAATATGTTTATCAGAGAAGGGACTAATCAGATACAAATGTAGAAAAAGAAGAGAATTATGGCAGTAATCCTTGGCTCATCCAAGTCTCCTCCAGGAGAGAGAGGGGTAATGCTGTGCTTTGGGTGAGATGGGTATGTCTGGCTATGCCGTCTAACATGCCAGCAGTCCAACCGCTTGTTCTGATTCACAGTAGCTTCCAATAAGTTTTCACCTTACCATGAGGCTCTAGCCTGGAGAAGAAAGCTACAAGGACAGCCAGACTCAAGGATTTCGGTCTGAATGAAAATAATATTTCTTATAAATAAATAAATGAGTCTCCTAAGCTTGGTTTTCACGAGTCTCTCAGTGAGAGAGGAGCTGTTCTTAGGTGTGCTGATGAGTTAGGTTCCAGAGGCTGTCAGAAATACAGACCAGACCCTTACTAACCACGGACCCAGTTCCATCTTATGTCATGTCCATCAGGGTAAGTGCACGAAGGAAATAAATGTGGGCCTGTGAGACCTCATGGGAGACAGCTTGCTGGGCCCTCCCCAGATGGGCACACTCTTCTGTATGTTTACACTGTGGCACCACTTCCTCTAATGAGAATTCTCTACCTGTCATAAGCAATGTGAGTGTACGTACGAGTAGGTAAGTCAGATCTCTGTGTCTCTCTTTTCCTCTGTTTTACCATAGCAGGCAAAAGAACTGCTGAGTCCTCAAGTCAACCATTTAACATTTTCAGCTTTGTTATTTTTCATGCTTAGCCCTTGAATGCTGCGTCTAGGCTTGAGTTTAGCCATTATTTTTCCCTTTTTTTCATTCCTTTCCTTTAAGAGTTTTATTGAGATTTAATTGGCATACAGTAACAACACATGTTTAAAGCATGAGATTTGATGAGTTTTGACATATTTGTATACCCATGAAACCATAACCATAATTAAGATAATAAACATATATATTACCCTCAAAAGTTTCCTTGTGCCTCTTTGTAATTCCTATGCCCCCTGCTCCTGGGTGATTACTCATTGACTTTTTGTTCTAGCCTTCTGTTTTAAACTAAGCTCTTGCAGGAGTATTTTTGCACTAGTAACCTGTAATAACATTTTTTTTTTTTTGCCTTCCTAGCTTCCCTTAATCCAGTTGCCTAAACTGACTTATCTAGCTCTATTGAAAACCGGTGTCTGCATTTCACTTCTTGCTGCAATAATTCCCTGTTAATTGTGACCTCCTTGTATGGATTGTGTTTTATTCTTTGCTGCTAGAATTATTTTATTTCATGTTCCTGCTGCATTGTTCACCTGCGTGGCTTGCTATACCCCTGACACCAACCATCATCAGATAGTTTCCACCTTTTTTTGGCTGCCGTGCCGTGCATGGCAAATAACTTTGTATTGCCACTACTTTACTGTATGTACTTGTTAATTCTGGTGAATTTCCCCCCTTGCCTTCTTCTGGAAATGCTCCTGAATGGTTGCCTAAAGCCACTGGCCTAACCAGTTGTTAGCTTTCACTCGTCCTGGAAAGAATCCATCCCATCACCCGTTGACCCCAGTACTACCAGGAAAACATTTAGCACTAAAACTAAACCAAAGTTATTTTGATTATTGGCCAATTCTAAAAGCTCCTTAGAATCATGGGGTACCTCAGAGGAACAATTATAAATGCCACTGGCCTGTAAATATGTTGAATTGACTTATTGGTTAATTGAGAATTCTGGGTTTTAGAAAAAAGAATAAATTTATGATAGTGACTAGATCCCAGCTAATGAGAAGAGTGAGGGAAGAAGGTTATCACAGGGGCTATGAGCCTATTTTCAGGAGGGTTACCATAGCTTTCTCTTTATTTAGTCTTTGAATACTGAGATTTCTATTTTGCTGGAGAAACCCAAAGGGCACGAGGTAATTACAGCTTCTCCCCCTCTGCCTTAACCAGCATCAGGGTGAAAAATTAAACAAAAAGAAATTTAATTCATTTCTCTAACATTTATTAAGTTACCACCATGGCCAGACTCTAAGTTACTTTGTGAGGAGACTTAAAGTGAATGAGGTCATCTCTGCTCTCAAGTTGCAGACAGCTCAGTGGATGGAAAGGAAAAGTTCCTGCTCTGATATTAGAAGTTGCCTTGGTGACTCTTCCTTGTTAGAACAGCATTTTTTTTTAATGTTGCTTTTGGGTGTCCAGACTCTAGACCCCATGTGATTAGGGGGTTTTTCATGCCTTAGCTAATCTCCCAGACTCAATCTTAGACCTAACTTGAGTAAAATACCTGCTTGATCATCTGGCTCTGGCAACACCTCTGGAACTTTGATGCTTGACTTACTGGTGCTCAGCAAGCTCATTCTAGGTAAACTATTCAGTCAGCTCATTGCATTCTGAGATGATGGTGGGAAACGCTCTGCTGTGGAGAAATGGAAATAGCTGTGGCTCATTTTCATGTGTTACCCACTGAATCTGCATTTCCAAATTGCTCTGTATACTCTCTTGAAGTTATAGGGCTGTTTTCTTTCTACATACCTTCTGAGGAGTCTATGGATTCTTGATCCTTGATAAGTTCTTTTTTTTTTTTTTTTTTAAAGAAGTGAAATTTGGGAGGCAGGATCAAGCCAGTAGGGTAACTCAGGCACCACTACTTAGTGAGTCTCCTTCTACCTTTGAGGGAAAATTGCATAAATAAAAAGAAATGCTGCTATTCATTTAAATATCCTCATGCCCATGGTTTACAGGTATTTAGTGACTTCAGTCATTCATTTATTTTCTGGTACATTCATTTGTAATTCTGGCCAATGCGGTACTCAAATACCTTGAGCTGTCCCAGAATATTTATTGTGTTAATACTTCCAGAACAAAATTAATTTAAATTGATATATTTTATAAACACATACCATGAAGCTGTGTCACAAAAAAAGTACGTCTTCCGACCTCAAAAATGAGAATGTCAATTTTAGAGTATGGTGACAATACCTGATACATAGCTACCTGAGGCACCCATTGCCTATGGTCTTTATAAGGCCATTAGCTTTGCACAGAGTAAACCTCTATAATCCAGTGAAAGATAAAATGCCTAGCCTTACCCAGACCACTTCTATGCCCTTCTGTTATGGAGTTGATGTTATATGCATGTTTTATGGAGAGGCAAGTGGAGAATACAAAAGAAAAAAGCTATTAAAGGGCCATATCCTCCCCACAGCTGGTAATGATGTCAGGAGCATGGTCATTATAGATAAGCAGATGAGTTTTGATCACTAATCTTTCATACAATTAAATCAACGTCTCTTCCTTTAGGTTCTTCCCTTAAACAGAATTTTAGAGAGATTGGGTGACAGGGATACTAACTGTCACCCAATCTCTCTAAACAGTATATTAATCTCTTTAGAGTATGAAATAAATATTAAAATGATATAATCATCTGCGCAAATGCACTTAAGTATAAATCTTTAGATTGTTTAATTAATGTATTCATTCATTCAATGCCTGTTTCTTAAGCACATACATATGTTAGACATTGTGACGATCAGGGGCATAAATGTGACAAAGTCTCTTTTCACACTGTGGTATTGATAATAAACCATATTTGTCTGAAACAATAAACTCCTGACACAGAATCTATTCCATGGCTGGGTTCAGTAAGAGTTTATTGACAAAATCATTGTTTCCCAATGTGTGTTCTGTGGAACACTCACCTGGAGGTGCTCTGGAAAAAAAATAAAGAAACAGAGATTCCTAGTCAAAATGTTTGGAAAATGGTAGCTATTACCATTTTTGCTTGAGGATTCACAAAACATAATCATCTATTCAAGGCTCTGGAAACATCTTACTGAATTTTATTTAATCCAGCATTTTCAAAGTTCATTTAATCAGGGTACCCTTTTAAAAAGTAAGCTTAATAACAATAGACTAAATGAAAGTGAAAAATCAATGTCCAGAAGACCTCTAATGGTTTAAACAAGTCATGGAAACCTTCAGTTCCTCCCCTGACTGCATGACTGTGGCCCCATCCCTTAGAAGCCTCATTATTGTGCCTTTTAGATTTAGTGCAGAAGAAAAATTTTGGCTCAGTACCATTAGTAAAATTGAAATGTGTGTGTGTGTGTGTGTGTGTGTGTGTGTGTGTAATACATGTATAATATACATACGTACATACGTATGTGTATGCATATATATAGTTTGTAAAATGAAACATCAGTAGACAAAAACATGCTCGTCTTAAAAATTGCCCATCCTTTCTTCCAAACATAGTCCTTATAGAATCACAAATGCTTCAAGCAAATTCTAGGTGCATTTCCATCTCAAGTCACTTGGACAATTTTTATATTATTAACCACATGAGTAGAATTTAATAGGAATAGCTAAAATAAAACTTGCCCTTACCCTACCTTTGCTTGTCAGTTTCCATTTCCTGAACAGCACTGATAGGTGTTCCACTCAGAATCCCTCCCAAATCTTTGAGGAATCCTTCAACATTTAAGAAATATGAATCAAGGTTAATTGAATAAAATGAGGGAAAATGTGTTTTTATGTTGCTCTAATAAATCTGTGGCTAGTCAATAATTGCAGAACAATACGTGGGTGAAAAATAGAAGCTGACAACTCAAAGTAGCAAATGCTGATTGTATAGGATTATATTACTGCACAGGACAATCCTGCTCCTTGCGTATTGCATGCTTCCTTGAGAAAAGCTGGGAAAGCAGGTGCATATTGCTGTGTCTATTATTTTAGTTATACAGGTGGTTCATTGAAAAGGACTTTTATTTTTGGCTCCCAAAGTTGATTTCATTCCCTTTGCAGCACGGCTTAAGTTTCTCTCATGTGCAGCCCTTGTTTCAGGCTCCATGAGATTTTTCCTTTTTTCCCCTTCCTTCTGGATATTGTTGCCACTGTCAAATGGGAAATACATAGAAATAGGAGATTAAAAATGTAAATTTTATAAACAGAAATCAAAGGTCCTAAATCCTTAGCAAAGAAAAGCCAACATAAGTAAGAACATTAAAAAACATACATAAATAGTGCTTCCAGGCTGAATATGTTAAATAATTCAACAGTTAAGTCATAAGCGTTCTTAAACTTAAGTATAAAAATGCCCTTGACAATATTTCACAGCCTTGCATTTCTTTAAAATATTTAGCATTCTCATTAAAGAGAATGACTTTAGTTTATATATTAGTTACACTCCTGCTTGTTAATATGAAGGAATTTAGGAGGAAAAAGCATTCTTATGTATATAAGCAAAAGGCAATTTACATACAAAGTTGGACAACTATTCACTTTTTATTTATTTCTGGATCATCGGCATCCACATATAGCTATACAGCATTTAAACAAATTTGTTCCTTAATGCGCAATATTAATATTCTGTGCCCCAAAGTGCCATTTGCTAATGCCATTGTGAAGACAGGTTCCTTCAAAGCTACACGAAAGTCCCTGCTTTAGAAAGACTTAATGAACCTTACATTTTTTGGAATACTGCACAGTGTAATGCCTATTACATATTCATTGCCAGAATGGAAAATTTCCTTTAACTCTGCAATTCCTGGTCTAGTTCTCTGTAAAACATTGTCAAAAGTCACCAGAGACTTTCGTGGAAAATTGTGACTCTTGATAGCAGGATGTAATGGGGAGGTTTAGAGTAGAGAATCCAGGAGTCTATCACCCCGCAGGGAGACGTTCTGACAGACAAATGGATGGATAATACAATTTTTGACATAATGGGATGAAAAAGTTTATGCCAGAAAGAACTGAATTAAAGTTATTACTTTAAAAGAAAGTCTGAAGTTTGAAATCATCAGAATTTCCAATGTGTGCTTCATTTTACTGCTTATATGCAGAAGAGATTTTAACACAGAGATGCTGTCAGGTGATTTATAGAGTTACTAACAAGGCTGCCATAAAATTTTAGTTACCTCTTTGGAAATACCCACAATAACACACATAATGTTCTTTTTTTCCCCCTCATATTTTTAATAAAGAAAATCTAGCATTGTTCTTTGATGTTTCTACTTGCTCATTACAAAAAGCAGAAGGATGATTTTCAGAGGTGCGGGATACAGTTCTTGGGAACAGAAGATACCATGGTGCAAACTTTTATCTTTGTTGAAAAGTGCTTCATAATGTAAGGACAGGCTGGGAAGTCAGCAGTAACATCTGGGCAGCAGGGCTCTGTTGATGTGGTGAGGACTCATTGGGAAGTCACCATCCATCTCTTGATGCCAACACCAAGGACTTAGCCTAAAATACTATCCCTTCCTCTCCATTATACACCCACTTCATCCACTCAACTTGGATGTTTGGCAGCATAATGCTACTTTCATTCTCCTTTTTTTCATCTTATTTCAGACCCTCAAAAAATAATATAATCTCATAGTTGGTTTCTCTGCCAATAACACTCTATCTCACTCATTTTTAAATTAGTCTATACTAGCATTTTACCAAGCAGAGTACTTCATTTCTACCCCTATGACTTCTTTGGTCACTTTGCATGGATTATATTCATTTAGTGTCTGTCCGCTTTCTGCATGTGTCCCTGAAGGTCACACCATGTCTTCTCACCTTTATATCTCAGTGCTTACCTGGCTGGGACTAAGGTGAGGTAGGTGAGGTGCCAAGGGTGCAAACATTAAGGAGACACATTTAAGGGTTGTGTGAGTGAGCACCTCTTTAACTACTTGCCCTAGGCAACTCACTTGCCACACCTCTACTTTTGACCTTGGCTTTAGCACACTGCCTGGCACATAACAAAGGCTCAATATATACCTGGCAAGTGTCAAAATCCCCTAATAGATGAGTAAAATTGAAACCATATTGTCTATCGGTGGAATAGATACCTTAATAAAACTGTTTTCTTGCCCTTAACATTTTTGAAGATAGACAATGATAATTATATCATATCTGCCAGAAATTTGTTTCATGTAATTAGATAGGAGAAGAGAACACTTGGACTTAGTGAGGAGGTATAGCTCCATAAAGGCTGAGCACTTGCCACCGCTGGGACCCAACTGGCAGAATTTACATAATCCAAAGCTTATTTGAAGAAAATCATATAATTCACTAAGATGAAATATTTGTAATTACAAACATCAAATAAAGAAGGGAAGTAAAAAAAATTCAAATGAAAGGACAGAAATTTTTTTTTAAAAAAAGGGAAGAGAAAAAAGAAAAAAACCCTGCAACTTCATAATCTTCCCTTTGCTGAATTCACTAACTGGCTTATGTGTTAGTGAAGAGATAATACAGTGGCATGTATATTAGCCAGGAATGTTCTGACAGTTCAGCGACTATAAAGCACTAATGTAAACTCTCAATGTCTACCGTTAATGGGAAAGGGAGAGAAATACAGACCCCAGAAAACTAGTGCTCTTTAAAATAACAATGTTTCAGTCAGTAACTGACAACATATACAACACTGGTCAGAGCAATAGGCTACACCATATAGCCTAGGTGTGTGGAAGGCTACCGCATTTAGATTTGTGTAAGTACACTCAATGATGTTTGTACAACATCAGAATGATACATGTCTCAGAATGTATCCCTGTCGTTAAGCAATCCATGATTGTAATATGTAACATTCAGAATGTCTATGTAGATCAAAACATCACGTTGTACACCATAAACATATACTTGTCAATCATACTTTATTAAAGCTAGGGAAAATAAAATAATGTATAGAAGAAAGTGATAGTGGAGGTCATTTGATTTTTTTTTAACATTATTCTGTTCAAAACAAAAATAAGCTCAACATGCACTTTGGAGAACCGAACTCCATTTTTCAACTTTAGGGTAACCTGCCAACTTTTATTCTTGGGCTTCAGAGGGTTATCTATTTTTATTATGACAGTGATATTTAAGAATTTTTTTTGTATTAGAATCAGGAATATCTGCTTGGAAATAAGGTGATGATGATACATACCCATTAAATTCTTATAGTGTTTTATAAAACGCATTTTCTAATGATATTGCATTTGATTCTTATAGGAATCCTGTGGTATGTAGGTATTAGAGTCCCCAGTATATCAAAAAGAAAACTGGTTGAGAGAAGCCCAGCAATTTAATTGATGTCAGCTGGTAGGTAAGTGCATATGCAAACCACTCAGTCCTCAAACCAAATGGAAAGAACATTTCTTTCCATGCTATTATTTAAATGTATCAAAAATTGCATCACACAATTGAAACCATCATCAAGTTATTCTATAAAGCATGCCAAGTGCTACAGGCCTGGCTTATGATATTTTAATGTCGTATGTTTGCATTAAGACACATCCATTAAAAATACTTTTGGAGGTTGATGCTTTCTGGGGTGCCTTCCTAGTTTTAAAGGACACAGCTTGTGTGAATAGAATCCATATCAATATTTGATACGACTGAAGAACACATAACCTAATGTGAGCTCTTTTTGTATGGAAAAAAATGCCATGCTCTCCTAATTGTGACAAGTACAAAAGTCACTGTGTTTAGTCAATGCCCTGTAACCTCACAAAGGAAAGGACTGGAAAGCCAGCAGCCACTGGTGAGAAGCATTAGCATGTACTAGTGCCCCAGAACAGTTTGGCACATTGCTCAGTGGTGCATTGGGTAGATTTGGATGGCATTTATTGGGAAATAATCCAATAATCACCTGCCAAAGCCCTTATACAAAAGCACTGTGCCCATTGTCAATCATTCACCCTCTGACATTTCAATGAACATCTTCTCTGGGATGGGTTTCAGCCATGCCAACACCCCAAATGCAACAAGCAAACAAAGCCACAAGACTAGGGAGAAGAGAAAAGACCATGCTACCTCAAAGCATCAAAAGGAAGTAACACCCTGAGCAAGAGGTTGCCGAATGTTGTTTAGCAATACAATACAGGGATCCCCAGCACCATTGTTACTGCTCACAAAGTGGTTGACATCTACTACCCACACTAAAAATAAATTTGGAGACCTAAGATCCAGACACAGCAGCAAGAGAATGGGATGCCAGAGAATCAGGGGGAAGCTCTTGGATTCCAGGAGAGAAAAAAATTAGGTGGTCCATCACACTCCACTAATCTCTCTCTCTCTATCTCCCTGCTACTTAATATATTTCAGTGTGTATGAGTAGAAAATCATGCAATATAGAAAAACAATCTGCGTCTATCCAATGCCAAGCATCTATATGGTTAAGTGTTTTTAGATTTCATATGTTGTGATTGAAAAAAGTTACATACGTTTTTACCGGATTTTCAGATACTCATATACTACCAATGAAGAACAATGTAACCCACAGAAGTTAGAGTGGCTACCTTAGTTATCTGAACACTGGGTTCAATGTTTGGTCATTATGTTGTCAACATGCAGAGCTATATAGGAATTGGTCTCTTGGCATCTCTTTATCTTGGTGATCCTGAGAAGTCTACTTTTGTTCAAAGGGGAGCCTGGAATGCCTTGGGAGTAACAAAGTAGTAAAGTATTACCTTGTTAAAAAAAAAAAAGAGCACTGTTTCAAATGGCAAACAGCAACTGCAGGTTGGGTTTCAGGACTCCTTTAAAAGAACGAGGTCCATCACATGACAACAGGTGAGTTTAGAGAGGTGCACACTGGGAGGCCACGTAAAGGGAGGCACCAGTGACTTAACTCCACAGCAAGAGAGAAAATGAATCTGAATATGATCCTAGAGAAGCAAATTTGAAATTTATCACAAATGGAAAGGGGGCCATGCCCTATGGTGCATTTCATGTGAGACCTGTCTTATTCTTCTAACTATTTGGAAACACAATTTTCCCTCCATGGTGATGTCTACATTCTCAAGTCCTTTTTATTCTTGGTAGCTTTTAATTATTTAATTTCTCAGACTGGAAACTTTGCTATGATGTTAGATGATGATATTTGGTTGAGAGGAGTGCCTAGGAATAAACTGACTTTGTGAGTATCATAAAAACCTTCTTGAGTGGCCTCAGCAGGGAAACTGAGTCTTCTTGCTCAGTCCCTGGAAAAAGTTAGACTACTTACTCCCCATGCCATGGGGTAGGTGCCCATTTGCTCTCTGGGTACTATGGCACAGGATGGCAGTAATAATTGTCCATGATAAGTAGTGATGTTCAGCTGCCAGTCAGGCTCTGCCATGGCAGGCTGTGAGGCACTCACTCACTCTACCTGCTCCTCAGTTTTTCTGCCAGTAAAATGGGAAGATAGAAGCTGCTGGCTCGCTGAGGTCCTGGAGGTTCTACTACTCTGTCCCTCCATACCACCCATTGAAGAAAATTTCCTCTCAGGAGTCCTATTTTTCCATCCTCTATTCCATGTCCTATATTTTTTGAACACCCTTTAATTCAGCTAAATATCTGGGTCCTCTTACTAAGCACCCTGCAAGCCAGGAGTGTGTGCCTCTTTTCCCCTATGTCTAGCTGGGAAGGACAGTAGGGGGACCTTTTCCATTTCGTGATTCACAGCCACTGGTCTTTCCAATATCCCCAAGAACTGGCTTTCAGAAGGCTAGCAGGAAATGTGAAAAAGAGCAATGAATATGGAGTCATCCCCACTGTCCTTCCCAGAGGCATCATCATCTTCAGACGATCGATTAAGGGCATGACACTCAGCTTGGCACTACTGAAAATGTTAAAAGAAAAAGCCACAGCTTCTGCCCTCTAGGGGCACAGACAACTGGCTATAGCATAATTAACACACATAGGGAAAATACAGAGACAACAGTAATTGCATGAACACTAAACAATTAAGCACCCTTACTAAATGGATAAAGAGAATAATTTAGTTGACAAGTCACAGGCCAGGACTCTGGATCAGGGGCAGAGTAGAGTTCAGGGTGGGGGCTGGGGTGCTCACTCTGGTGGGGGCAATGCTTTGCTCTGTGACCAAGGGAAATAAATCACTAAGCCCTTCTGTGATTTTGCAAGATGAGGGCCATGATAACTCCATCTCAGAAAAAGGAAGTTAGAGAAAATTAGTAAAGATGATGTTGGTGACCTACTTGATAATATGAACGATGTTATGGCACAGTGGAAAGAGGCCTAACTATGGTGCCAGGTATTGCACTGGGCACAAATATGACAGGTGCTTTCCTCCAGGATGCTTATGCTCCAGGGAGTAGGGAAGACATGGACACATGAGTGACCACTGAGAAACACAGTGGGGTCAGTCTAGAGCAGGGACACCCAAGTCCTCGAAGCCTAGTCACCTGTCCCATTCTCTTCAACTTCCCTTGTCTTATCACTGGGCTGATGCCCTTTTCTCCTTGGCAGTTTTTCTCTTCTTGATTTCCATAACATGGCACTTCCTTGGTTCCCCTAACTCTCTTTTGAACATCATATTAAATATTTTAAGCAATGTTTTAATATGTTTACAGATTCTTTGTAATTATAATTTGAGAGTGAGCTAAATAATATCCTATGATGTGGATACGTCATAATTTACTTAACCATTCCTGTGGGTAGATAGTTAGATTAATTCTGTTTTTGCTCTCACAATTATCCCTTCAATAGGTGAACAAGTCAAAGAATACGCACCTTTCTTAAGGTGTCTTCTGTGCTGCAGAGGCTGTACCTGCTGTCATCGTGCCCTGTCACATGTTAGAGCCATTCCAGCGCCACCCTAGTTTCTGTTTAGACCATTCGTCAGTGGTTCCTTCTCCCACTTCCCTACATCATCCTTCAAAACTCCAGCCTCTGTCTTCTTTTTTTTGTACTATAATTCTCCTCAAATACAGACTCTCATGGTGTCAAACAAATCCTCAGCTGAGGGCTCTCAAATAGATACATCTGTCTCTGAACCCTCATCACTTGGCTATCCAACCAGCCTCTCATCCACCTATGTGCCCATCAATTATGGAGCCTCTCCATACTCCATTGATACCCTTTTCCCAGAGATACAAAGATGAAGACATGGCCTCTACCCTTAGGGCACAAATAGGTTAGTGGAGTTGAGGGAGAAGACAGACAAACTGACACCTGATTAAGTTCAACTGATACAAAGTGGATGAGGATTCTCACTTCAGTGTGGAAAGAATAAGGTGTTAGGGACAGTTTCCCCCAGAGCAGGTGACATCCATGCTGAGTTCTGAAGGATGTGTGCATGTGTTAGTCAGATTTTAAAAAATAACGAAGAGTGTTTCTGTTGGAGAAGTAGCAGGATAAAAAGAAAGGAAGGGAGAGGGAACAAGGGGAAGTGCAAGCAGATCAGTAAGCATGGTGTGTGTGTGCATGTGCACACATACATACACATGTGTGAAAAGCCATTTTCATCTGGTAAGAGATGAGACCATGAATTTTTTGCTCATCACACTAATGTTTGACCTTTCTCTTGAAGGGTCTAAAGCAGGAGGGTGGCATGGCCAGGTTTGTTTTTGAGGAAAATTGCTCTTCCAACATCAGGGCAGAACGGAGGCAAGGAAGAGAATTGACGTACCCAGTGGAAGAGGTGATGAGGACTTAAACTAAATCAATGACACTGAGGATGCAGAAACATGAGGAAATACCAAAGCTATTGAGAAGGTAGAAGTGACAGAATAATTGGTTAACTATTTGTGAAGAAAAAGAAGGTTGGTGAAGGATAAACAGGAGGTATTAATGACTCTCAGGTGTTTGTCTGGGTAGCTAAACTTTCATGTAGCGTCAGTACAGATTGGACCAGCAGAGACCACCCAAGCAGAGTTGGTCAGCCATGAGATGAGAAGAAGGTCAAGGACAAACCCCCAAGGATCACTGACATTTACATGGCAGGCTTTCCTCATGAAGGGTGCTGAATTTACACGAGTGCAACACTAAAAGCTTCCATCTTTCTTTCAAGGCTGCCCTGGTGGGAAGAGCATTCAACTCTCCAACAACAAATGACTGCAACTACCTAAAGTTAAATGATACTATGACAATTGTTACAAATTCTTGACATTTGTATGTGCCAATAATGTCGTAAGGTAGATCTTAGTATTTTTTTATTAGTGATTATTAGAGAGGCTAAGTAAGTTTTTTTGAGTTTGTGCAGCTAGAAAGTGGAGGAATTAAAAACTGACAGGTCTGTCTGATACCAAAGTCAGGCTGCTTCAATTGTGCAACTGCCTTTGATGCCTCATTGTTGCCTCTTTGACCCACTTGCCTGTCCTCCTGTCTGGGATGCACTTCTGCTTTATTTCTACCAATTCACCTCCAGACTTCTAAAAAGCTCCACTCCTCACTAAGACATTCTCCCTGACTCACTTTATCTTCTATTTTTTATCTCTACCAGTTTTTCTTAATCACTCCCAATTTGTTCTTTATGGCTTAGATTTTGGATGTATTTGGTCAGAATATATGGGATGCCAACTGAATGCTAGATGTGACAATTAGCACTTTCTAATCTGTCACATTGTGACCTAGATCTTGGCCATATAGATGTGTGTAGGTCCTTGAAAAAGTAAAAATTTTCACATATTTTACCTCCTTTTAAGGTCCCATAATATTAGCATAGAGCTGATCATGGAATTGTGTTTGATAAGTGCTCATTGTGGGGATGGATAAGTAAACAGTAAGCTTGCCCAAGTGTTTACTGAGCACTTTCTATATGGGAATAAATACATCAGTATCTATATTTGTATCTGTATCAATATCTATCTGTCATCAACCATTCCTTCAGCTACTATTTATTGATAACATATTGAATGCTTGAAATACTGCCAAGATGTTAAAATATATTCAAGATGGTTATGCTTATCTTTAATTTAGAGGTGAGAAAATAGGCTTAGAGAGGTTATATGACTTGATCAAGGAAGCATAGCTACTGATGGAGATATTGGGATTGGACCTTGGGTTTATCAGATTTCAAAATCTGTACTTAGAGGGAGAGAGAGAAAGGAAGGGAGGAAAAGAGCAAGGCAAAAAACAAACAAACAAACAACAACAACAACAAACACCAGGGAAAGAAACAAACAACATTTAACACACGTAGTTGATCATGGAGACAGAAGTCAGGCAGAACTGGACATGGATCTCAGAAGGGCTGTCCAGCAAGCATGAACCAATGTGGTTATAGAGACACGGCTTTGTCTTTCATTTACTTGGGAGAGAAATGCTTCTCAAGAATGCGACTTGTTCTAGAGCATATCTCAGCTCTTAAAAGAAAAATCTCATGGAAGATAAAAATCTCATGGAAAAGAAATATCATGGAAGATAAAAATGTAACCAATGGGTAGCCAACCTTTTTTGGAGAGGCTACAAGTGGCTTCCCTGATGACAAACACACAGCTGAACATCTGATAATAGTAAATGTGTCAGGAAACCTAACAGTCACTTGGCACTACTGCATATATATATAAAGGCATCAAAGTTAACAACTTATATTATAATACAAATAAGATAATGTTAGCTGTGGACACTGATTTACTCTAGTGTCCTATCTTGGGGACACTGCTAAGATCTCTGCTACACTTGTTATATTAGCAGAATTGTTCACTTTTCTACACTTTCCCTGACATTCAGTTTCTCCCAGGAGCAAGTGGCCCCCAACTTCCTTTTGTCTGTGCCTGTAGCAAGGCCACATATGAAGCCATACTTGGCAAATTTTTTTTTTCTGTAAAGGCCAGACCAGATAGTAAAACTTCAGCCTTTGTGGGCCATCCAATCTCTGTTGCAGCTACTCAACCCTGCCATTGGACTGTAAAGCAACCACAGACAAACATCATAAATGAGTGACTGTGTTCCCATAAAACTTCACTTACAGCCAAGCACAGTGGCTCACGCCTGTAATCCTAGCACTTTGGGAGGTTGAGGCGAGTGGATCACCTGAGGTCAGAAGTTTGAGACCAGCCTGACCAACATGGTGAAACCCCATCTCTAATAAAAATACAAAAATTAGCTTGGTGTGGTGGTGGGTGCCTATAATCCCAGCTACTTGGGAGGCTGAGTCAGGAGAATCCCTTGAACCCCGGAGGCAGAGAGAGGATGCAGTGAGTCGAGATCATGCCATTGCACTCCAGCCAGGGCAAAAGAGCAAGACTCTGTCTCAAAAAAAAAAAAAATGCCCAAAAAACAAAACAAAACAAAACAAACAAAAAAACAAACAAAAACCCAATTCACTTACAGGCACTGAAATTTGAATTTAATATGATTTTCATTTGTTAATAAATACAATTTTTCTTTTGTTTAAGCCCTCTTAAAAAATGTAAAAAACATTCTTAGCTCATGGCTATACAAAAATAGGCAGTGGGCTAAATTTTGCCCCTGGGCCATAGTTTGCTGACTCTTCACTAGAGCACAGAAATTTTAGGATGATTGGATTCTTCTATGTACCTACGACAGCTTTCCAGAAGAAAATGGTTAGCTAACTGCATTAGTGCCTCTGAGCTTCAACTGTTAATTGACATTATTTCTTAATTCCCAGCTATATTTTAAGGTATGAACCTAAAGAATTTTAAAGTCATTATGTGGGTGAGGGACTGTTAAAAATAAATCCTTCAGGTTTCAAAGTGGTAGAGAGGGAATATAAGGTGTTAGGAAACCCAGGAGTTTTCAGGCAAGTGGTTCAAAAAGCATCGGGGTGGGCCACAAGTCGTCGCTAAAGGTCATTGGTACCACTCTGTGTCTTCCCTTTATGTACTTTATGCCTCTCATAAAATAAAGTTAAAGCAGTTTAATTTAACAGTCTAATTAGTAATGGATTTTTCATTTTATCTTTTTAACTATGTGTGATACAAAAATGAGGCCTGGATTTGACTCAGGCCAGGGAAGGATATTTATATATTAGCATTTTAAAATTAGGGCTTTCTGACAGCAGAGTCCAGGTGGAAGATAATCTGTTTCTGTTTGATTGCTAAAGAACTGATAGGCATGGGGAGATACAACCGTATCTTTTCTCCAAATAAGATTTCCAGAGTTGGGGGAACTCTTTAAGTCTCACTTCAACCGTTACGCATTTTCCTCCTTATTTTGTACGTGGTCAATTTTGCATGTGGATGGAGTCACTGTTACTTAGACAGCCTCTAGGTTTAGATGCAAGACTGTCCAATCTTTTGGCTTCCCTGGGCCACATCAGAAGAAGAAGAATTGTTTTGGGCCACAGATAAAATACACTAACGATAGCTGATGAGTTAAACAAACAAAAAATTGCAAAAATATCTCATCACGTTTTAAGAAAGTTTATGAATTTGTATTGGGTTGCATTCAAAGGCATCCTGGGCTGCATGCAGCCAGTGGGCCATCGGTTGGACTATCTCGGTTTAAAGAAAGCTGGGTTTATCTC
The DNA here is from genome assembly GCF_000001405.40 of Homo sapiens. Lineage (NCBI taxonomy): Eukaryota > Metazoa > Chordata > Mammalia > Primates > Hominidae > Homo > Homo sapiens. Next base: position 59,808,919 of record NC_000002.12, on the reverse strand, counting down.
TCCACTATTAGCTGTCCTATGTAACAGTGCTCCTGTGAGCTAAGTATGGGCTTCCTTTCTTCTCTTTCTCTTTTGTTCTCTCATATTTGAAATGGAGAACAAAAAATTGCCCAACATGATCTCAAAATTCAGCATCTTGGGATTAAGTTTCCTAATTAGTTTTACACCTCTGAGGCACAGCATGAGGGGCTGGGCAAAGACAAAGCTTTGAGTGCAGACCAGGGATCTTGAAACCTGACCAGGAGTCCAGAGAACCATCACCTCTGGGAGCTCAGGGAGGCTGTGCAACAAGAGGCCATGGGACCGTGGCAGACTCATACTTTTCTAGTACAAGCCAACTTCTTTTTTTCTTTCTTTCTTCTTTTTTTTTTTTTCTTTTTCTTTTTGAGGTGGAATCTCACTCTGTCCCTCAGGGTGGAGTGCAGTGGCATGATCTTGGCTCACTGCAAGCTCCGCCTCCCAGGTTTCTAGTGATTCTCCTGCCTTAGCCTCCTGAGTAGCTGGGACTGCAGGCACACACCACCACGCCCGGCTAATTTTTGTATTTTTAGTAGAGTTGGTGTTTCACCATGTTGGCCAGGATGGTCTTGATCTCCTGACCTCGTGATCCACCTGCCTCGGCCTTCCAAAGTGCTGGGATTATAGGCATGAGCCACTGCGCCCGGCTGCATAAGCCAACTTCTACATTTACTTTGTGATTTGACTTCTGCAGTCATTTAATCCTCTTCCCTGGCTCCAAGTGACCAGTCCCTAAATGGCAATAGATATTCCCACTGATGTAATATTTACTTGAGAAACACACAGCTTTTCAGAGCTGAAAATATGATTTTTAAAATAAACAATTGTGTCAAAATAGAAAAGTTCCTCAACCCATACAAAAAAAATCCTAAAAATGTCCATATTTCTGTTCATTTCGGTGACAAATCTCTCCTTTTGGGGGATCTCTAATATATTTTTTAGACTAGAAAGCCTAGATCAGATCTATTTTTTTTTAAATAAGATGCCTCTAATTTCCTGAGTTGTATTTTGTAAGGCAGTTGTAACAGACACATATCTTACGATATTTTAGAAAAGACAAAAAATGTGTCTGCCTTGGAAAACAACTTGTTTTCTAATGACGTATGTTCAGCTTACATTTTGAAATGCAGCTTTTTTTTTTTTTTTTTTTTTTTTCCATAAGGGCTGTCCCTGTGCACACACTTCAGGGAGCACGTGCAGGGCTCTGCCTCCACTTTCTCCTTCGGTGCCTGGGTTTGGGAAAAGAGGGCTTCAGCCTCCAGGTCGGAGGCAGCCCAGTTCACATGTTCTGTGAGTGTTGTGAGATCTGCTTCTGCTCCAACTTTCAGGTAGGCTTCATTGGCTTCACTGGAGATTGCAGCCCCAGGGACCTGGAGGCAGTCAGCATCTGAGGTTAATTCTAAGAGTTTTCTTTCCCTACCCACAGAGATGAACACAGAGAAACCAATTTGGTAATTACTCTGTATCCTGGTGCCCTCCTGAATTGCTCCAGTAATGGAATAAACTAGGCCAAGGGAATATTTACCCAAGAATGGGTGGAAAAATCACTTACATAAACTGGACACTAGCTCCACTCAACTGATTTTCTTCTTGGGGAAGAAAGAACTAGAAGGTGAGAGGTGAGCAGAAAGAGGAAAGTGGTCCTGAAGGTGAGGAGCTTGCAGAGGAAGACATGTTCTTTCAGGTGACATGGATTGGATGCTGTAAATGGCAGAAGGGAAGGGTTGGTATGGCTTCACCAGTTCTGGCTGATTCATTTAATTCACTTTGGATGAATCCACGGCTGTGATTTTTTGTCATTTACATGGATGGTACCAGACATCCTCCTGTAAAGTAAGCCTGGTTTATAGTGGCCTTTACTTTGCTACTGGAGTCATATGGTTCCAAAAACTACAAGAATTAGGCAGTGGGATTCAGAGGCGAGTGTTTCTAGAGAGAGACAATGGGAGAGGGAGAGGGAGATGGAAGAGAGAGGAGAGAAAGAGAGAGAGAGAGACTGAAGGGGTTGCATTCTCTTTTGGGTGGGGGTGGGGGATGAGGGCTGTGTTGCAGCCAAAAGAAAAACAAAAGATGGCATAGAGAAAGCAGATTCACTGAGAAATGAACCCTGTTGCCTACTCTGAAAAGGTAAAGGAACAAACACAAAAAGAAGTGTAAGGGACAACTGGCACCTGTTATCAGACATTAACAAACAACCATGTACTGCTAATCTGTGATCATAAAAAGGCCATCTGCTAATGCTCAAAGGTCATTAAGATGCCAGCCATGTTTACTCTGTTCTCTTTGGTTGGGCTGCTGATCATTTCTTTAAAAAAAAAAAAAAAGAAAAAGAAAATAGCTTAAATGATTATTGTGGTGGTGCCTGCTAACTCTGCTCTAGTTGGGGGTCTGTCAATATTTCCATTATAAACCCCTATTCTCAGTGCTTTAAAATACAGTCATAAAAACAACAGGTTAAATGTGTATGCATGCGTGTGTACATGCATGTACATATTTTTCTTTTCATGGATGGGAAATTTTTAAGTACATCAGCTTGACTCCATTTATGCTCAGTGATATTGATTAGAAAGGAGAGATAATTTCTTCATTTGGGGCTTTTATTTAATCTAACTGATGAACCTTTTGGGTTAATAGCCTGTTCCCAGTTTTTAAAATTTGTTTTCCTTGATAAAGCAAATGTTGGCTCAAGTAAGAGTCATCATCCCAAACTGCAGGAGACCTTGGCTCTTCCATGCTGTGGAGAGAATTGGATTACATGTGGAGTGACCAAAGACTGGATCACAGTGCTGCAAATGCAGCTCAGAAAGGGAATCTACTGAATTAAAGCTTGGCTTCCCTTTGCATGCTGCTCCTGTCCTCAAGAGTTAGTACATGGGTTACCCAATTTATCTTGTTTCTCTAACCTTTTCAAATAGATTTGTATATGTAGTTCTCTCTAAAAAGGAGAGTGGAGGGGATTTCTTTCTTTTTTTCCTTCAAGAAACCAGTGAATTCTGCTTCACAGGACCTTGGCAGGTGATATAAACATGTTGAGTGTTGAAAGGTATCAATAATATAGCAATTATCTAGAACCAAATATTCTTATTATTATATTACATATACATATGCAGGTGTACTACATATCTGCCTAGAACTATCTTTAGATAATTGCTCTTTCTTTCATTCTTTTTCTTTTATATTTTATCATCTCCTCTTTTAGGATTCTCCCGGGAAAGAAATGATGAAAACAAACCTTCGTGTGTAAACCAATTGATCAAAGGACTCAAAAACAAGTTCTATAATTCTAAAATTCCATCTTCAATCTGCCCATTGTAGCTAGTCATGAAGGTAGTTCTTATCAATAAGTGGTCCTACAGACTATGTGTTCTACTGCCTGGCCAAAGCAGGTGGGAAAGCCAGGGCCCACTCCTAAAATATTTTAGCAATACTCTGTGTGTCTGTGTGCATGCCTGTGTATGACTCTAGGATAAAGCAAGCAAGGATGGCCCAACCTTCAAGGTTATATCAACATAGACTGGTGAGTTTAAATGTGGTTTTCAAAAACCCAGTTTTTAATGTCTTCTGAGATTCTTTAGTGATGGAGGCTGAAATTACTATTCAGATTTTTTCTCCTTCATTTTTGATAACACCACCATTTCTCATTGCATCCTTGCCTTTCATCTCTGCCAATTAACTAAGTAGTCAGAGCCTTGTTTTGAAAAGTTCTGAGTAGTTAGTGAGCTCTTTTTTTCTGAGCCAAGTCAAAGTGTCCTCTGGAGGCCTCTGAATGAGGGGTCTGTCCATTGCCCCCACCCCTGTCTGCCTGTTAGTGCAGGCCTGGGCTTAATCTTTCCCTTTCAACGAGTTGCAAGCGGGGAGGGAGTTACAGAGTAGGGGGTGGGGTGGTGACCGCAGGTGGCTGAAGAAAGGGGTCTTGTTCTCATGATGCTAAATGGCTGGTTAGCACTGCTTTTACTGTGAAATTCAGCTTCTGTCACTTCGTGGTTAATTGCTTTATTATTCTCAGATCCAGATTGGACCTGATTTAGTTCTATCAGGAGCCATGACTCTCCCTGGCATTTGGCCAGGATCCTTTCGATCCTTTGATCTGAGGTTTTATAATCACATCACCGTTTAGGTTGCAGCAGGAGGCATGGAGCTTTTGCTGCTGCTTTCTACTTAGAAGTGCACAGGGTTGCTCAGTAGGTAGATGGAGTATGACTCTGACTGGGGCAGAGCATTGAAGAATGGGGTCTTATCCTAACTCAGTTTCTCCTTCCTGATCTTAGGCTTTATGGGTTTAATTTGCTTTTCTCCCTCCATTTGGCCAAAAATGAGGATGGTAGCAGTCATATGGACTTGCCCCTTCAGTGGGTTTTTTTCTGGCCATCTCAAAATTGGACCCTAGGTAAAGTTTTGCTTTCCTCTTTTGCCAAAGCTTTTTTATATCAGCTGGCTGTCCTTAATGTGCAGCAAGTCAACAGGTAGTTTGAGTGGTCTCCCCTAATTGTAAGCAGAGGCTGCCTGGCCCCATCAATTTTTCTGGGACACAGACGCCAGGGATGAAAATGTCAAGTGGTCCACAGGCAGCATTGTTAGTGTGCCTGGTGAGGATGAGGAGCAGGAGCGACTGCGGTCTGAGATTTTTAATAGGCAGGGCTGTAAAATGTTGGCCAGGCCTAAGTCACAGATGCACCACAGAGCTCTTTCAAGCCCTTATTCCAATGTTCCATTTGTAACTATTTTTAACCTTATTAAAAAGGAGCGAAATGCATCAGCTTCACAAGCGCGTACTAGAGTCTTGCAGTAAATTTCTTTGGTTTATAACTCCACCTTTGATTCAGAAGGTCAGCGGGCATGAGAACGTGGATAAACATAAATCTCCTCCAGATCTGCTTGTGGGAACCATACGCAGTTAGGGATGTGCTGGAGACCAGCACCGGGTCTCCGCTGGAGCAGAGGGGAAGGCGAGGCTCCACTCTTCGAGTTTTCAGGCAGCTCAATCTTCAATTCAATCTTGCAAAGACAGAATTGGTGGCATTTGTGTAATAGAAACACAGACAAAAGTCATAAGCATGTACCCAGGCAAGTGATGTCTGATAACTTGAGCTCCACGTGACCAGTCTCCGAGCACAAGGTCAACGGGCCCATGAAAGCCAACTTCTACAGCAGAAAGCAGGAGTGGGGCCAGAATTACAGGACTGAAGGCTTTTTCTCTCTTTTTTTTCACTTCTCACATGACAGTTCCTCTTCTGTCAGTGGCAGGGGCTAAAATCGCATTTGAAATTTCTCCTAAACTTTCTCATTTGTAAAGTCTTCACTAACTTGTGAAAGAAGGACTTTTAGGGGTCAGGCATAATCTTGGTCTGAAGTACCCACACAAATCTCTTTTTTGGGAATCCCAAACAAAAATAAGCTCTTGCCTGCCATGCTGTTTTGAGTTCAGGTCTCCACTATGTGAAGAAGCCTAAATTGGATTAAAGTTCACATAGACGGTCAACAAGGAGGCCTGAGATGAGTTGACTTGATACAGAAGGTTCTGGTTCATAATTTTAGCAGTCATTGTGGAGCCTGCTGTGTGTCCTTGCCAGGCTCTAAGGAGGGCTGTCTAGGACAAGAAAGATTTCTGTCTTCCAGGAGCTCGTCTTCTTATTAGAAACACCACGTCCAGTTATTATAGAGCTGAGTAGGGCAGTACCTGACTGGGGATTTAACACCACTGAAGGTCGGAGAAGAAAGTATTTGTGGTGCCAGGACAGGGCTCTCTCATGAGAGCAGGAGCACTAGATTCTCTGCTAATGTGATATGTAGGCTCTAATGGACATCTGGTACTTTTGACTGTTGATGATTACTTCTCATTCACTTCTGGCAACAAAATTCCTTTTCCTGTGGATAATCCATTCCATATGATTGATTCACCTGGATTGACTTCACCACAGGGCTGGGCATGTGACCAGGATGTAGCCAGTCAGAATATTTCACCATTTTGGCCATATTGATTGGTCCAAGGATGGGCACCTGACCCAATCTGGCCAATCATAGTCCTCCTAAGACTTTCTCAACAGAGCTATAGGGAAGACTTGTTGTTTTTCAGGGGCTTGCCAGGCTGGAAGTGTGTGAGGGAGAGAGTGTTAACAGCTTTCCTACCTGGTGTGAGGAGACCCAGTTTGAACTGAATAGAGATAAGCGGAGCTAAGAGATGGCAAGAGAAAGAGACATCATTTGGTGACATCATTTGAACTTCTGTATCTAGCTGTGTCTTAAAGCCAATTATGTGGGTTAATAATTTCTTTTTTCTCTGCTGACTTAAGTTCTGTAACTTATAAGTGGAAGAGCCTAATAAGGGGGCTAGGGGGTGGCAATGGAAATATTTCAGGGAAGTGAGGTACTGGTTTCTATGTTAGTGCTGGTGGCTCATAAGCAGTATAGGTAAATTAACAAAATCGCAACAACAGGATTTGTCACCATGGCTAGATTTTTCTCTTGAAGACCAGAGACATGGGAATGTACAGAATCAAAGCAAGATGAAATGTTTATTGGTCCTAGGCCCAATGTACCTATTCTTAGAAATATATTCAAGTTGACTCACTACTCAAACCCTCCTAGCTTCCCCAGAACCCTCACTGTCACCACATATTCTGCTTTATAACACACTTTGAAACATTTTACCAGAACATTCAATTCAACAAATATTTAAGCCTGTGAGTCAGGCATTGTACTAGGTTTGAGGAATACACTGATGGACAAGCTAGGCAAGGTCTCTGCTCTTACAGAACTTATGAACTCAATAAAATAGTGTAAACTGAAATTGTTTAATAAGAAGATAATTTTCTCATGACCTCACTTTGGTTAAACATACAATGACCAAAATCTCTCTTAAGACTTTGTTTATCCACTGGGCCTCGGGACATTAACTCCTTCTTGGGGTTTGTCTGCCAGTTTAGCTGCAGACAGACTTTATGTCATAACTCATTGGCCTTGATTAATTATTTTTATTTTTGTTTTATTTTATTTTTTTGAGATGGAGTCTCTGTCACCCAGGCTGCAGTGCAATGGCACAATCTCGGCTCACTGCAACCTCTGCCTCGTGGGTTCTAAGCGACTCTCCTGCCCCAGCCTCCCGAGTAGCTGGGATTACTTATAGGCACATGCCACCATGCCCAGCGATTTTTTTTTTTTTTTTTTTTTGTATTTTTAGTAGAGACAGGGTTTCACCATGTTGGCCAGGCTGGTCTTGAGCTCCTGACTCAGGTGATCCACCTGCCTTGGCCTCCCAAAGTGCTGGGATTACAGGCATGAGCCCTCGCACCTGGCCTAATTTTTTTTTAAATTGATGTATTTATTTTTGAGATGGAGTCTTTGTCATTCAGGCTGGTATGCAGTGGCACAATCTCAGCTCACTGCAACCTCCGCCTCCCGGGTTCAAGCAATTCTTGTGCTTCAGCCTCCCGAGTAGCTGGGATTACAGGCGCCTGCCACGACGCCTGGCTAATTTTTGTATTTTTACTAGAGATGGGGTTTTGCCATGTTGGCCAGGCTGGGCTTGAACTCCTGACCTCAAGTGATCTGCTCGCCTCAGCCTTCCAAAGTGCTGGGATTACAGGACCGAGTCACCAAGCCTGGCCATGACTTGATTAATTTAAATGTTAAACTCCCAGGAGTTGGGCGATTTTTATTAACTTGCTTTGCACCATGCTGATTAAAGGGTTATGCTCAAATTAAAACAATAACAACAAAAAATTAGAAAGAAAAAAGGAAGACATAAAAAAAAGAAAGAAATGATAAGTGTGTCAATTCCAGTTAAGCATGAGCATAGCTTCCCTGTGTTCTCTTTACAACATCCTCCCCACTTTCTATCTTGGTTTGGCACGTCAATAATTGTGTCACTGATATTGCACTTGTATACTTCTAAGTAGTGATACACCCATGGTAGCAGAATAGAATAGCCCAGGGGCCATATGTAATGGAGATATTAGATGCTGAAATGCCTCCTCTCTCATTTGTAAGAGTAATAGAATAAGATTTAGGTTCAAATCCTGGCTCTTATCACAGTATCTATATGTCCAGGTCAAGTTGCTTAATCACTCTGATGAACCTTAGATTCCTCGATGATAAAATGACGCTAGTAATTATAACATACAGGGAAGATATGAAAATTAAAATAACACAGGAAAAATGCTTAGCAAAATGCTGGCATATAAAAAATCTGCAAAGGTTGCTAAAATTAGTATGTGAAAGAATGATGAAGAATAAGATATTTATATAGTCTCAAAGTATCTCCCTAAGGCACATATAAATTACAAATGAAAAAAATAGAAATTTTACAGTAGAGAAAACTGACAAATACCACCTTTGTTAAGTGATCAAATTATCACTAATGATGGGCAAATCTCAATTACATACCTCCTGATATGATGCACTGAGAAGGACACAATAACACATTGTAATGTTCTAGCTAAAACGCATAACCTGAATTTAATCATAAGGAAACATCAGACAAACCCAAATTGGGGGACATTTTTAAAACCACTGACCTGTACTCTTCGAAAATATCAAGGTCGTAAGAGATAAAAGAAAGACTGAGAAACAGTCTAAATGCAAATTCCAATTCAGGATTGGAAACCAGATCAGAAAAAAAGGGGACTTTAACAGGAAAATTGGCAAAATTTGAAAATAGGCCCTTTAGATTCTATTATAATCTTGTTTCAATAAGAAGAATGTTAATAGTTTATGAATCTGGGTGAAGGGTACATATGAATTCTTTGTGCCAGTTTTATTACATTTTGAAATCTGAAATTATTTCAAAATGAAAAAAAAAAAAAAAGTGTGTAGTAGGCTTTTGACAAATGGTGCTGTGATTTAGGGAATCTTCCTGAATCTGCGCAGGCCATTTAGATGAGATTGGCAGCTCTGAACGCTGTGCCTGTGTGCACCTCTACCGGGAGGTCTGGCAGCTCTGTGAGGGTGTCACACATTTGCAAGGGCGTTCCTGGGCTGTCTCTGCCTGGCCCTCTCCCTGTGCTCCGTCCTCCATCTATCTCCACAGTTCCTTTAATGAAGAAGTTTGAGACAAGCAAACTCTTGTCTCATAGTTACTGTCTGACAGTTTTTAGAAATTGGACATTTCCTTTTAGGTCAATGAGATTGTCCAACTGATGAAGATTCACCCAGAGCTCCACCATTAATTTAGCTTTGGCCTTGACCACTATTGTTTTTCACCTGCTGGGCCTTGTCTCTCCATCACTGGGAACTTGGAGGAATAATGATAGACTTCAAAAAATGTTGTGCCCAAACCTGAAATGCACATTCTCAATACAGTAGGTGTAGAAGAAAACTTAGGAAAGGTGACTAAAGCTAACAAGGGGGCAAAATGCACAGATTATAGTGTTTTAGAAAGACTTGATTCTAGAAAGACCAAACCAGAGAGAGGATATAATCTAGAAAATGCATAAGATTATGGAAAGTAAACATATGCTCTTCATCATGCTTGATAGAAAGACTGGCTGCGTGTTGAAATGTAAAAGAACCAGTTCTAAGAAAATAAGAAAAAAATATTTTACAAGTAAATAAAACAGGTATGAGTCTTGTTTATCATGTAGTAAGTTCAACAACGGTGAAGTTCAAGGGGGTTTGAATTAACTTGCAGGCAATAGATAAAAAAGACAAATAAGCGAAACCATGGGGAGCTGGAGTTGCCATCAAGAATATCCTCCTCCACCTAAGTATCCCTTGATGTCCTTGTTAGAATTGGATCCAAAACTCTGTGTCATTTTCCCGTTCTTAATTTTGCGCATACACTCATGGCCCCTTGAACATAGGCTGCTCTGTAAAAGTGAATCGATGGTGATGATCTCACAAGGAATGTTGTGAGGTTAACAAATACAATTTGTAATGTGCACTGCAAATATAAAGTGCCATAAAAATGCTAATGAATGGTAATGCGTGTCCACTCATTAGCAGGCCAGCGCAACAGGCCAAGGATAATAGAAAAAGAGACTGCCTTTTGAACACACAAAGTGCTGTCCTATTCATCTGGCCTCACACATGCCACCATGGGAGGCTCTGGCTCAGCTCTCATTATTCACCAAAACAACTTCCTTTCCGTCTCTGTCTGGGTCTGCAAGCTGCTTTCTGCGCGAAGAAAGATTCCCTGAAACCTTTTGGCGCCATCAACAACAACAGCAGCAATGAAAGTTTGGCTTGAAAAATTCATTCAAGGGATAAAAAAATACAAAGGAAATCTATCATTATGGATGTTTTGGAGAGGAAAAAAAAATAAAAGATCCAGGCTTTGTTTTGCATTTTGGTAGGAAACGATATATAGCTACATAGTAAAACTGTTTTATTAAAAAGATCTTCTCACTCTGAATTCAAAATACGAATTGTACCCTCTTATCATCCAGCCACTTCCGAATGAAAGTTAAAAATGCTGATACTGTGGAACTAGCCCTTGGTATTATATCTCATAGCTGATATATTTGTCTAATACTTTGGTTTTTGAAGGCCCATTACTCAGGACCAGTGCACAGGCTGTTCATTTTAATCCTTTCTGGTTACTGAAAACAGGAATGCTAGGAAAAGCTTGTAGATAAGATTACGTTCCCTGCTTCTGTGTGTAGGTAGGTAGTGGAGTTTGAACCAGATAGTGAAACTAATGGAGTTTTCCTCATCCTAAGAAAAGGGCTCTGACCCCAGATTGTTAGGCTTTTATTTAGGCAAACCCTGCTGAAAACTAGGGTTCTATGTTGGTCAGAATGAATCCTTCGTTTGTTGGAGTGGAAAATTTCAAAAGCCCAGTGAGTGTCCAGATGTATCCATAACTGAGTGTCCAGGGACTTCAATTACCTTAGTTTTAGCAATAGCACAGATATAGAAATTCATTATGTTTATTCTGACCTAATAAAATGAATCTCATTCTATTGAAGCAATATGTTGAGGACCAATCAGAAGGCTTGGTCCTCCTCTGCTGTCCTGTGCCGTGCAAAATAAGGGGAATTATGGAGTCCTTATTCATGGTTTCCTTTTGGGCAGCATGAACAGTTTACAGGGAGGGTGGTTAAGTAGCCCAGATTAAGTTGTTTAAGAGGGCTAATATTGTTTGGTTTACACAAAGCCATCCAGCAATTATATTGATGCTTGACAGTGTTATCATCATTATTTATTTTGCTATAAGCTAGATTTATTGAGATTTGTAGAATTCGTAATACTAAGCATAAGAAACATTAATAGCTTTACTAATTATATCACTACTTTACAGATATAAATAGTGATAAAAATGCCAAGTAAAGTGAACTAGTAAAACACTTTTAAGAGAATTTTAAAACCAGTTGCTGATTGACGATGTCTTTTGTGAGTCTTGGAGTCTGAATGGAGAGGAAAGCCTTCTTTGAAGATTTAAGTCTTTCTTTCCTGCCTATTTCTAGTGCTTGGAAAGGAATTCTGCCTTAACCTGGCAGTAATCAACTGAACCATGTATTTAATATGGGGCCAAGGGATCATATGTTGTTTTGGGTCCCAGCAAAATGAAAATCAGAGTGTGGAGGAGAGAGAGGGAGAGGGAGAGAAAAAGAGATCAGGAAAGCGAAGGGGAGAGGGAGATAAGACAAACAAATGATCATAAATGAAGGAGGGAGAATAAAGAGAATTGAGTAAGCAACATTGTGCATCTCCCCATTTCATTCTGGTTATTGATCTTGCTCTGTGTTCTCCAGCACACACCTTGTTATAAATGAGGATATTGAGTGAAGAAAAAGAGTTAATAAATCCACTGCCTTTGCCATAACTGCTAATGGAAATCCATGAGCAGTTTAAATGCGGGTCAAGTAAAGAGACTAAACTGGGAGTGGAGGACATGGTAGATAAGAATGAGTAGGCAGCATGGGTAGTCTGTGAGCTAAAACTGTCAGTAATATCCTTGCGTGGATTGCAACTCTTAGAATTTCTGAGGTCCTGCTTGTTCACCTACATAGCCCATGAGCTCCAAGAATAGCTACTCAGCCTAGAGCAGGAGATACCTGCTTTTATAAATAAAGTTTTACTGGAACACAGCCACACCCATTCATTTAAGTATTGCTTTTGTGCTACAACTCAGTTATGGTTTGCAGAGTTGAAGATGTTTACTATCTGGCCATTTATTTAAAAAAATTTAAAAGAATACTGATATCTAGAGCCTTAGGAAACTTTAACTACTTGGTTAAATAAGTTGAAATTTTTCATGATTGGCCCAAAGTGTACATTTTAAAAATTATTTTTCTCTTGGGCTACAATGTATGCCTGCTTCGAAATTTTTCATGGCCTACCTCAATGTTATGTGAACATCAGAAGATTGAGATGGGTGTGGGGCATGGGTGTATAAGAGAAAGCCCTTCTCTTTGTGCAAAACAAAAGTGTGAACCTCCAAGAAAAGGCCCTAGGTTGCATTAGATAATTCTGATTTTAAATGTCTAATCTTAAAGCTATAACTCAGGGATAAAAGATATGGGTATTTTTATTTGTAGTTTGTGGTGGGTCTTATTGCATTTCTCTGTCTTCTGAGAGCAAGCTGAGAGGTTCATAGTAGGGAATAACACACCTAAGCCAACTTGAATGAATTCCCCATCATCACCTCCCGGAAGAAAATTCCTAACATGGAAAATTCATTTCAGCAGGAGAGGTCTCTATTTCTGAGATGTTTTGACCTGATTTAGAGGCTAGATATAAAAAAACAGGAGGGAGCTGTTTACTCACTAAACTTATCATAAAATATTTGGGAGCTAAGACATACTGGATGCAATCTAACAATATTTGCAAAATAGACATTGTATTTCTGTTGCTTTCATTTCCCCCTTAATCATTCTTAGGTTTTCCATCACACCTGTTCTTATTGTTGGCTCTGTAGAATCCTATACCCTGTAAATTCTAGCTGAAATGCTATCACTTTCATGACTTTTCCTCAACCAACTCAGTTGAGAATAGTGGAAAACCAAAAGGCTTTGCAATCAAGAGTTGACATCCTGGCTCAGTGGCTAAGGGACGGACCAGGAGCAAGTTACTCATTTCTTCTGAGGTTCCATTTGCTCCACTGTAAATGAGTAAAAAACTTGAGTCTCAGAGTTGTTAGGAAAATTATATGGGATGATGCATGCAAAGGCTTGGCAGGTAATAGACTTTCAATAAATGGTAATAAGAATAATTATCTTCTTAGAAGGAACCCTTCTTTTTTGAACAGCAACAAATTGCCTATACTAATTAAGTGACACTTTCTGTATACTGCCTTACATTTGTAGTTTATCTTTTTATATGCGTATTTCCTTTACCTAATTGAATTCTCAGTTTTTAAGAGTAGGCACTATATTTGCTTCTGTATTTAAGTATATTTCAAATAATAGGTGCCTACTAAGTATCTGGATTGATTCTGAGTCTTTGACCTGTTGGGTAACTATAGAGGAAAACCAGAGCAAAGAGATTGTGTGTATTTTCTAGGCTTCTATACTGTCCCAAACATAAAAACTTTATCAGGAGAGAGAGACTGTGTTGGGGAGGGAGTGGAGAGTTCTGACTTACCCAGATGTCTATTTTGGCAAAATGGGAGACACAAATAGAGCAGAGATAGTTCCGAAATGTAGGGTCCTACTCCCCAGGGCCTGAATCTCGGGTCTCTTCTCTGCCCTCAGCCCTACAGAAACATTTTTCCATACAACAGTAAGAGATTATTGGTGAAGATAGTCTACTTAACAAATTAACAATTTCTTCAGTAGGGAAGATGATGAGTGCTAAAATTAATTTTTAAAAATATGTAGTCTTTAGATTTCCTCTCTTACCTGAGAATGTATCAATATTGCAGTAGGCATTTTTTGAAGATATAATTTACATACAGTAAAATTCACCCTTTTCAGCTATGCAGTTCTCTGAATTTTTATAAACTTATGTGATGTGTAACCTACACCACAATTAAGATGTGAATATTTCCATCATCCCCAAAAGTTGTCTCATTTCCCTTTATTGTCAGTTTCCCTGCCTTCACCCCTAGCCCCTGGAAGCCACTGGTCTGATTACTAACCCTGTAATTTTGCCTTTTTGAACAAGTCATATAAATGGAATCACACAGTATGGAATCGACAGTATGTGTCCTTTTGAGTCTGGCTCCTTTCACCCAGCAAAATGATACTGACTCTCCTATGTATTGTTTTGTATAACACAGGTCATTCTTTTTTTTGCCCAGGTGTATGGCATTGTATGAATGTATTGTGATTTGTATATCCATTTGCCACCACTTAAAGGACATTTGGGTGGTTTCTGACTTTTGGCAATTATAAATGGAGGTGTTTTAAATATTTGTGTACAAGTTTGTGGGTGTTCACATATGGATACATGGGTGTGTGATTCCCTTGGGTGTGCAACTGCTGGGTCATATTGTTAAGTGTACATTTAACTTTTTATAAGAAACTGTGAAGTTATGCTTCAAAGCAATTTCACCATGTTGCATTCCCACCAGGAATGTATGAGAGTTCCAGTTGCTCCCCATCTGTGTAAGCATTTTGTATTGTCAATTTTCTTTTAATGTGAACAACTCTGATAGGTATGTAGTAGTATCTCATAGTTTTGAATTTGCATTTTCCTAATGGCTAATGATGTTAAACTATTTTTCATGTGTTTCTTTTTCATTCATATATCCTCTTTTGTGGTGCCTTTTCAAATCTTCTGCCTGTTTTTTCAGTGGGAGAGGAATGTTGTGTTTGCAATAGGCATTTTTAATTGTGCCATATTTCTTGAAGTCAACACCCACTCTTTCATGGTATGAAACTACAGTGAGTCCGTCAGGCCTTCATCACCTTAGAATATTCCTTTCAGTACCTCATATGTCTAAACTTTATTAGAGGCATGAAAGACAGACAAGGCAAAGTATTTAATAGTCCAGAGTGAGTAAATGACCAGGGTTTCTTTCAGCTTGGTGGTAAGAATAGCTCCCCATCTGTTCTCTTACTCATCTTTCCCCTTCGCTCCTTGCTCAGTCTTCCTCGATCTCAGCCTCTTTCTTACTAATGGGGCATGTGCCAATCATATCCTGGCCTCAGGGCCTTTGACCTCGGGCTCATTTTACCTGGAAAATTCTCTCCTCAAAAGTTGCATAGCTTTTGCATGGCTACCTCCTTCACTTCAGGTCTCTGAGCCAAATGTCACCTTATTGCGTAGTCCTTCCCTGACCAGCCCATGTAAAATACAACTGCTTCCTTCCTCCACATCCTCCTGCCTTATGTTCCTTTGTAGCATTTATCACTACCTGGTATGCTGTATTTTATTCATTTTTTGTTTACTGTCTATCTCCTGCTCCTGAAATGTAAGTTCCATGAAAGCAGGAATTTGACCTGTTCTGTTTCTCTTCTAGATTCCACAGTCTGAAAAAGTGCCTAGGATATAGGAGGCATTCAATAAACTGTGGGTGTAATTAATACATCTCAGGGAGAAAGGTATGTGAGTGAAATATTAAAGAGCTGTCAGAGTTTTTAGACAGGCCTGCACTTTATACCAGATCTGGCCTGCTTCTAGATCTTAAAAGTTTGTTAAGCTATTTCACATTTGACCCATGTGAACTCCTAAACCAAGCTTTCTTTGGTCTAAACCTGTGTAATATTTCTAAATGGATGTGGTGGTCTGTTAACCATCTCCAACGTGGCAGCAAACCGAGGTGGCAGTGATTGCCTTTTCTGAGGCCCATTGCCTAATTTCTCTTTGCCTCTGGCTGGTTTATTAATGCAGCAAAGCCGAAATGAACTTCATGAGTCTGAGGACTCTTCCTTAGGTGCAATTTGTAAGTGGACTCAGACTCCTCCTAGGATTTCCTTATCCTTTGTCTTCAACTACTTCAGACTTTTTTGTTTGTTTTTGTCTTTTGTTACCCTTGCTCTCTCATGTTGAACATAGAGATAGGACATTTAGTTGCTTGCTTTTCAGTAGGGTTCCTCTGAATAGACTGGAGTCATAGATAAGGATGGTTCCTCATCATGCAATGGGTTGGTTGTTCCTTTTTATTTTCTTTTAAATTATTATGGATACCATTATTCATTGTAAATAGTTATGGGGTACATGTGATATTTTGATAGAAGCATACAATGTGTAATAATCAAATCAGAGTAATTGTTGTTCTTGAATTCAAGGTCTCCAGGGTTGGAAACTTTAGGAAGTTATTCTTTGGTGAAACTTAGATCGCAATGAAGTTAACGGTGGGTTCTTCATGCTTTTTCATACTTCTCAGTGTTCCTTCTCATAAATTGTTTTCCATACCTGGTTTAAATCTGAAAACCTTCCTGAATGTGGATATGGTAGGGTCTACTCTAGACTTGGACTAATAGGTGAAAATAGAAAAATTCCTGGAAAAAATAAGCAATCAAATGAACAAACAGTATACTAAACACTTGACAATAAATAGTTGTTTTGGAAATGAAGAATATTTTATGGTTACCAAAAAATTAGGGGGAAAATTTTTCTAGAAATATACTTTCTCTCTCTTTTGATACAGAAAGTCAGACTTTTCAGTGCATTTTTAGCTCAAAAATTATTGGAAGAAAATGACAATCTAACTTACGTTAATAAAATGCAAGACTGTATTTAGGCCTTTTTATTGTCAAGACTTCACAAATGGGAGGGGGTGTTATAGGTGCAAAGGGACACTGTAGCTTTTCCCTTGGGCTGAGTTCCTTTATAACATGTATACTCACAGACTCTGATTTTCAGAAATCTTCTAAGCCAAGCATGTTTGGGAACTGATCTTTACCTTCTCAGTGATCTTAAGCAAAATTATGAAAATCTTCCCAAATCCTGATTTATAACGCCAAGAAATACTGACAGTGATGCTTCAGGAGGTTAATGATGGTCTAATTATCTTGCACCAATAAGGAAAAAGAGTCAGCCTTTTGGCAAGATTATGTCAGAACTAGTCAGATAATATAGATATTTCTACCTCCACACATTTTCTAAAGGGGAATGTTGCTGCTTTAATTAAATGTTATATGAATACATTTCAAATAGATCCAAACATAGGGCAAACTCTGTTTCAGAACTGCTGTTCCTACATTTAAAATGTATTTGAAATGTAATTAAAAAAACAGATAATGGGAAAGAAAAACTAAAATAACTCGAAACAAGCAGAATATAGGAGCTCATCATTACACTAATATATCAAACAATGTGATCTTAGCTTAATTATCCCCTTTGAGAGTTGAGAAAACTAAGCACAACCTTCAATTTACAGCTGTTTGGTGCCGGGAACCTGAATTATTATTTAAGAAGAAGGGGGGAAAAAGTTTATTTATTGTGACCTCCACTCAGTTTTTATTCATCGTGGAAAATCTGTATATTCACAAATGAGGGCTATTCATCGTTAGACCGCAGCATTCTTCAGCTGTCCAGGCCTACATCAACTGCACTTCTCCAGCTTTTGTGTGCGTCTCGAAGGCTCTTCATCCAGATTGTTCATCATCTTGATGGTCCAGCTTTATCTTGCTTTTGTGCAGCTGCATTCCACTTATCCAAAGTGCTGAGGGAGACGAGGGAGAGGGAGAGAGAAAAGAGCGAGCTCACGAGTGAGCGGGAGAGAGTGAGCAGAAGAGAGTGAGAGAATAGGAGAAAAAGCAATGGCCGGCGCACATGAGGATAATTTGTAGTTTCTCAATAATAATAATAAAAAAAGGAGGACAGGCTAATTACTGGCTTAACTAGGGCAGCCTGTGGATCTTCATGTCAAAAGGACTGCCGTAATTATTTGCCATCAAAGCACATTCATATTGTGGCACAAAAGAAGGGCCTTTTGCAAATGGATCTTGCTAATAAACAGGGCTGAGAGGAGCATTATGTGTCTCCCTGGTTGCAGGCACATTAACACAGTGACATGGAGCATAACTCCAGGCCTGAGGAAAAAAACACCAGAATGATAATTATCCCCCTACCCTCCCCAGCCTCCCTCGCCTTTCCCTTTGTGTTGGACGAGGAAGCCGAACATGACCTATTGGAGGGCCCAAGGCAGGCTATTAGTGACCCCTGAGCCCTGACAAGGTGCTTCTGTTCTTTTAAAAGCTGTCTCTTGATGTCAGAAGGGCCATGTGGACCAGCGGGCTCTGCTCGAAATGGTCCAGCAAACACTTCAACCTTAAAGACACCTGGAAGGTCGTGACCAATTTAATGCAGATGAAGACAGCAGAGACAAGGCTCTGTTGAATCCTGGTACTGCAGTCCTCCCCGCCTCAGCCCTGTCCCTCTTTTCTTCTTCTTTGTCCACACTTGCTCAAATGCACGTATTTATGTCCTTAAAATGAAATTCAGGGGGCAAAAAGTTCTCTCATTTTCTCTTAGTAAATGAAGAGGGTATTAGGGAAACATTTGCTTGCCTTAGAATAATTTATGGAAGAAAAATTATGGGACAGTAGTGTGTAAGAAATATACAAAACAGAAGCTAAAGGTGGATGCAAATACAGAACCTAGATTAACCCTTCCTCTAACAGATGTAAACACACTGATTTCCCACAGGTAGGGGGTCACTGGCAGGGCCAGGGCTCTGGGTTTAGTGAATTGCACTCCTGCTTTTCTTGCTTCTTGCTGGACAGGTGATGAGAGGCTCATCAGGGATGGAAACTGGCACGAAAAATTCTGGTGCCCAGTGGTTCACCTGTAAGCACCAGCCTGCCCAACTTTGGAGGCTGCTGGCGGTCCAGGCTTGTTCCAGTTCCACACAGGGCAGTTGATATTAAAGAAAAGTACCAGTCGGCACCTTGGAAGATAAACCAGAGTCGATTAAGATTGGTTTGTCTTTTCCCATTATGTCCTCTTTTCCTGTCTGTCTTGTGATTGTTCTGTGAGAGGTGCCTTCTGACACTGAGTGGACATCCCAGAACCCAGAAGATGGAGAAATGTATTCCATTTTACACACATCAGAAGAAAACCCAATCCCTGTAACTCTTATTTTACCCAGCAGAGAAATTAAGAGTGAAAATTTGCATTGCAAAAGGTTCTTGCTTCACAAAAGCCAGCTTCCCAGAGCATTTAAATATTTAATTATTTGAAAGGTTGGAGGTAGATAAACTTCAAGTTAAAAGGTTATGAGCCATTTCTAGTGGAAGATCTACCAGGAATGACTTAAGAACATTAAAAGACGTGTATCAGTGGGGAAACAAAATTAAGAGTTTTTAAGATTTGACTGAAAGCCCTTCAGGAGTGTGCCCTCTATCGGAAGCAGCCTGAGCCTAGGGATATAATACACTGTTAGGTTGCAAATCTCCTAATAATCAATTGATCCCTTTCACTTTCTTATTGCCTTCCTCCCAACTGCCTTCCTTCTTTTTTTTTTTTTGTTCTCTCTTTCTTTTCAAATAGTCTTAACATAAAGAAATTGGGATATGAACATACTAATTATAGATATAGATTTTCCAATCTGTTACGAATGGTAAAGCAAAAAAAAAAAAACAGTTGAAACCATATTATTTCTTATTTTATCTCTCTAGACTGGACCTCTTTCTCTGGAACTTTAAATGCTTACCACCAACTGTCCACAGACCCCTACACTTGCATATCTAATAGGCATCTCAAACTCAGCATATCCAGAATGGACCTCCTGGTTTGCCCCGTAAAACTTGGCTCCAGTCACTGTTTTTCCAATCTCAGTGGATGACAACCGCAACTTTCCAATGCTTAGATCAGTTTCTTGTCTCTTCTCTTTTTCTTATCACTTCTGATCTGTTAGAAAATACTACTACCTCTACCTTCAAAATGCATTTAAAATCTAATCACATATCTAACCTCCACTGATACCTTGGCCTGAGTCACTATCATCTTTTGCCTCCATTATTCCAGTAGCAGTTTAACAAATCTCCTGTCCTCTGTTGACCTATCCCTAACTCAGCAGCGAGATCTGTCCTTCTAAACTGTAAGTCAGTCATGTTGAAAGCTTGTTACAAAGGCCATGAGGCTTTCTGACTTTATCTCCTACTTTTTCTTCCCTTGATCCTTCTGTTCCAGCCATAGTGCTCCCCTAATTTTTCATAAACACGTAACAAGAGTGCTCCCATATCAGTGCATTCAACTCCCTCACTGCCAGGTCATTTTTCAGAACTTGGGTTCTTCATTGAGATTTATTTATTTAACACTGCAGCCTGCCCCCATCCTCAACAACATGGATCCCCCTTCCCCCGGTGTATTTTTTAGTTTTTTCAATAAAACTTATTGGGCATACTGTGTAACTTACATTTTATTTTAGTTATTATTTTTGCTGTTTATTTGTCTTGTAAGCTTTAAGAGGGTAAGTTTCTTTGTTGTTTTTGTTTTTTTCTTTGTTTACACTGATGTGCCCATACGTACCTGGAATAGAATCTGGAATATAGAAATTGCTCAATAAATATTTGTGGCATAACTGTTGATTTAATCCTTTTTTTTTTTTTTTTTTTTGACGGAATCTTGCTCTGTTGCCCAGGCTGGAGTACAGTGGTGCAATTTTGGCTCACTGCAACCTCTGACTCCTGGGTTCAAGCGATTCTTGTGCCTCAGCCTCCTGAGTAGCTGGAACTACAGGTACATGCCACCATGCCCAGCTAATTTTTGTAGTTTTTAGTACAGACAGGGTTTCACCATGTTGGTCAGGCTGGTCTGGAACTCCTAACCTCAGGTGATTCACCCGCCTCAGTCTCCCAAAGTGCTGGGATTACAGGCATAAGCCACCACACCCGGCTAGATTTAATGAATTTTAAAGCTGAGGAAAATGGAGGTCAATAGTAATGATTAAAAACAAAACAGGCCAGGCGCGGTGGCTCACGCGTGTAATCCCAGCACTTTGGGAGGCCGCAGCAGGTAGATCACCTGAGGTCAGGAGTTTGAGACCAGCCTGACCAACATGGAGAAACCCCATCTCTACTAAAAATACAAAATTAGCTGGGCGTGGTGGCACATGCCTATAATCCCAGCTACTTGGGAGGCTGAGGTAGGAGAATCACTTGAACCCAGGAGGCAGAGGTTGCAGTGAACCGAGATCATGCCATTGAACTCCAGACTGGGCAACAAGAGCAAAACTCTGTCTGAAAATAAATAAATAAAATAAAATACTGGAAGGTATTCAGAAGGAAAAACAAAACCTGCCTTCGTAAACAAATCTAGAATAAGAATGCAGATCACTAGATTGCTACACAGCAAGACCTATTATGCTGCCTTGCTTTCTTCAACTTATGTTGGTTGCATTTACATAGGCTCCTTTCTCTAGAGTAGGGGTGGGGCCAAAAAAAGCATAGTAGAATAGTAAGAGGGTTTTTGGTTTAGTTTAGCTTGTTTTTTCCCTATGTAACCCAAAGCATTTTGGCACTGATTTTTAATTTCAATTTTGCTAGTGTCCCTTTTCCTTCTGCCAACATCAACTACCTCAATTATCATGAAATCACAACCATCAAAGCAACTTCTTTAGGATATTCTGCTTTTTCTCCACACTCAGAACATCGAGCATTAGAGCTAGAAAGTTAGAAAATAATGGATCAGGTTCTAATGTCTGCCTTAGACCAAAGGAAATGATTCTCACAGTAATACATTTGGGAACTGAAAACATGGACAAGGAATGAAACACACACCCAAACTTTGTGAAATTTAGGATCTGCATTCAACATGTCACAGCACGTCACCCCACACCCTTCTTTAATGTGTCAGCCCATAGAAAAGAAACATTTTTTTCCTCCCAGAGCTGTTCTCATAAGGTTTCCTAGGACTACCATACCTCAGCGATAGCCTTAGCAATGTCTATTTTACCCCATGGCTTTTTAGATGGGCAGATCTTTCAATATGGCAGGGCAAACAGTGGCAGTTTAGCTGCCAAGTCTTAATTCCCAGGCCAAGGCTCAAGTCAGTAATTTATCTCTGTCTCTCTCTCGCTATGTCTTTATCTCTGTCTATCAGTATCTTAAGATTATAGAAGAAATTGAGAGGGAGCATTTGAATAATGATAGCTACTATTTTTAATCAGAATAAATCAGTTTGTTAGTCATCACAGAATGCTTCTAGGACAAAGGAAGGCAGGGAAAGAGGAAACAGAATTAGATGATGATGACATTGTGGATGTCAACTCTTACTCCAAGCTTGAGTTAAATCCTCCTGAGACCAGTGATCCTGGAAGTGTGGCATGAATTTCCCTGGTTCCCAAAGCAGATGAGCTGTTTCTTTCAAGTATCTGCAGGTCCTCTCTGCCTTCAGACTGCCTGATGTAGAGCAGGCAGGAGATTGTGTGTTTATCTCAGAAGGCCTAGGGTATGTCTGCTTCAGGACACAGAGGCAGTGAGACCTCTAGGATGAGAAGATCAGCACAAGATCTGGAGTGGCCAGCAGAGGCAAAACTTTTGTGGTACAGACGAGGCCCTCAGAACTGCTGAAATTCTTGCTTTTACTTTAACAAGTAGGGAGGAGAGTCTTAATATCACTCATGATTTCCCCCTTTACTGTGTAACAGTGGGCTCTGTCAGCAACCTGGAGAACATTAGCAAATTCATGAATCAGCTTACACGGCTATCATGAAGGGGAATCATTTGTTAGCTTAAGTAAAACCTGGATTAATTACTACTGTTGGTTTGTGGAAATATTGACTAAGGAGGGCTTTAGGATACATTTGAAAAAGGTAAAAAATCTCAGATTCATGGAATGTAAGCCCTTTTTTGTTCATTAGTAGTAGTTGGGACAGTAATAAACACAGAAGCTTTGGTTCAACTGAATGATGGTGATGCAGGAAAAAATAATTAGAGTGCTTTTGGAAAGATTTTTTTTTTTCCTGAGTTTGTCTCTGAGGTTTTTTTCTGTGTGGAAGGGTAGATGGGCAAGACTAGAAAATGCCTCTAAACGTGGCTTTCCTGTGAAGTTGTTATTTCAGTTTTTTTCCTCCTTTTGTGTAACTTTGGAAGAAATAGTCCTAGAAAACCTTATGAGAACAGCCTTGGAAAGATTAAAAAACAAGTGCTTATTTTCTGTTGGCTGACATATTAGAGCGTGGTGGTTTGGGTGATGTGCTGCGGCATGTTTAATGCTGATCCTAAGTTTCCCAAAGTTTGGGTTTGTGTTTGGTTCCTTGTCCATGTTTTCGGCTCTCAAATGTATTACTGTCAGAATCATTTCCTTTGGCTTAAGATCATATGCATGATGCCAACTATTGACTTAGAAAGCATGCCTTGATCAAAGTGTTTATTGATACTAGCACATGCAGAAGAATCTTTGTGGAAGAAACAGTACTATCTCTTCTTTAAAGATCTGAAAGTAGAACCAATCAAGGCTCCCACTGTGGGCCAGAGCATCTTGAGCTGGGTAGAACAATATTCCCAGGCTACATTTTCAGGGACCCTCCTGCAAATAAAGGGGGATTTCCTTTTCCCTTCTACAGCCTGCTTCTTAAAACCAAGTGGAATCTGCCACATAATTGTTTCCATAAGGAGAGGCTTCATTCTGTGTCTGAATCCTTTATGCCCTCATGTCCCTGAGCACGCCTTTCCAAACAGCAGTATGCGGAAAGTCAGTGGAATGGGCGCCACAGTCTGGGACCCCCTACAGTGGATAGAAAAAAACGAGGTCCCAATGCTAGTGCTTGGATCAAAAGAGAAGCAAACAGAATGGTTACACTCAGAAGACCTCTATAGGTCTGGTTATTTATTACCATCATCAAGCAATATTGATATATTTATTCTTTAATAAAAGCTGACCACCCACAGAATCTGAGGGAGAAATCTTGACATTTAGCTCAGGTTTTCAGGGTGAAATTGTTGCTGTTATAGTAAATAGAATTACTTAATGTTGACTTTCTTCCTGGGGGGTAGCATGTATGTGTTAGTGTCCTCTATACCCATGTTTAAAGCCTAAGTACACACACATGCCTACACATATACACATACACACACATACATATACAGAAAAAATATGTATGCCTAAAAGTGTGTATACAACTTAAAATATGAAAAATTTCCAGGCCTTCCACCATGGCCCACAGCATGTTTAGATTTCTAGTGTCTTTTATGTCTGTAGTGTGGTATTTTTTCTCAAAACATTAACTTTTCACATTCTGAAAGTTGTATGTGTTGATTACGGAACATTTGGAAAGTGTAAGAAAATACAAAGGGAAAAATAAAAATCACACAAAAATCACATAATACCATCATGCAAAGAGAACCACTACTCATGTTTTGGTGCTATTGTTTTTATGTAGCTTACTTTTAAATTTTGGTTGTCTCCAACCTGTTATTCTCTTTGAGGAAAGTGGCATACCTTTAGGTGAAACAAATGGTGGCATAATTAGTCTATTCGTTTTGCTATTTTAAGACAGTGCACATTATCTTTAACAGTCTTCTCTGAAGTACATGACCATTTTCCATCTCTCATCCATTCATCATTCACCATTCATCATCCATCTATTCATGCATCCATTCACCATCCATCCATTCATCTATCTATCTCTCCCGTGGGTCCTTACTCATTTTCAAGTAATGTCTCCAATTTCCTTTAGGATTCTGTTCCATTTAGGTCTTTCTGTCTAACCAGTCTCCTTCTATTTTCTTTCTTTCTTTCTTTCTTTTTTTCTTTTTGAGATGGAGTCTTGCTCTGTCGCCAGGCTGGAGTGCAGTGGCGAGATCTCTGCTCACTGCAAACTCCACCTCCCAGGTTCAAGTGATTCTCCTGCCTCAGCCTCCCAAATAGCTGGGACTACCAGCATGTGCCACCATGCCCAGCTAGTTTCTGTGGGTTTTTTTTTTGTTGTTGTTGTTGTTGTTTTAGTAGAGATGGGGTTTCACCATGTTGGCCAGGATGATTTCGATCTTAACCTCATGATTTGCCTGCCTCAGCCTCCCAAAGTGCTGGGATTACAGGCGTAAGCCACTGCACCTGGCCTCTCCTTCTATTTTCTGAGGAATATCCAAACCCCAGTTTGATAATGTAACAACATCTTAGCAATGTTTCCTGTGTGTTCTTTTTTTTCATTATCTCTCACCTTCAGTCCTTTAGCAACTCAACTGTATGGCTTAGATTATCACATTACTATTTAATCTCTTTAACCTATAACTCTGAATTTTTTCTTCCTAGGTATCATCTATAGTTCATCCCTCCCATGCCTTCATGTCAGTTCACCTCCATCAAGATCTTTGTACCCCTCCTTATCTTCCCTTTTATAATCACGGTCTCTCATTTGACCTGGACACAGCAGTCAATCATTTCAACTACATACTATCTCAACCTTCAGCTTATTATTGACTTTATTCCCTTCCAAGTCCGGGTCAGCCCAAATACTTTTCTCCCCTTTTGCCACTGCTGAAGAAAATTTTGTGACTTCAGTGATTGATTCAAATGTGTGATTTCCAACCTCAGCTGAACTTTTAAAGCTGCTGAAAATGCCTTTTTAATGGCAAGTTAACCCATTTTTATTCCTTCTAATATATTATCACTTGCTAAAAACTACCAACTTGGTCTTAGTCTCCTTTCTTTTAGTGAACAACCTGCCACCCTACTTTTATAAAGAAAAGTAAGGTCATGAATGATGGGCTCATAGACGCTGGAGTTTGCTAAATTAGAACTTTGGCCCTACCACTTACCATCTGCGTGACCCTGGCTAGTTGACTTAATCTTTCTAAACGTTTTTTTCCCTTGTTTTGAAAACCTTCCTTACTTCATAGGATTGTTGGGAAAATCCAATTACATGATGTGTTCAAAGAGCTTAGAACACAGTCGATCCTCAATTGTAGCTATTTTGTGTTTATTAGGTAGCAGTGCTCTTAACTTCCTTTTCTATTTAATTCCAAGTTTATTTATATTTTGTCCTTTTACACCGCCTTCTCTATTGGTTTGAAAAAAGAAATAGCAACTCCCTTTAAGGATAATTCCTGGAGACTGCATCCTGCATGTGAGACCATTGCTCCGTTAGGTATTCCCTCTTTCTTGGTTCTCCATTTCGGGTGCTATACATCTTCCTCCAGTGAACACCCAATCTCTTCAAATCCCTTCCTTCTCACAACTCTTTTTCTCTTCACTCTTCAGTTCCTTGCATCATAGCCTCCCCTTAAACCTTTTACTACAATAGCTTGTAAAAGTTCCCAATGACTGCTGTTGGCAACTTCTCTTGGAGCTGGGCCTCAGTTCAGTCCAGCTCTAATACCTCATCCCTAGGAAGCAAGAGGAGAAAGTTGCCTTTACTGTGCTTTCATAAAACTTTTTTCTACTAATGCTATCTATGATATTATGACACTTACCACACTGTATTGTTATTGGGTTTCTGTCTGTCTGCCTCACCTGTTAAATGATGAATGTTTTGCAGAGAGGGACTGGGCTTTATTCCTAAAGGCTAAGCTGAAGGATAAACACACACACACACACACACACACACACACACACACACACACTTGTTGATTCCAAAGACTTGTCCCTTTGGGACTATTGTCCCAAAGAAGAAACTTGACATAAAAAATTTGCTGTTATGTATACTTTGAGGTTCCTAAATGCTAATAATGGACATCTTTTCGTGTTTAGCAAGTGTTACCAAGACTTTTCTGACATCGCCGTCAACCATTCAGCAAATATTTATTGCCTGCTGTGTGCTAGGTGCTGTCATGAGTAATGGTGATTCAGTTGCAACTAAGATTTAAGGTCAACACAGGCCCTGCCTTATGGGACTGGCTGAAGATCTGGGGACTTGTGAATTCTGTATATCTATCCCTCCACATATGGCATACTAAACACTTACATTTTACAGCTTGGCAATTAGAACTCTGTACAGGAGACAGCTCTACTAGAAATTTCTATGTTTCTTTCCATACTCATCTGGAGCTAGAGATTTATTCAATGAATTCAGTTTAAATTTCAGTAAGTATTTTGACTTCCACATAAAATATCATTGAATAATATGGGAATATGTATACTTATTATTTCAATACTGAGTGCCTGTGGGCTTAGTCAAGCCTCTGCATGAAGTTTTTGTGCAGATGACATAGGTCAAGAAAGGAGTAATAAGCACTGAGAAAAAATATACAGGTTGGAAAGTTTTACTTTTATAAGATTATCTGTTGGTAAAGAATTATGGAAAAATCTCCACTTTGAAAGGGTGTTAAAAATAGTCTATAGAAGTATATGTATAAACAGAAGTAGTCTATCATTGCTTCAAATCTCAATATGTGATTTTTCCATTCTGAGGTTTTTATTCTGAGATTCCTGGATATATATATATATATATATATATATATATATATATATATATAATCTTAACTCGGTAGACTGCTATTTATTGAACAAGAGATACATATGAATTATCCTTATCAAGATCATTATGTAACTCCTGAAAAACTGGGTACCCTACTTTGAAAATATTTAAGATGATGTAATGCATTATCAGTAGAAGGTGATAGTGCACAGTTTGTTTTGAAACTCGTGTTGTTGCTGGAGTACAACACATTAGTCATTGCCACCCAGGTTTTTAGTGAATATAATCAGAAAAGAAATATGGTATGCTCACCCCAACCAAGGTCCTGGAAGAAACAAAGCTACCTGTTACTGTCTTCCAGTTGATAACTTTGAATGAATGTTAGTGTTACCAGGTCTTTGTGTACTTGAGCTAAACTGTGACTCTCACTGTCTTTTTTATGTTGCTGATCTTTTCTTTCTCACATGTTCTCCTTGTGCGTTTTGACTCTGTCTTTTCAACAACTTGAGAAGAGCAAAATTGTATGAGACTTTGGCCCCTAGGAACCTGGGGATGATAACAAAGAGAACTATCTTTCCACTTCTGATTTCACAGCAGCTCAAACAGCATTTGACAACTTGTAAATGCGCTGCAGATATTCGTGGTGGGCCTGAATGGAGAGGCATGATTATTTTGGAAGTCTATATGACCTCCGTCCTCTGAAACTGTGGTGATTTCCCATGTGAAGTGCACCTTCTCATTCTCCTGCTTCCGTCCTTAGCAGAAGGCAACTCTTCCTTGATTTCATAGAGAATGTTTGCAGCTCTGAGAGATGACCCTTAGAGAAGTTATGGCTTTGATGAAGTTTGTTCTCAGTCTTCTTAGACCAACTCCCTATCCAATTGTCCTCCATATGACTTCCTGTGCTTTCTGTTTCTTTATTCACTCCCATGTTAAGATGATTTTCCGGGATAATTTGCATTTTAATAGCAGCCAATGCTTTAAACTAAAGGAATAGCTCTCTAACTCATATAATTTCAGGTATTAGTAATCAGATAGGAGAAGAAGGTGTTTGGGGCCAATAGAGATTTCCTAAAACCTCTTGAAATCAATTAAGTTATGCAGCCACATCCTCTGCCAACAACAGATTAGGCAAGCCTTAAAACTGGGTCTTATTTGATGTTGGATGAGGAAAATTCCTCATGGACATAAATTGATATTTCCCTTATTTATGAAACTTTAAAAAATTCCTATCACAAAGAATTTTTGAATTATTTGGATTAAAGTTCAATTTTCTTTCTGCCTCACACCACCCCCTCCACCCCAGCATACCCTGCCACCACACACACACGTGCTCACACAGGCATACGCTTCTTTTATAGGTCACATGCCAACTCTTCCTCTGTCTCCTTGTTAAGCCTATTCAGCATTCAGGCAAAGGTCCAGGTTGAAAATGTACCTCCTACCCACGCACCCACAGTTTTTTTTTTATCTGCACAGCATTCATCAGGATTTGAACTGTATCACATTTTTGTCTTTCCTTGGATGGGACCAGGGACTGTCTCTGATAGCAAATGCCAGCGATCAGGTCTGTTGCAAACCTAGAAAAAGTTGGGAAATATCTCCTTTACATAACTCTTTTATAGGACATAATTGTCTCCAGACATTTTCCTCTTTGAAAGAATATAGATTCACTAGCTTGATTTCTTAATCAGGGTGAACTTTTGTTAATGTTTCATGGCTCAGATATATACAGTTATGCCATGGACCCAGTGGTGTTAGTAATAAAGACAATATTATTAATATCACTACATCAATATAAAAAGAGTTATAGAGTTAACATTTGTAAGGCAAAAAAAAAAAAAATCCCAGGTTAACCATTGCCTTGTCTGCCATTAACTCACTCACTGGCAATATTTTAGGTACTTCTGTAGTTTATATACCAGAACCAGTATTTGGCAACAGTAATCAAAGACACACAGAAACAACTAGTTGCTTCCCTTTTTTCCTTTTTCTTACTTTTCATTTCCCCCTCCTCCTCATTCTGATGAAATTTTATTATTTCTTTGAAACTCTGAATCAGACTCCAGTGGGGGGCTGTGTCCTTTTAGAGCCAAATTGTAGTATTTGAACTTTGCTATCACATAACACTTTCTGAGGCTGCTTGTCTGAAATGACTTAATTTGCACTGCAGGACCAGCCCTGAACCCACAAATACTCCACAAAGCCACAGTGAGCCA
Source organism: Homo sapiens (assembly GCF_000001405.40). Taxonomy (NCBI): domain Eukaryota; kingdom Metazoa; phylum Chordata; class Mammalia; order Primates; family Hominidae; genus Homo; species Homo sapiens. Next base: position 59,779,552 of record NC_000002.12, on the reverse strand, counting down.
GGGCAGCAGACCTATTACTAAGTTTTTATTAGAATCCCTGAGGCACGCAACACAGGGCCCCAAAGCAGCTTTAATAATAGACAACATACAGCACATTTTTCTTGTATTGCCATGTAATCAAATCTGAGGCTGCTGTTCACTTTCTTTGTTTTACCTAGAGGACCAGCTTCCAATTTAGTTGTGGCCTACTCTAAACTGATTTTTCATTGTAATTAATGCCTACTTTGGCCTCAGCCACTTATACAACTTTCCATTAGAGGTTTGCAGCCATCCACAGAGTATTTTACTAAGTTACCCTCATAGACTTGCTATAGCTGCAATTTTGTTAAAGTCTTGCTTTATATTATTTTTTGCAAAGAATTTTTAAATTGCTTAAATTGTTCCTTTTAAATATTTTTTTCTTTTTTCTCTTCTCTGTGTTGTACCTATTAAAATACTTGGGCCAGGGCCCAAGTTGGGGAAACACACACACACAAACACACACACGAACACACACACACAAATACACACACCATTCACCCCTCCACTCCCCCAATCCCCAGCCATTAAAGTGATTTCAGAAAGGCTGGTGGAACTTATTTAGGTCCAAGGTCTGCTGCAGTTAATTTTCTGTCTGTTTTGCACTGTCCATTTCCTCTGAAATAGTACCTGAGGTTTAAGGTTCCTCAGCGGAGGATGTTAGGAGACCTCTACAAACATTCAGGTGGCAGCCTTCCCACCACTAACCTTAAAAAAGATTATGGCAGTGGGCCCAGGGTCAGATTGAATAGATGAAAATGTATATGCCATGTCTTAGCTGCTCTCCGAGCCTTTCTCTGTTGGCTGGGCTGACATTTTCAGTGACTTTTCTTAGAGCCTTGCTTAGACTGGCTTCCTAGAAAATTCTAGATCTGTTCCTACCCTCCCTTCTCTAATCCCTCCCTTGACATTATTAAATCACAAAGAACAACTGTCAGAAGTTAGAGAGCCCTCTCTCTCTTTAGATGGTCCCCTTTCAACCTGAAGATGTGTTTTTTTAAGAGGATCCAATGAATTAATGAGGTCTGTCTTCACATGATTGATAAAATGTAGCTTCCACAGAAAGGAGCTTGGTGGGGGTAATTCCACTGAAGGACTTGGCTAAGAATATTCCAAATAGAAACTATGAGATCTTTGTGTAATTTTTAACTCTTGCATTTTAAACAGTAGTTTACCATATAGGACTGATGAGGGGAAATGTACTTTCTGGTAATGACCAATAGATACTCTTATCTTAGCTGATACAGGTTACAAAAATTCTGCTAGCCCTCAAATATACTATTATAATTCCCTTTCTAGTACTTAGTAATCATTTTTCCTTGACTAACATTTTACACTATTGTATAATGCAGTTAGTGTTTTAAGTAGCATTTACAGACTCTTGATCACATCTACAATGCCTGTTGAAATAGGAAAGTAGACAGTCTTAATGGAACCCTGTATCTGTGTACCGGCTAACTGTCAACAACAGGGTAATGTTTGATAAAGGAGACCACATTTATATGTTGGGGAAAGTGAAGGTCCAGGCCTGTTTCCCAACCCCGTTGCTTATTTATTGAACAAATAACGCTGGCTGGTCCTTATTAGGTGGTGTGGCCTCATCAAATTTACAACACGTTTTTTCTTTTTCCCAGCATGGATTTTTGGGCATCAATGTATAAACAGAAGCACCCAAATGAAGTGCTTGATAATTCATATTTTTTTTAACATGGAAACGTGATACCATCAGTTATCTTTCACATAAGAAGTGAGACCTAAAGTAAGGAGACTGATTTGTGTGTGAGGCTTAAGAAATCAGGTAGTCCGCTTATATGCACACCTCATGCATCTTATATTTACATTCATACATATAAATCATCTAAACTCATTTAAATATAGAGTGACACTGAAAGGGGAGTGTATTTGTAATTCATCAGCTGATATGTTTTCCTTCTAAATTGAAGGGATCTTATATGCCAAGGATAGATGTGTTGTAAGTACTGGGGACTAAAAAGGAATCTCAACCAACATTGAGAAGCAAATTTCTAGAAGTTTAGTTAAGAAAAACTTTAACGTAGTGGTAAATTTTACTCTTCTTTTTCAGCCCCTTCCTTTTGGCGTATGTAACTAAAATGATCTAATCCTGCCTGCTTTCTGAATGTGATCACCCAGTCATACCTTTGCTTATTCACCAGCTTTGCCTCCTATCTACCGCTAGCACCATGCCACCCCCATCATACACCAACTGGCTCCTGTTTTAAATAACTGCCTGGCAGTGAACACCAGGGACTGCTTAGTGCCAGTTCTGGCAAATAAAGATAGCCCTTCCCTTTCCTTTATGAAAACCAGGATGATATTATTCCACCTTTATTTTGAAGTTAAGACATGAAGCTTGACACTCTAGCTTGAGAGTTCCTTAAAGGAACAAGTGTGGATTCCCTTTAGTAGGTTCTCCAAAGTGTGTGTGTGTGTGTGTGTTTGTGTGTGTGTGTGTGTGTGTGTGGTGTAAAGATGAAAGGCAGAGGAACATTCTATTTGGGTCATTGACAGATGTTAGAATTTTATAACAAATAAAACAATTGAGTATCCTATCAGGTGCTCAACCAAAACATCCCTTACTGGCATCTAAGTGGAATCAGATGGACTCAACACACATGCATTTTGTTTTTCAAAGTGAATGGGATATGTTCTTGATTTTCTGACACAAGGCAAGCCACTTGGCATTAGGCAGGGGTTAGATGAGTGTGGTTGGGCTGGGACAAATGTCAGAAGTGCTGGGCTGTTCAGAGTCCCTTTCACAATCCTGAATACAACTGCAAGGGCTCTTTCGAATAATTGGAATAACTTGGCACCCAAAAGTTTCTAGGGGAAAGGGACTGTAGAGATCATCTAACTCAATACCCTCCCTTTGCAGATGAGGAAAATGATACCCTGAACAGTTACTCAAGTTTCCCAAGATTCCATGGCCAATGAATCCACCATGCATACGCCCAGCTCCTTGTAGAATGTTCTCTCTGTCCGCCTGAACTAATACATCTGAGGCTTCCCATCAAAGCCCAGGCCCACATAAGAGACAGAAATATTGATTTTTGGAAGAGCAGTTTGAGGTACCACTTAATCTGCATCCACAACATCTACAATTAAAGCCCAGTATGAATCTCCAAACAACTCTCCTGCTGGAGCAGCCATTTGAAATAGACCATTGGAAACCTGCTGGTTGGTGTCATGGAGAGCAGGGCATCAGGAGTTAGGGGCATCTGTTCCACCCCTGGCTGAAGCATTCATTATCTGGAGTTTTGAAACATGAATGTGCATGGAAGTCATCTAGAGAACTATTTATAATGCAGATCCCAGACCCTTGCTCCTCTAGATAGAAGCTCCACGGGTCTGAGGTAGTGCTTAGTCAGCGGCATTTTCTTGGACAATAGGTACACAGTATTACTTCATGCTTCATGTTCTCAGTGCTAGAACTATCTCTGTTTTATAAGACAATTTACTGCCTTCATGAAGCTTTAAGTCTGTGTGTGTGTGTGTGTGTGTGTGTGTGTGTGTGTGTGTGTGTTTGAGGGGGCAGGGAAATAGCCTATAAATGCATCATAAATAAGTGAAATTTAGAGTTTGATAAATAATGTACATTTAAGATATAATAGATTGATATATGGTTGTGTGGAGCTGTACTTGCTAGTATGGACAGGGATGGCTTTTCTGAGACTTGAGTAAGGAGGAAAGACTTTGTGTGAATGGGGGCTGCAAAGAAGGGTAGAGTTGGCAGGGAGAGTTGGGGAGGGAAGCGGGGCAACCTACAAGGTCTGAGGGCAGCCAGGGGCATGTCCTGTGCTCTGTAGTGAGGAGTGTAAAACTTGGGCATGATTTCCTTCGAATTGCAATGGGCAGCTGTTGAGTGGTTTTTAGCAGAGGAATGATATGATCCAATTTATGCTCTCAAGAGATGTGTTCTAACAATTGCCCCAGGTGCTTCTGCCTCAGACCCACACTTTGAAACTCTCATGTGTGGTCTTCAATAGAGAATCGTCTTTCTGAGTTTCAGTTTTCTTATTTTTAAAGTTTAATTCCTGGCTATCCCTATATCATAGGATTATAAAAATCAAGCATTTCCTGGGGAATAATGTTGAAAGGTATTTTTTTAAGAGTTATTTATTTATTTTTACTTTTGTCTCTGTGGCAAATGGGGAGACAGCTGTCTGGGACGTAATTCAGGGTTTGACCACTGGGTTTGAAAAGTCATATACTTTAGAAAACCCACTTGTAACCAACTTATTTTTCTTCTTTCCTGTATTCATTGTAAGTGGATTTCCCTTTTGTGTATGTATGTGTTTGAGACAGATGGCAACTTTACAGCATGATGTTAGAAGAAAAAGTGTTTGGAAAGGGAAGAAGGAAGGCAAACAAGAAAAGCAAGCCTTGAATAAGCAATTTTTCATAAAAGGAATACATTCTGGGACAGTTTATTTTTGTGATCTGCCTGGAATTTGGGGACAATGTGCTAGAATTTCTTTTTGCCTTCAGCTGGCAGGCTGCCTAAAAAAGGTGGGACTTGGAAGAGAGACACAATGTTTCTATTAAAATAAGGCTTTATTGAAAGCAGGGCCAGTGGCTAAAGTTAGTCCTTAGCTTTTTTAAGACACTATGGCTGGGTCTATGTGAATATTGAAGTAGAGAATGGAAACTATTATCCAGCTTGGGCACCCGGGCTCAATATCTAAGCACCATATTCAAATGATAGCAGACCAAGTAGTCGACTGTTTTTGAAAGAGACTTTGAATTTTTTGGATAATTTCTCTAATTTCTCACTTTATTTACAGAGTAAACAGTCTATATTTGAGGTAAGGGTGAGTTTATTGTATTCTCTACTTCCAGAAATACTTCTATGTGTTTCTTCCATGTGGCTTAGGCCTGTTACTATTAATGCTCATAGGAAAAAGCCTTCTATGGCCTGGGGACCGTCATGGGCTCTGGTCACATCAGACTCTTTGCCAACATTACATTCATTCTCCAGGTGTGGAGGGCTTACTTCTAAGCCAAGTTCTGGTGCCTACAAAATCTGAAAACACTGATTACTTTTCAGTGACAATCAATAGTTGTTATTTTAAGATTTTCCATTTAAATCAGCCTTACCACTTTGGAGTCACGATCGGTTCTTCATTTTCTCTTGCTTCCATCTCTGATTGCATGTTCTATTGCTTTTTCCTTTGACATGCCCTCCAGATAAGGATGGTATTCATTAATGTTTATTGGGCGTTAATATATGTAAGTTGCTGTGCTAAGTGTATTAAGTAATCTCAATGAGTTCTCATAATTTTATTAAGTCGATGCAATATTTGCATTATTTTACAGTTGAGGAAACTGAGATTATGAGATGTTAAGGCACTCGTTCAAGATTACAGCGCTAATAAATGGTAGAGTAAGGGCTTGAAACTACAAATTAGTTACTTCAGTCAACAATAAATTATTGTGTGAGTTGATGGGCTAGGAATTTGCTAGACATTGGAAATAAAAAATAGAACAGGGTAAAAGGGGAAACTATATGAATTAACCCATAAAACTTTCCTGAGAGTCATTAGATAATTAATGTGAAGATATAACTTGTTCATGGATGGGAAGGCTACTTATTGTATATATACAAACATTCCTAAATTATTTTTATAAATTTAGTGCTGTTTCAAAAATATGATTATTTTATTAAATGTATCAAAATGACTGCAAGATTTCTTTGAGAAAAAAACACAACTATAGTTCAAAATATACAATGTATTTTTTAAAGGAAGCGTAAAGCCATGGGAATTCTCTATTTGACAGTCCAAACTACCACCAGACTAAAACAAGCAAAACAATGTAGCAGATGGATACATGGTATGAAGTAGATAGCAGCAAGCCAGACTCATATCTATGGGAATTTAGAATGTGATACAGATAATATCACAGATTTCCAGGGAAGAAAATGGTTAATTGATAAATTGGTCTTAGGAAAATTGCTTTACAATTTGAAAATATACACTTAAAACATTACCTTGTCATTTACACTAAAATAAATTGTTAATATCTTAAAGAGATCAATTTAAAAATATAAAGCCATTAAAGGACATGTAAATATATATGTACCATATCTCTAATGGGTAAAGACTTTATAAGTATAAAAAATGTGTAGAAGCAAAAAAGAGGTAATAACAATAGACTACATAAAAATGCATATATTGATATCAACAATAGAATCAGAATTGAAGACAAATAACAATTTGAGGTAAAATTTTTGCCAAAATAATGCAAGACAAAAGACACACATACTATATGACAAGCTCCTATCGATGGATGAGGAAAAAAACCTAATGCCTTGCAAAATATACACAAAATATAAATATAAATGTTATGTTTACTACATTTGTATAGTAAATTTATTTCACTTCATGACCTATCAAAACATGTAAAAATGAAGAAATCCCACCTTTTATTATCAAGTTAGCATAGACGTAAGCGATGGTGTTCTGTTACTCACCATGGTCATGGGTATGTGCAAAAGGGCTTGCTTATCCAGTGACAGGGAAGTGAACTGTTAGAATCTTTCCACAGGGCAGTTCTGTAACACGAACGGAGGGAAAGCTTTAAAATGTTTACACCTATGACTTGGTAGTAGCCTTTTAAGATTTTACTCTAGGGAAATAATCAGCAATATATTCAAAGAATTACATACAGACATGTTTGATGTACAACTTTTTATAAAAAAAGAAATTAGAAATGTCATAAATGACCAACATAAGGAAATAGTTAAATTTTTGTCTATACAACTCTATTATAAAATGTGAAGCTATTTAAAATCATGCTTTGAATGAATAATTTGTGTTTTAGGGAAAATTCATAGTAATAGATGAAACAAGAAAGATCCAACTATATATATTTCATCCTCCAAAAAAATCTCTCTTTATATATATATTTATACAAACACATAGGCACATATATACATACTCATATATATGTGTATATTTCTCTTTCCCTGAAAAGACATGACAAGACATTAAAAATGGTAAATGGGTGCTTTACATCATATATTTCTGTATTTTTAAAGTTTCTTAAGGTACGTGTGTTAGTTTTATAATTTAAAAAATATATATATTTTTTAATTAAAAAACAACCAATGAAGTTAACTTCCTAACGTTGTGGTGAGAGCTGCTCTTGGATTCTGTTTGGCTTCAGAGCAACCAAGTCTCTCTTAGTCTCTCTAGGCAATTCCTATTTCATCAGTGAAACCCTATTTTTTTTTAATCAAGAAAACTTGAGTTCTCTAGATACCTAAAGGAATGTTTGGCTCACATTGTCATTCAAATTGGTTTAATTTCATTGAATTTTGTTTTATCTTTGGTAAAACATTTTGAAATGGTCCTATGAAAGACCCTCTACAACCAAGCTATTGGCTGATCAATTTGATTAGCAGTTAGGAATTATAAATGGAAGATAAAACGGGTCTTTTCTTGTTATGCAGCCCTGGTAATAAATGGCAAGTACATATTTTTCAGAGGCTTTTATTCTTAGAAAGAAAGCAAAAGGATATAATAGGTTTTTAAAATACATGCCACATAATTTATTCTGACAAACAGATGTATTTTGTTGTTGCTATTATCATTTGATGAAATACTTTAAAACTAGTCCAAGGTGGTCCATTTTCAGATATAATACATAGAGTGCATCTAGCAGTTAACAAAATTTGGATGTGTGGCATAGAGTGGTCATTATTTTTACTGAAAAAAAATAAAGGCACTAATTACTTACAGACAAGATACTTAGCACAAACAGATAAGCTTCAAAATGAAAAATTCTCAGTTTATGATAATTATGTTCTCTGCTTTGTTTTCAGAGACTGATAATTTGAGGCTTTAAAATCACCAGGAAGCCATTAATTGGAATTCTTCAATAAAAAATAAATTACACAGAAGTTCATGATGAGTTGTAAAAGCAGAGAGACTGTATTATACAGTGAGCGACATTGCTTCACTATTTATAGCCTCTCACAGATATGTCTAACGGAAAACTATAAGGAATTTGAGATGTGCAGATAGCAATTATTCACAGATCCAAACTATCTGCAGATATTTCAAATAACAGCTTTTAGCAGATCTCTTCACCAATAAAGGCAGGGCTTTAATTTGAAGCAGGGTTTCGCTAACATGTTGCTTTTTGTTTTCGACATTTTCCATTGCTTCCTAAGGATATATCAGATCACAGCGGCAGGTCAGGCAAATCTTCAAATCACATGACACAATATAGCCCCATGTAAGAATACTATAGCCCAATGTAAAAGGAAGTACATTTCAGAGATGGTACCTTTCACAGGAGGTCTGGATTGCATTATCTATACAGGTTAGCTGTAGCAGTCTCAGCTTTAGAATATCACGGCCTTAATCTCTCTAAAGAGAATCAAATAACTGTAAATGTTAATCTATCATGCTTTGGGCTGGAAGCAATGGTTAGGGAAGGGAAGAAGATGCCAGGATAGCCTCATCTTTGGGATGTTCCAAGAGAAAAGCAAATATAATCTGCATAAGGGAAGCAAACATGTGATAATGCTTACCTTCTGACTTTCAGGAGCTGTGTGGGTGAAGGTCAAGTGGTGGCCCATACATACCAGTCTATGGTTTGGTAGTGAGTGTGACTCTGATACTGAAGTCTGACTGCTTTCAATTTCCCTCCCATTTGATGTCAGTACAGGAACAATGATCTCATTCATGTCCATTGCACAGGGAAAGAGAAGGATTTCTATGATGGTTGCAAACAAAGACTATCATGCAGAAAGAGAGAATGGTGTGGGGAGGGGTGCACGAAGGCATAAGAAGGAAGTTGGGATTCAGTTTTAATTTTTTGTATAACTACCTCAACTATTCAGTCAATGTTTCCGTAGTATGCAGCAGAGACTGTTCAGAATTCTAGGGAATTCAGGTAAAAATGACTCAAAAATACTAGGAATATGTTGGGAGTCTAGGGAGAGTGGTCAAATGCACACAGAGGCAACATCTTGCTTCTGTGGAATGAGTATAGATTTCATAATCTGTATTCGTCGGGATAGGCTGGATTAGGCTTCAGTAACAAACAGTGCACAAATACCAGTGACTTGACATGTAGAGGCTGACATCTTGTTCTTGCTATATATTCAGTATAGGTTTCCAGGGATTTCTGTTCATCATAGTTCACTCAGGACCCAAGGCTGATAGAAACTTGCTCTTGACACATGATTCTGTGATCACCAGAGCAAGGAGGAGGGAATGTGATAAATTGTAGTCTGACTCTCAAAACTGCCACTCAGAACTAACACATGTCACTTCTTACCTTTTATCAGCCAGAGCAAGTCACATGGTCAGTACTAACTTCATATCAAGGTAGAGAAGTACAACCTTGCTTTGGACTTGGGAAGAGAACTAGAATATTTGTGGACAGACCTAATTAGTGTTTACATTAGTTTCTGATGACTGTGATAACAAATTTCCACAAACTTGGTGGCTTAAAACAACACACATTTATTTTCTTATATTTCTGGAGGTTAGAAATTCAAAATCACTTTCTCTGGTTCGAAATCAAGGCATAGGCATGGCCATGCTCTCTGTAGGCTTCAGGGGAGAATCTGTTTCCTTGCCTTTTCCAGTGTCTGGAGATGCATTTCTTCCATTCCTTGTGTTGTGGTTTCTTTCTCCATCTTCAAAGCCAGCTGTGTAGCGTCTTGCTTCAGTCATCACATTGCTGCCTTTTTACTCTATAGTCAATTTTCTCTCTGCCTCCCTTTTAGAAGGACACATGTGATTATAGGTAAGATGCTCTTGGATAATCTCAGATAATCTCCCCATCTCACAACCTTAACTTAATCACATCTGCAATGTTCATTTTGCCATATAAGGTAACATTCTAAGGTTCCAAGGATTAGAACCTCAATATTTTAGGTGGCCATTATTCAGACTATCAGTGTGCCATACTAGATGTGGTTCCCACATCCATCACTTACTGGCTCTGTAACCCTAATCAGTATAATTCTCTAATGCTCAGTTATCTCATTTATAAAATGAAAGTTAGAAATGCCTCATGATAGTTATAAGGATTAAATACATTGTCCATGTATATGTCTTCTACAATGACTTTCAACATTTTAAGATTTTGTTGTGATGGTAAAAGAATTTGTGTGTGTGTGTATGTGTGTGTGTGTGTATTGCATATTCACATTTTGGATCATCTGAATAGCTTGCCTAGTGTTGTTCATGGAGTCAGTGTCTGGGATCACATAAGCACCCATAATGACCTGTTACTTAGCTATTAATACTGTGCTTCCCAGACTTTATTGTGCATCAGGGAAAGCTGTAATCTTGTTAACTAATGCAGATTCCAAGGCCCTATGCTCAGAGATTCTGATGGAGAAAGTCTGGGGTCAAATGTTCATTCTTATCACCACTAAGGCTGATTTTCATGTGGGTGCTCCATAGATCTCCCTTTGAAAAACCATGCTGGTAAATTTGCCTGAACATTGTTAGACAAATTACTCACTTGAATCAAATTGAGAGTTGAGCTTCTTCCACAATTGTGCTCATATACTCTGCACCCACAGCTAGTTCTTCCACACAAGAGAGAGAACTATTAAGTTTATAAAATTGTACAACATAAAGGAAAACAATGCCATTTACTTATATGAGTCAATGTGGTCCCTGAAAATCAAGAATCTCCAATTGGGCCAGGAGTGATAGCTCACGCCTGTAATCCCAATACTTTGGAAGGCTAAGGCAGGCGGATCACTTGAGCTCAGGAGTTCAAGACCAGCCAGGACAACATTGCAAAACCCTGTCTCTATAAAAAAAAAAAATACAAAAATTAGCCGGGCATGGTCATGTGTGCTTGTAGTCCCAGCTCCTTGGGAGGCTGAGGTGGGAGGACGGCTTCAGCCTGGGAAATAGAGGTTGCAGGAGCAAAGATTGTGCCACTGCACTCCAGCCTGGGCAACAGAACCAGAGAATGGAACAGCAGACAGTGTTAAATGTGCTAATTAATACTTTCAGGTTTATTTGAGATGATGTTGCATTTATAATTTAAAATAGGCTGTAATAAAAAATAAGCAACCAGAGAATGAATGTGAAATCATTCTTAGAAATTAAAAGGACAAAACAGAAAGCCTGAATGAATGACTGGAGACAACTGAATTAATGATCTGGAAGGGGAATTTGTATACATCTTCTAGGACAAGAAGTAAAAAGATAAAGGGATGGAAAATATGAAAGAAAAGTAAAAATAATAGAGAATAAATTCAAGAAGTTTAACATATAATCCTAGCAGTTATAAAAGGAGAAATCAGGGAAAAATTTAAAATCAAATTTTTCTGAGCTGAAAGAAGAATATTTTCATTTTAAAGGGATTCAAGCACAAAACAGAGGTAATTAATTAAGATTTACATCTAGACAGAGCCTAGAAACAAACATATTTTTAACATTCCAACAGCATAGATGTAAACATTCCAAAAGCTCCTGGGGAGGCAAGGAGGAGATAAGAAGGAACCTATATACAAAGGATTGAGAAGTAGGTTGTCATCAGGCTTCTCATCTGCCATACTAATTATAAAGAACAATGGGACATTATCTTAAAGGTTTTAAGGGTATTGAGTCAAAGCAACATTCAAGTGGGATGGAAAAACATAGACTTTACATATCTCCTACAGATCTATTTTGGAACACAAACTTAAGTATGTAATTAACAAAGTGAAACAATATATACAGAAAAGAGTTATATGAGAAATAATATTTAGAAAGAAAACTAGCACAGCATACATTTAAGTCTAAGTAATTGTTGACTCATACACTCACAAATAGATAAGATCACATGTTGGGCCATGATGAATAGGAGAGTAAGGGGGTGATAATCTCTGAAAATAATATGAAGAACATAAAATCCTGCTAAGATTTTTGTCTTGGTGGGTTGGAGAATATTCATGGTGATTATTAACTCTAAATATTGGTAGAAAAATACAAGTTTCAAAATGTAGCTTAAGTGTTTGATAGTAACCATTAGAAATTAGTATTTATAACTTAAAAATCATTAGGGTAAATAAAAGTAGAGCAAGAAAACATTCATTTCAACGAAAAGAGAAACAAAAAAACAAAAAATACAAGACAAAGAACAAATAGAAAAAATGCCTACATGATTCATTGAAATATAAATATATTGGAAAGATTTTATCTCAAAATATCAGTAATTGCATTACATATGAATGGATAGATTTACCTTTTAAAGTATATGTTTCCTAGTTGGATGAGCATGAGAATGATGATGATGATGATAGACAACACTAATAATGATAATAGCTAGATGTTATTTAAAGTAAACATACCTAAAACCAAATAACACAGAGGCCTAAGTGTAAAGGGATGGAAAAAATAAACAAAACAAATGGCAGTTATAAAAGAAATATTTCAATATTAGTATAAGACAAAATCAAATTAAAAACAAATTGATTAGATACAATAAGGAAGACTATTATACATGCATTAAAGATATAATTTACCAAGGAGATCCAATAATCATAAATGTTAGTACATCTACAAATATTATCTTAAGCAAAACCTTTTAGAAATGCATTGAGAAGGTGGCAAAATCTCTAATCAGGGATGAAAACTTTAACATACCTCTCTAATAAACCAAAGTGAACAAAAATTAAGTAAAGCTAGGAGAATTAAATAACATAATTATAAAGTTTGATTATAAATTTTTATATAAATGTATAATTATGCTCCTATTAGGTATGAATGTACTGGATATATATAATGATACCCAATAAATATAAAATGTATATACTTTTCAGATTCCAATGAAACATTTAAAAAAATTGAATAGTGTATTAATACACAGGAAAATTTCAGTAAATTCTAAATCATAGAGATCACCAGTTGAAATTCTCTGACCATGGAAAAATAAAATTAGAACTTAACCAAAAAAGGAATTGCTAAAAAGTTGTCTACTTAGAAACTAAAAACAAAAAAAGTAAATTTTCTCATTTACTTCATGAACAATAAATTGACCATATGTAATAGAGAAACATGGATGAACCTGGAGGATATTATGTTAAGTGACATAGCCAGTCACAGAAAAACAAATATCTCAGGATTCTACTTATATGAGGAATCTAAAATAGTCAAATTCATAGAATCAAACAGTGGAAAAGTGGTTGCTGCGGGCTAGGAGGAAAAGGAAATGGGGAGTAACTAATCAATGAGCATAAAGTGTCAGTCAAGCAAGATGAAGAAGTTGTAGAGATCTGCTCTTCAACATTGGACTTACGGTCAACAATAACATATTTATTGTGTACTTGAACATTTATTAAGAGGGTAGATTTCAGGTTGTATCCTTACCACAGTAAAATAAAAAAATATTTTAAAAAAGAAACTGTGGAAGAATATATGCATAATTTTGTTTCTATAAATTTGGAAATTTAGATGAAATAGATTATTTTCTAGAGTTGACCAAATAACATTAATGAAGTAAAAATTAGAAAATTGTAACAGATCAATAATAATAAAAATAGCTGAAAATATGTCAGAGTTCTGGCACTATAAAAAGCATTAAACTCAGAGAGTTTAAAAGCATACTCTACCAAAAATTGAAGGAACAGATCATTTGCTATGTTTTATAAACTTTTAAGTCATTAAAAATAATGGAAAGCTACCTAAATGATTTTACCAAGCTTACAAGGATGGCACACATAAATAAAGTGATAGGCCAAAGTTGCATTCTAACATAGATGTAAAAAACCTATGTAAAATAAAGCAAAATAAAATTATTTAAACTCGGTGGTACTTCAAAAGAATGGTATATTATCACCTAATATGGTTATTCTGAGAATTCAAGAATATACAATATTTGGAAATATATAAAATATACTGTATTAACATATTAAAAGGGAAAATAATGTAATCATCTAGGTATTCTGTGAGAGGGTTTAATAAAATTAGTCCCTATTAAATTGACATGAACTTTTGGTATGATCATCTGGTGATAGCTATTAATATATGTGTACTTTTATCTCAGCAATTCTACTTTTAAATTTAAGGAAAATTTAAAAGTTTTAGGAAAAACAAAACAAAACAAAAAACAAAAACAAAAAAACAAAAAACGCTTGTTCGTGTGTACAAAGAAACAAGGACAAGAATGTTCATTTCCGTATTGTAAGTTGTAAGAAGTAAAACCACCCAAATGGCTACCAGTGGGAAGTATGAGAAGACATGGAAAGTTCACCAAAGCATTTTGTTTTGTTAAACAAAAATCAGAATAATCCATATAGTATGAGTCTTATATATATTAAAACAAAACAAAAATTATGGCTATGTATATAAATACACAGGGGAAAGCCTTGAAGGATACAGGCCAAACTGCTAATTTATTTATTTATTTTTTTTTTGAGATGGAGTCTCGCTCTGTCGCCCAGGCTGGAGTGCAGTGGCGCCATACAGGCCAAACTGCTAATTTATTTTTTATTTATTTATTTTTTTTGAGATGGAGTCTCGCTCTGTCGCCCAGGCTGGAGTGCAGTGGCGCCATCTCGGCTCACTGCAAGCTCGCCTCCCGGGTTCACACCATTCTCCTGCCTCAGCCTCCTGAGTAGCTGGGACTACAGGCACCCGCCACCATGCCTGGCTAATTTTTTGTATTTTTAGTAGAGACGGGGTTTCACCATGTTAGCCAGGATGGTCTCGATCTCCTGACCTCATGATCCACCTGCCTCGGCCTCCCAAAGTGCTGAGATTACAGGCATGAGCCCCAGCGCCTGGCCCAAACTGCTAATTGTTCTTATCTTTGGAAAGGGAAATGATATTGAAGTGTGGAGGCAGGAATATTACCCTATATACATTATGTTTGCTTAATAATCATAACTAAAACTATACGTGCTTTTTTTAAAAAAAACAATTTATTCAAATATTGTGTACATAAAAATAATTTTAAGGAAACATCAAAGAAAGAGAGGCTTCACTTGTAAATTACCTCATTGATTCACCTATGTCATGCAGAAATAAGTACTTCCACTGTGGAAGAAGACAATCCACTAGTTCTTTAGAGTGTGGGAGAACTATCCCTTGCACACATGCAATGCCATGACCTGATTCTGTGTCCAGCAGCATCCTTGCGACGTGACCTATCCTAGAGTTTCTTTAATGACTCTTTCTACCAGAAGGGAATTCTCTGAATAATTGCTTGGTTCTTATATCTCTGTTCTAAAATGATTAAACTAAGTCACTGGCTGGTTTAAATAATAATTCTGTGCAAACCAGTGCCACAATCCCTGGAATTCTCAGCACTTGACTCCTGCTTTCCACCTCTTCCAAATGCCTAGGTTTTCAGAACATATGCAGAAGCTTTTCATAATGTTTAATGTGTGATGCTAATTCTTCTGTTATTTAATGTGACAAATTCACATCTTTTCCCGACCTGATGACACAGTCAATGTGAGTCTATGGAGACAGGGTAACAGTGTCAAGATAAAATGAAGCAACATTGGCCAATTCTGTTGAGAACATGTTTTAACACCAAGATGGAGTGGGGCAAAGTCAAGGACAATACCACACAATAAAAATATTGGGTCTCTACAGCATGGAAACGGCTTACAATTCTTGCTGAATAAAACCCACAGTAAATCACATGGAATCAATGTATAAGAGATCCCGGGCAAATTAAAAATGATCCCCTCCCTTTCACTAATAAGGTGGCTGCAGTCCATGGTTGATTGTTGATGCAGCTAACTTTGATAATTGCCTTCATACTCACTGAAAAGAAACTTTCCAAAATGAGACATTATCTTCTATTCCTTTTATTAACTTCATATTTTTGTGTTGCTATTGAGGAGGGAGGAGGAGAGAGAATTTTATTGAACTGAGAGCTCTGGCTTCTTGACATCTAATTGTCCACAGTATTTCTGCATTTTAAAAAAAATTCCATAGTCAGGAAACTAACACTTTTTTAAAGCCCATCCAACTGTGTGTTCTAGGATGCCAGCAACTCTGGAGTAGGGACAGCAAATGTACCCTGAAGCTTTGAATTCTGTTGCAGATGAGTTGTTTTTTTTTTTTTGTTTTTTTTTTTTGAGGCAGGCTCTGAGATGGAGATTAGCAAGAAAGAAGCTGATTGGAAAATGCTCTCAGGAACGAGACCTGTGTGGGCTGCAGAGAGCAAGGCTTGGCCAAAAGGGCGGCAGGACAGCAATGTAATCAGAAGAAGGCCTGGAACCTTTGCTGGGGTGCCCTGCAGAATTGCCTCCCATTCCCATTTGGTGCAAAGGACAGGTTCTTACAGAGCCCACACTGGATGTATAGGCTGCCTCAGGAAAGAGACTTGATCTGGATGAGGTGACTGTTGTCCCTCAAGGACTCTCAGAAGGGATTCCCACCTGTCACTCACCACACACCCAACATCTGGGGAACTGAGTGCCTCAATATTGGAGGGTGGGACCTGGACACCTCAGTCTGCTCACTATTTAATGTTAGTTTATGCTCCTGCTAATTGGGTAATAACCTGAATATTTATTGGGCTATCACTGTACTAATATTCATCTTGGTTAAGTCGCTCCTCTACCTAATATGAACAGATTGAACTCATGACCAGCTTACTTTCATCCCTGCATTCTGTGTACTAAGGATTTTCTTGCTAGATGCTTTAAGCATTGGCATTTAAAATAGAAGTGCAACAATTGATATAGTTTCTCAAGTCTTTGGTCGACAAGCCCCCTTCTTTCCTTTTTACATGCTTTTGTTAAACCTCTCTTGAGTGGCTAGGGTGAAAGGAGGTCACATGCATCTTTGATAGTCTGAAATTTTCAGGAACAGTTCCAAAATTTAATTAAGTACTGATTGTCTTCTATGCACATGAGAGAGAAGAAGAAAATCTTCAGAAATAACAGAATTAAGCATGCTCTATTTTGTAGCCTTGTAATGACCTCCAGCAAATGCCTGACCTAGTTCTGAGGGCTTGGAGTCCACTTGCACGAACATGATGCCTTAAAAAGTGGACTCGGAAATCAAAGTCAAAAACTGGCACCATCCAT
The DNA here is from genome assembly GCF_000001405.40 of Homo sapiens. Lineage (NCBI taxonomy): Eukaryota > Metazoa > Chordata > Mammalia > Primates > Hominidae > Homo > Homo sapiens. The sequence continues at coordinate 59,762,499 of NC_000002.12, read as the reverse complement.
GGTAATGGAGCAGAGAGGGATGCCCTGTGCTATTGGTAGAAAAGACAAAATGTGAAATAGAATGAAAATTGCCTCCAGTCACTTAATTTGGAGGCAGCACAGGAGCTGTGCAGCATTTCAGTCGGATGGTACCTTGAATTAAAAGAACTAATCTGCAATGGGTTTTCTTATTACCCTGATGATGTTGGGAACAGATATTTCCCTAGCTGCATTAATGCTTGGGGGCAGAAACTCCTGCCTGCCCCCAAGAGGTTAACTAGCAAGCAGTGCTCTGTGAAGGCCCTGAAATATTATGCAAGTCAGAATCTCATTCCTCTGTTCCTACTGAAGCCCTTATTGGTCAGCAGATACAATGCTTTTGTTGTTTTACGTAGAAAGCAAAGTTCACATCAAGAGGCAAAGAAGAGCTTGTGTCAGAGAGGTCTTGGAGTCAGAGTTGATTCAAAAGTTGACTCCTCTGCATCACAGGAGAAGGCTCACAGGGAATGACTTTTCTACCTTGTCAGTGCTAATGTAAGTCACCTAACAAGTAATGGTGGCATTCCCCACAATGTGGCTTATTGAATACTAGTCTTGTGAAGTACTCGTTACCCAAAACAAGACCTAAACAAACAAACAACAACAAAAAGCCCTTTGATTAGATACATTTGGGAAATAATATTTTCCACACCCCTGTCTTACAGATTAACAATGAACATTAACACATTAAAAGATCATGATCATCCTGCCTTAAAAAATCCAGCTAATCCAGGTTTTTCCCCTCATTTGCTTTACACTTTTCCTCTCCTTCCCTCTTTTTCATAACACCTTTATAATTCCCATAAAATGTACAACAGACCACAGTTTGGGAACTGCTGCAGGAACCGAACTGTTAGACTGCAAGACTGTCAGGCAAGGCCACACACAGGCCACTTCCAGGCTCTTCTTGGATGTCTAACCTCTCCGTTTCCTCCAGGAATCCTCTGATCACCCTGTTAAGGTGGACCTCAAGTTAAGTGATCGCTTATGATTAATAGTTAAATCTCTCCCTCCCTCCCCTCCCCTCTCCTGCTGACTCCTCCCTCTCTCTTTACTTTAAGCCAATGTAGCACTTGTTGTCTACTTTGTAACTTCTTTTTCATAGGGTAGGATTACTCCAGTTTGCTTATAAACTGTCCACATGTTACAGGTATCTTTAGGTCTCTACTGTGCTTGGTTCATAGTAAACCCTCCGTAAATATTGAGGTGTAATTGAAGAATGCAACATTGTAGACTAGATGATCTGACTGAATCCATCTGTAAGAATATGAAGGATTAAGAAGGCAGCTAACTCAGAGACAAGGGAGTTCTGGGGATAGGCAGGATTTCTGGGAAATGTCTTCATGTCTAGCCCGGGCGCGGTGGCTCACGCCTGTAATCCCAGCACTTTGGGAGGCCAAGGCAGGTGGATCACTTGAGGTCAGGAGGTCGAAACCAGCCTGGCCAACATGGTGAAACCCTGTCTCCACTAAAAGATACAAAAATTAGCGGGGCATGATGGTGTGCGCCTGTAATCCCAGCTAATCGGGAGGCTGAGGCAGGAGAATTGCTTGAGTCTGGGAGACAGAGGTTGCAGTGAGCTGAGATCATACTATTGCCTTCCAGCGTGGGTGACAGAGCGAGACTGTCTCAAAAAGAAAAGAAAAAGAAAAAAGAAAATATCTTCATGTCTGGAAATCAGTCTAGAAAGTATGGGATTCATAACAGAATGACAGGAATCCAGAAATACATCAGATCTCAATAAATATGTCTGGGTAACCATGTATTCCCTGGAAGCAAATCATAGTCCCTTTGACTACCTTTATTCTTTTAGTCTAAAAGGTACAACAAAATCTCATTACTATCATCCCACATCTAGTTTTGTACCCCCTAAGGATGTTATTCAATTCTGAAAGCCCTTGAGAAGCTCCCCAAGTTATACTGTTTCTTGCTTCCACCACTTCCCCTGCTTATAAAGTTTTCTTATTTCGGTTCCTTGAAAAACACCATAACAGCCTTTTACTGTAAATAGTGGCTACTACCCTCAAATTTACCTCTCCCAAAAGAAAAAATACAAAAGCAACTCCAGTGTGAAGTATAAGGAAGAGGTGGTAGCTATTACACCACTAGGATTCATATGGTATTATGAATTTCTATGAAAATGGGAATTACACAGAATCTGCTTTGCTTTCTGGCAACCTGGTTACATTAAAGAATATTGAGTTTCTAGTCCTTACTGCAGAGCATGGGTGGGTAGTATTTCCAGCCATGAATTTACTAGATTTCTCTCTCTCTGTCTCTCGATAGGTAGGTAGGTAGGTAGGTAGATAGGTAGATAGATAGATAGATAGATAGATAGAGTTTTATATACTCTGGGATTATCATAACAACTTTTACTTTCTTAAGTGAAAATAACATTTTCTATACAAACTATGTTTAATCTGTTAATGTATTGAGCCCATGAAAATGTCCACAGATAGACACATGAATAATAAAATGTTGAGAGGCTCTCAATATAACATTTCACCAAATTTTTACAAAAAAGTTTGTGAGAAATTTTACTTTGTACTGCTCATCATGGAAGTGAAATTTAATAAAGAAGTTATAAAATTATGAAATTTAATTCTGGACTACAAGTGACATAAAAGGCCCAGCATAAAAATCTAATTTCTTCATTCCTAGCATTTCATCCAACCAAGTGACACACGTTGCATGCCAGTCATTCAGTGCAGTCTCTCTGTGCCCAGGGAATGCTGCAGACTCTCAGATTTACTGCTGATAAGATGAAGAGTATGGGTTAGGGTCATCAGGGAGGGCTTCCTGGTGGAAGAAGCATTTGGACCTTAAAGGGTGCTTAACATTTGGACAGTAACTAGGTAAGAATGGAGATGGGGTGTTTCCGGGCCTTGGGAATTATATTATCAGTGGCACCGAGATGATGAAAGCACTCACCTTGTTGAGGCAGTGCTCTGATCATGGGATGGAAGTGCAACCACCGAGCAAAAAGTAATGGAAAATGACGTTGGACATGTTCACTTCGGACAGCCAGTGTTGTCAGTTGACAGTTTCACTTTCCTCCTACTGTCCAGCTACTTTTACCTGTAGTATTGCAACAAGCTGATCTGTCATAATCACTTGTAAGGTGTGTCAGAGTAATTTGATTCTAGGAAAAATAACTACTAGAAGTTTTGTTTGACTTATATTTGTTTTATGTAAATTTAAGTTGCTACCTTTATGATCATATGTGGTAGGGATCTCAGCATACCATGAAGCCTTCTTTTGTCCACTGCTGGGATTTAGGCATGGCTGGGCCATCTTGGGCAGTTTGTGGGAGAGTAGGAGTAATATCCAGTGCCATATGCATGGCATCCATTTGCATGGGATGAAGAGCATGGATCCAAGGGAGAATAAGCTAGAAACATAAAGCAGCACGAGCCAGGGATAAAGACTTTATCATCACTCAGCCTACATTCTAGTGCTGGCTTCTCTTGGAATCTGCTCCTGATCCAACCTCCTGATGTAGACCTAGGCCCTGAGAAAACAGAAGGCAGTAAATAAATGTCCCCCCACTGGGGCACAGGGAACACTGCCTTTGGGCTCTTTTAACAGATTGCCACATGGAGTGGAGAGACTGCTTTGACATTTATCTCCTCACTAGTCTAGGGCAGCCTGAAGAGGAATAATATGTGTAGGAGAGTAGCCAGAAAGACTGGGGCACTGGGAACAGCTCAAATGTTGTGAGATGCTCTGGAGATTTCCAGACATACTTGAGGCAGAGGCATCAGTAGATGGAGAGGATCTTTATAAGGGATTTGACTTCCTGTTTATGCAGGTAACTGATCCCTTGGGCAAGCAGTATCACTTTCACGCTCTTAAATTCCAATGCAATCATTGAATGGCAAGAAAGGAGGTGGCATTAGAGCTACAAAGCTGACGGTGTAGACACAAGAGATCCATTGCCACATGTAGGAATATCACCCATCAGATGTGCAGTGGCAGGGGAAAGTACCTGAGAATCTCAGCTGTAAATAACTAGTCCTGGAGCCACTGACATTTCAAATGGGCGATAGCTTGAGGAAAATGATTTTCTGTGATAAACCCAGTTGCCAGGTGAAGAAAGAAAGAATTAGGGCATATATTTCAGGACAGGAGGTCAATTTAGAAAGGTGGCGTTTAATGTAGTCAGCATTGCAGCTGGAATTAGAAAACACACGTTCATGCTCTGGCTCTCCCACTTGCTCTGTGCCTACTGGCAAGCTTCTTTGCATTCTGAGCCATTTTCTCACATACTAAGTGGTCCACGAGATGAGTGCCCTGGTTCATCTCTCCTCCCCTTCTTCATTGCCATCACTGGTTCTGCTCTCCAGGATACTCCTTCTCCTTGTCCAGGGCATACAGGAGGCACTTACCTGGATATTTGGATATTTTTCTGTCTTCATACATGACTCTGAAAGCATGAAAACCCTCAAGTATGTTGTAAGGCTTTCCCCCCCCACCGCCCACCCCCCCAGCCATTACCACAGGGGACACACAAGGAAGAAAATAATAAGTATGTGAGAGTTTACCAAGCAATATTTTGTAAAAGTATTTTCAGTTATTATTCTTTCTCATCTCCAAATTTAACTTTCCTGGCTCCCTTAGGATTCCCCTTCGGGGAACCATCTGTTAGTATTTCTCCTGGAAATTGGCTCTGCCCAACCCTGCTCTCTCTGACACTAGTACTCATAGAGCTTCTCCTTTTTATGTGGGCCCTCTTTCTTTTCTTGCAGTGGCCCCCAGGGGAGCAGGGTAGTGAGTACCCAAAAGGTCCTTTTGATTCACAGAGGCCCAGGGAGAAAGGGCATGACCCCCACAGGGAGCTCCAGGCCAAGAAGCTTCCCAGTCTTTATGTTTTCCTGCTTCATGGAAGAAACATGGAGTCCCACGCAAGAGAATTACTAGAGACATTAGGGGACAGTTCAAAGAACATGGGTTTTCATCTATCCCTCTCATGGTAGTATGCTAAACTGAAATCAACTGAATGTAAGCTAGGAAAAGGGACAAAGAGATAATGGAAAAATGACTGCGCATTTGTATCTGTGTGTCTTCATGATATAAACATATTTGTTAGAACAATTCAGAAAATATATGTTGTGAGACAGAAGTCACTCTAGACCCATATTTTCACTCTTGGATTAAATAAATCAAATGGGCCTAGCACATAGTAGGGGGCTAAGGAATGTTGGTTCATTTCCTGGTGAAATTAACTCATGTGCAAACATGTCATATATACATTTCATTATGTATACAAAATGATTCTGGCTGGGCGCGGTGCCTCATGCTTATAATCCAAGCACTTTGGGAGGCTGAGGCAGGCAGATTGCCCGAGGTCACAAGTTCAAGACTAGCCTGGCCAATATGATAAAACACTGTCTCTACTAAAAATACAAAAAATTAGCTGGGCATAATGGCACATGCCTGTAATCCCAGCTACTTGGGAGGCTGAGGCATGAGAATCATTGGAATCTGGGAGCCAGAGGTTGTGGTGAGCTAAGATCATGCCACTGTACTCCAGCCTGGGTGACAGAGTGAGCCTCTCAAAGAAAGGGAGAGAGAGAGAGAGAGAGAGAGCGAGAAAGAGAGAGAAAGAAAGGAGGGAGGGAGGAGAAAGAAAGAAGGAAGGAAAAGGAAGGAAGGAAGGAAGAAGGAAGGAAAGAAGGAAGGAAGGAAGTCCCAATTACTTACATATTGAAAGACGTAACACAAATCTTAGAAAAAAATTTTGAAAAGTTATTTTCAGCTCAGTTCTTCCCTCTTCTCTCTTTCTTTTATTTTGTGTTAGGCTGGAGCTGATGTTTTTCTTGAACATAGATCATGTTCTTTCTTTTCCCTATTTTTAATGGATTCCCATTTCTGTGAAGTCTGGCATGCTTCTGTATGTTGGTTAACTTGCTGAGGACATGGACTTCATGGCTGCATGAATTTTCTGCGGAAAGTTATTTTCCTCTCCTGGTTTGACTTGTTGGTGGAGGGTGCTTGGTGAAGGAATGTGAGCGCTCATTAGAGTTTATTGTATGGTGCAGCAGGGGAAGTGAAATTATAGAAGCCAAGGGGCATGGAGGGAGAGGCAATTGTTAGACCAGTGCTGACACCAATAACTTTTTACGAGGGTGAGTCAAAGCATCAGAGAGGCTGGAACCAAGTTTTCGCCCTCTTGAACCTATTACTATATATCTTGATAGAGTATGGAGAGAAGGCAAGCCTCGCTCTCCTGCTGGGAGGGGAGAGAGACTGAAGTTCTAGAGACAGATGGCAATGGGGAGGAGGTGTTTGGACTCAGCTTTGGCTAGGGTGGGCAGGAGTATTAGGAGAAACCATTAATGTAGCAAATATAATGAGAGTCAATACCTGATTACCCGGAATAATGAGGAAGCATATCACAGTAGAAAAAAAAATAGCTCAGTGAGTGATGGGTGATTCCATTGATACGTGAGGCTGTAACTTCCTTCCATTCTCATCTCCTTGTGAGAACTAAGAATTAGTATACTGCTCAGCATGCCAGAGACATATGATAAATCTTGGACACATAAGGTCTGAAAACTAGTGCCTTTGATGTCCCATCTTACCAACTCTTTGGTCTGATAGTTGACACACAGGGTGGCATGAATTGACCAAGCTGGGACCAACATTGCTGGCGGGACCGTCCAACCAGTTGCTCATGTCAGTTCCCATTTGACACGTTTCTTTAGTCATAGGAGATGCCACAATTAGGAAAAGCATGAGGGAGCCCAAAGTGGATTCTTCTCTGTGGCAGTGGTACCTAGATGTTTGCATTTCCTAGAGATATCATTGTCCTAGGATGTTTCCAATCCCTCAGGTGGCTTCAGCTGTGCCAAGCTAAAAAAAAAAAAAGAACCATTTCCTTCAACCAAGCAGCAATAGAACTAAATTAGTAAGAACTTGCCCAAGGCCGCAGCTTCTAATTTATGTCTTTATACTTTCATCTCTCGTGGTGTCAGTACTCTATGCATTTTCCTAGTTACTTTTTTTTTCTTTTTTCTTTTTATCATTGATAAACATATCTGTCTTGGGATTTTATTAGCAGAAGATTCAGAATTCTTTCGGTGAGACCCTCAAACCATCTGCGTCCACCCGTTATTAAAAAAAAAAAATTCAAACTGCAGCCACAGCAAACTAGGCAGCATGTCTGTGACACAGAAGGTGTCCAATTGTTAGCATTTACCCTCCTGTGCTCCCAACTTTGCATGGTTTGTGAGCAAATGCTCTAGCAGTGGTGGTCAGCTTCAGTTGTGGCAGGTAGAACCTGGCAAGGGATGGGTCATGTGGGAAGAGAAGGGCTGTCTCTGAAATTTCTTGAAGCAGCATCCCAACCTCTATTAAAGAATGCTTCACTGTATGGGAGCACAAAGTGAAGTTACAGTCATGCTTTGGATGGGATGGCAGACCTCTGTGCAGGTCATCGTGCTTGCTCTGTGTGTGGTCACTGTGGAGCCTACTCCATTAGGATTCTTGAAGAGTGAGAACTTCTTGGATGGTACTCAGTGATCTTTTGTGCAGACCTGGAAACCAGCCTCAAGTGGGTTTTTGATGCATGTGAAGAAGAGGCTCTATGTAAAGGCAACAGGGAGATGAAGCTGATTCCAAGGCCCTGGGGTCTAGACCTTTTGCCTTTAGCTTACACTGAGTTTGGCATTGAGGAGTCTCCTGTGATACCTCTCTTGGAGACAGGCAGATTGACCCCGTCTGCTGACCTTAGGGTGGATGTTCACACCCTTAGCAGTGTTCTCTCCTGGGCTGGGGGGTGCGGGAGTGATGCTTCTATACTCGGCAGCATCTTGCCCTTTCAACACCAGACCCCACTTTGCTTCTTCTGAGGGCTTGGAACCTTTGCTTTAGGCATATGCCCAGATGAGAGGTCTTTCCCTGGTGATTTCCATGAACAGAAATGGCGGTGGGAGAGCGCCCCCTAGGAAAAGCACCTGCTGCCTATTTGTCCTAGGCTGTCCCCTCTTCCTGGCTAGTTTTCCTGCAGAGGAACATTGTACAAGAAGATCTATCCTTCTTTTTTTCTAGGCTCTCTCTGACCTTTATTTTAAGTATCCTGTGACATGTGTACATGTGTTTTTATTGCAAACTGCCTCAAATCCATTTGGATATGGATGCTTTACAAATTATAAATAAATAAATACATGATAAAGAGAGGATCTCTTCCCTGCCAGCTTGTTGCTTAAAAAGCAGCAAGTTTGCACTTGCGTGACTCGGCTGCTGTTGTTGCTTTTGCTGGGTCCCATGCCGGCAGCCAACAGGAGTGAAAACAAAATCTGTCCCTTTCAGCACCACACGTTCTTCTCCTGAGCCTAGGGGAAGAGGTGGCAAGTATCATTTGCCAATCAGGAGCCAGATAGCCTTTCCTTTATGGAATTGCACATCTTTAATGACATTCTGCTGAGTTTTGTAGAGTCAGGCTGGTAAATAAGATAACCGCTGTTTTTTCTACCAGGTGCAGAACATCTACGTTTCATTCCATTTCCACAGTGCTGCACAGACCCTGCCTTATTCTCCTGTTCTTCCCCTCTGCTTATCCCTTGGGAACTTTGTTTTTCTCATGAGAAAATGCTCTACCATCCTCCATGTATTCCTCACGTAAACTTCTCAGCACTTGCCTTAATGAAATCTAGGCTTTCCTTACCCCCATTATTTCCAAGGAGGGCATCTGCTTATTGTTTTGGTAGTTCCTTAATATAACTCTTGCTTGCTCCTTACCTGGGTTACTCTCTCTTTCAAAGCAGTTTTCGGCCTTCGAATTCCTGGAGCTTGAAACAATGACACATAGATAACTTTCTTCTTCACTCCTCTTACCTCTGTATCTATAGGTTGGCTGTGAAAAAATTATTTATATATTCCTAAAGGTAGTTGTGTTGTGTTGATTGATATAACCTTATTTAGCTTATGTTAGATTTTATAGCAAAGTGATAGTCTTTTTAAGGCAGGTAGTTCTGTGATGACCTATTTACTTAGAAAGGATAGGGGTAATCTGGAATAGCTTGGGGTAGGCAAAGATCAGACTGGGCTGAACGCATGGAGAACCTCAGAAAAAGGGAATGCTCACAGAAGACAGTTGGAAGCAGCAGCCATTTGCAGAAGTTGTAGGTTTCAAATAAGAAAAGAGAGTCTTAATGGAGTTTATTGAAACATTGCTTCTAAGCAACAAAGTAGTGTTGATGTCATATTTAACATTTTAGCTCTATAGCAGAGAATAAACAAGGAGAGGAAGAAAAAAAATTCATGAAAAGATTAGAGACAACATGTGGTTCAGAGCAGGAAAACCCATGTGAAATTGCAGTAACAGAGGCTTTTTTGCAGCAAAAACATCGTATGCCCTTTGCTCTATATGTTTATGTGTAGTGTTTATATTTGTAAGTTAATTTTATTCATTTCTATGTTGCTTTATGGATAAATAATTGTATTTCTGAATGTAAAAGAGTGGGCCATTATATATATCCCTTGGCTTCTTTTTCCATTGCTTTTCTTGTGCTAGCTAAAGAAAAACTTTGCTAGATTTTAGAATATGCTAAAGAGGCCCCATTGACCTTCCAGTGGAACAAAACAGAAATAAAGAAGTATTAAGAAATATCAAATAGCCTCGTTAGATCACATCCTAATTAAAAAATTATTATGGTAAGTTATATATAACATAAAATTAGCCATTTAAACCACTTTTAAGTATATAATTTATTGGCATTAAGTAGATTTACAATATTGTGCAATCATTACCACTATTTCCACTTTTTTCATCAATCCAACAGAAACTACAGAATGATTAAGCAACAACTCCCCATTCTCCCCTCCCCAACAACCTCTGGTAAGATATGATCCTGTAGTCTGGTGGTTTACAACCCTTCTCCCCAGAAAACCAAGGGTTTCCTTGGAATATCCCTATGTTCATCTCAGTCTGTCAGGCTCTTTTCCATCCCTCTTCCACAGCTGCACCTAGAAACATTTAGAATTTGTCACCTTATTTTTATTTATTTAAACAGTAAGCCTTTAGTTGAATCAAGAGTTTGTGGCTTAGAAATTTTTAGAAACTGTTAATTCATATCAAGTGCTTAGTTGAGAGCTAGGCAAGGAAGGCTAAGTTTCCTCATGCAAAGTCAGCCAGTTGCCAGCTACTCAGCTAGGTGCCTGGACTGAGACACATCTGCACGCTTGGCAGGATATTCACTTGGTGTCTTTGTTCAACATGTAACTAAATTAAAAGAACTGTGCTGTGTAAGGGAAGGCAAGAGAAGATTATTGACACAATTCTCAGTCCTTTTCTGTCGTCCTGAACAATCCAGTTCTGGTCAAAAATTTGCATCCTTTTTTAGCACAGTTGGCTTTTATAGTTGACCATACTGAATTATATTAGAAGGCAACTTGTCAACTATCTGTTGTTACTATAGAATGCCTCTGGAAGGGTTCACTTCTCCTTCCACCATCGTCTCAGTGATTAGCAAGTGATTTTTTCTTATCACATAGTTCTCATCCCTTAGAAGAGATCTATAAAATGCAACTTTCTCCATTTTGGTACATTTTCAGCTCCATTTACGTATGGCTACCAGCTCTGAATACACAGTAATATTATATAGTGGCAGTGAACCTCTTTTTCTTTTTTTTACTTTTGAGCAACAGAAAGGAGCTTAAGTGATTATTGAACAAGACATTGTTACCTAGAAAGGACACTGGACACTACACGTACTATAAAGGTAGACCTAAAGAGAAGTGTTCTGGGGCCGGGCGCAGTGGCTCACACCTGTAATCCCAGCAATTTGGGAGGCCGAGGCGGGTGGATCACTTGAGGTCAGGAGTTCAAGACCAGCCTGGCCAACATGGCAAAACTCTGTCTCTACTAAAAAATAAAAAAATTAGCTGAGCATGGTGGTGCATGTCTGTAATCCCAGCTACTCGGGAGGGTGAGGCGGGAGAATTGCTTGAACCTGGGAGGTGGAGGTTGCAGTGAGCCGAGATTGTGCCACTGCACTCCAGCCTGGGTGACAGAACCAGACTCCATCTCAAAAAAAAAAAAAATTAAATAAATAAATAAATAAATAAATAAATAAATAAATAAATAGAAGTGTTCAAAGGTGGGAGAATTTTCTGCTGAGGGAAAACAGCAGTCTTCATTGGATGAATTTCACTGCAGTTCTTGAAAAGAGTTAGGTGGTCTGATCTAGCTAATCTCTCACAGTTTCCCGGAGCCCCAGGATTCCATCTCTCATGGTAGTTAAATAATTTCTGGTTATGCATATGTTCTATGGATATAACAAATTTTATTTTCTTTGGAACAATTATACACATACATATACATCTATATGTGTGTGTATATACATACACACATATTTTATTAGTTGATTGTACAAAAGTATAAAAAACATGGTAATGGCACTCAGAAGTTTGTAGAAGCAGTAATTTTCAATCCATTTGATATTATATCTAAATAGAAAACAATCAGTTTGGAGGTTTTCTTGCTGACTGGTATATTGACATGATTGTGATACCTCCAGCTGGCTTTTTCACACTGAATGACAATTACACGCATGCCCCATGATACTTGATGCTCACAGAGCATAAAGAGAAAGGAAAACAGTGATCTTAGGTCCATGAAGGAAGGCTATAACCACGGACAAAGTAAGCAAATAGAAACCCAGCTAATTGAAAGGGAGGATAGTTAAAATTTAGCAATGTTGAATTGGGAATAGCATCAATGTCAAAGGGAACTTGAATTTTGCTGGGTGATTGAAAAATAACATGGCAAAATTGTTTTTTTTCCTCTAAATTTATGGCACCAATATAAAGCAACATTTTTTTGTTTTTTGTTTTTTTTCCCATGTGTCTTAAAAGGGAGCCATTGAATAGACAGGTTTATAATGAGTTTGGATAAAAGCCATTGTTTTCTAAAGTCAGAAATATATTTTACCTTTTCGCATGTTTTTACTGTGACATTGTAGGCGTGCGGCTTTGTATGAACACAGACATTGGTGGCTTCTGTTTGATAGCTCTAGGCATCTGAGTCTCTTTACCATCATGTACCCTCCTCCCCTACCCCCAGTAATAATACTTCTGATTTTCAAGGTAAGGAATTATATGTGCCTCTTTAACTAATAATAAACAACAAACAGCAACATATGAAGAGAAAACATTAAAAATTCTCTTTTCTATGTTTCTCAGAGGTCGCTGGGGGTGCAGTGGAAAGATCTTAGGCTGGAAATTCAGAAATCTTAGGTTCAAGTCTGCATTCTGTCACTTACCATGTGATTGTGTAAAATAACTGTTCTTCTCTTTATCTGTTATTTTCTTCTTTCAGTTTGCACAATGAGGACAGGAAATTTACTTTCAAATTCCTGGGTTATTTTGAAATTATATGCAGGAAACCATTTGGGAAAACAGTGATATACAAATGGTGTGGATGGGTGATGCTCCCAACCAGAAATTAATCTTTTCAAAAAATCATTGTGTCTACATGGCATTTCATTTTGTTAAAGACAAAACATGACAAATAACCAGCCATTTTTCAATGAAATAGAAACATTTAATTATCATTTTCACCTAAATGGACAATGGGGGATAGTAGAAAGGCAGCTAAGTAGGAGTCAGAATCAGCTAACTGTGGAAGCTTGTGTATGTTGCTTTATATCCCTGAGTCTTTCCTTTTTTATCACTCAAGTGCAAATACTCTGTTTACTAAGTTCCTTTAAAACGTTCAGATTTGATAAGCTTTATCCTCATTTACCGCATTGTGCCCCTACCTTTGGACACACACACACACACACACACACACACACACACACACACACAGACACTCTCCTCTCTCTACCTTATTTTACTTCCTTGGTAAACTTTAAAAAAGTCTTCATGACTCAGCTCAGTAATCAATTCTTCTCGAAGTGATAAATTGTTCTCTAATTCCTCTTTCCTACCTGAGCCAGGCTTAAGTAGATATCCTTTGTGTTGTCTTCATACCTATGTCTATCTACATAATTGAACTCTGCTGTGTTGTTATAAGGTATTTACGTGTCTTTTACCCCAACTACAGTCTAAGATCCTTAAAGGCAGGGATTATGTACTGTTCATTTTGAGGACTGGCAATTAGTTGTTTCTTAATAAATATTCTTTACTGAGTAAATAAATGAATGAATATTTAACGTATGAGAAGCTCTTTGAAAAGAATAAAATAAAATGTACAATATGATATTTTTCAAATATAGTAACAGAAAGAAGTAGCATTTGTCTAGTGAAACAGCACTGTATTTGGAAATAGGAAATCAGTTATTGAACCACTTCTACTAATTGAATACATAACTCCAGGAAAATCATTTAAGTTCTCTGCAGTTCAATTTCCCAACCAAAAATACTCAACATGTCCCATTACCTGACTCATTAGGAATGTCACAGAGGCAAAAATTAGAACAATTAATGAAGTCTCTATGTTTCTCAAAATAAAGATATATTATGCACTTTTAAAAAGTAAAGATATGCCATACATACTTAGGTGAGTTTTTTATACTTGTTCATAATCAAATTCATATCTCATTTTATATTCAAAATATTCGTGGAAAGTTTTCTCTAAATAATTTTAAAGTAGGTAACTTTTTAAATGAACTGAAGGGAATTTATATTTAAAGTGTACCAGTTATGTAAAATATAGAACTTTTTTTAAGGAGAATAATTATTTCTAATTTATTTTCTAATTTAGAATTTTCCTGTAATACCAATCTCTTAAAGCAGTACCCTGCTGTCACTTTGTCTGTGCCTCTTCTTTTGTCCAGAAAGCTACTGGCAAACAGCAGTGGAGAAGAAATCTCCCCCCATGAACTACCTTTATTTTGTTTGGAAGTTGGGCTTTTGTTCAAGAAAAAAACCACTGTCCTGCAAATGATAACTTTCAGAACTATGTACAATATTTGTTTCTTTGAAAAATAAGTAAAGAAGTGTTAAGGTAATGCTTTCACGAACTTTGGGAAATTTTATTTCCAAACTAAGATAAAAGGTAGATCTCTTAATAATTCCCTAGAGGATTGGGGATTTCCTTTCTCTTTCGAAAATTATGTAGAGTTTTGTTGTTTCTGTTACTATTTGTTTCTTTATTTTAGAAATTGACCCACAATTGAGAAAGAAGTCCAGAATGAGTTGCTTATGTAATTAAGATGTTACTCACTCTCACATTATTACGGAACTTTTTGTCCTTACCTGGACAAGAATGTAATCTGGGCATTGCTTACTCTTCATTAGAAACACAAACTACATAGTGTCTAGATTGTCCTCGACATGACACTGATATGGAACTGGGCTCCTTTTTTTTTTTTTTTTTTTTTTTTTTTAAGTGTCTCACTGTGCTTCTGTATGGAATTCTGTCTCATGGGAAAAAGACACCTCTGTCATGATTGGGTTTTTCAATTTTCAGTAACTTGATCAAAGTGCACTGTATGTACAATAAACTGTACCTACGTAAAATCCACATAACTACCACCACAGTTAAGGTACAGAATTTTTCCACCACCTCCAAATTTCCCTCATGCCTCTTTGTGATCAATTTTCTGGTCACCCCAGCCCCAGGCAACCACAGACCTGATTAGTTAGCATGACTGTCTTTTCCTGAGCCTACCTTCTTGAGGCTGAGTTCCTTTGTAGGCAGACAAACTATATGGTTGGAATGAAACAAAAAGGCAGAGCTGAAGCATTTGTTTAAGTGAATTTCTTCAGATTGGCCAAGCACTAAATTTTTGTGAAAGCAAGGTTTACTTGAAGTCATAGGCTAGTTAGTCACCATTAGAACATGGTAAACCAAAACTATAAAATTGGAATGATATTCTTACATCTGAATCATTTGATCCAGAAAAATCCTAGGGGGGATGTCTGGGGTTTGCAGCAGCTTTGGTGAAGTAAGTTTTCCATTTCTTACCTGAACTGGGTCCCATGCATTTAAACATCACTAAGATAAATGGAGCTCTAACATTCATTTTTCACATGCTCACCATTCGGAATTGAGCATTCCGAATGCTCAAAAATAGTGGTTTTCCTTTGACCATGTGAACTTCTGGAACATTAACTTTTATTTTAAAAAGTCCAAATTTTTGTCCTACTTCAAATTATGAAAGTGGTCAAGGAACAGGGCTGTGATTATTCTTTCCCATTTGGCTTTTGCACAATGGTTCTGACCACTGGACATTTGACTTCATATGGCTAAGAATCAAGCGCTGTTAGTGAGATGTCTGCTAAAGGATTGAAATGAAATTGTCCGACTAGTATTTTATGTTTGTGCCACAGTCCAGAAATAAACATTGCATTTCTTTCTCTAAATATATCTGTGTCCCGGACTGACAACTATTGTCTTTTTTTGGTTTTCCAGTTAAATAGCAATTGTTCCTGGATGAAGGAATGGCACTGTTTAAAACTCTTTTACTCTGAAGAGTCTCCTGGGTAAGAAGGAAAATAGATTTCCAGTCTTAAGAATCAAATACCCCTATTTGATGTCAGTCCCATGACTTTCACCCCACATGTTAGAATTGTGGTAAACAGGACTTTAACCCGTATCAAAATCGGGAAGCTCTTATATCAGGCCTGTTCTAGACACAGATGCCTTTCTAGCTTATAGAAGTACCTTTTTCTTCATAATGTTTAGTGGAAGAAGTGACTTGTAACCTTTGGCTGCCTAGGTTTTCCCTCTTCTCTTTGTGGGGATTTAATTACTCATTTCTTTTTCACTTGTTTAGAAATTTGGGGGAACATAATTTACTTGAAGAAATATTTCAGATTTTTTTCTTCCTTCCTCTTTTTTTTTCTTCCATAGGCAAGAACTATAGTATATGCAGATTATTGAGAGAGGAAAAATAATATCTGAAAAAGGTGGCTTTCTTAAATGGCACCAGTAGCATTAATGTCATGTCTGAAGCACCCATTTGTGTCAACTGTACAGACCTTTCAATGGAAAATTGTGCTGTGCTACCTTTTAAAGTATGAAATGCTAATTTGGGATTTACAGTTTTTGAACTGGAGGGCTGCATTTTGCATGGGATTTTGTTTAATTTCCCAGTGAAAAAAGGCATTTGAAACACAACTGCCTACAGCCAACTGTCAACAAAAATCAACTGTAATAGCACAGAGCCTGTCACTGATGTATGTGGTGATGTGGTAATCTTCTCAATTTAGCTGGGTATTTCTTCTTCGTACAAAATAGCTGAAAGTCTTGCTAGGCATTTATGAATATCAGGAGTTGTTATTAGGCTGATAATGGGACCAGATTAAGGAAGTGTACACTGGTTCAAAGTGTCAGTTAAAGAGGCACAAAATGGGACGATGCGTGGTCCTTGGTATAAGGAACTCTTTGGATTTCAGGTTTGCTAAAGATTTGGGCGATAGCATGCTGAGTTCCATCTGCCGTGAAAGTGGCTTTCTGAGAAAAAAAATAAAGTTGTTATGCTATTTTTTCCCCCAGAAATCTGTTTTTGTTTATCAAGAGGGTGAAATAAAAAAATCTCTGAAAATGGAAGTGAAAAGGGCAGGCTAGGGAAATCTCCTGGGGTGAGACTGATCAGTGTACTTCTCCCTTCAACAATGAGAGCCAGTGGTTGAGGGTGACATCTTTTCCTCCTAAGTCATGATGATCTAAGAACTGGGAGAGAATTCCTTTGGAGTCTCTGTATTTTAGTAGTAGAAACCTCTTTAAATTCTGGGTATTATTCTTAAAATAACTGGATAGTGCCAGACGAAAAATAAAGCTGCATACAACCTAGACTTTGGCAAGGCACAAAGTTGACCCTTAATATTAGTTGTCATCAAAACACAGCACTAGTAAAGCTTCTTTTATCAAGAGGGGATTTAGAATCAAATGGCACTTCATATTATCAGTTACTAATTTTTTTTGGATATTTAAGTGAGCTATCTTCAAATTCTGGCCCCATCATTTAATAGCTCTGTGGTAGCTAAGCTCTGTGATCAAGTTTCCTTATCTCAAAATTGGATTAATAATTGTACCTACCTCATAAGGATTGTGTGAGAATTAAATTACTTGATAAATGTAAAGAGCTTAGAACAGTGTCTGACATATAATAACCATCATAGAATTAGCTATTTTCTTACTAACAAACAAAATATTCATTATTGCTTAAGTACTCATGCCAAAAGAATGGAAAGAGGAATATACTAGCAGATACCTGCATAGCCTGTTGTGAAAGGTGTACTCATGTTTCTTAGTCATTATATTTTTATGTGTCCATGGGAGACAGGAGTGAACTGCATTATCTGAACTACATGGAATATGTTCTAAGACACTTATAAGTTCTGTGACTGATAGGAACTAAGAAGTGCCTCACGATGTCTTGTGCACTACCTACCACTGGCCCTTTTCTCAGGGCTCTGCCCATGTGCAGCCCCTGCTTCCCATGTGACCCTGATCCATTCTCTTCCCTGCTTGCCATGGCCAGTGATGATAGACCTCTGATGGTGGGGGTGGGTGAGGTGGCGGGGAGCGGGGAATAACTCCAGATATGCATGTCAGTGACATGTCTTGGTGCATTCCTAAGAAAAGATAGATTGAGCCAATCCTATTCCTTCCTCCTCAATGTTATAGTTGAGTACAGAGACAAAATTGTTAGTTATCAGTAGGTGCATACATTTAAAGACTGTAAGAAGAGGAGGGTTAGCTATGGCCTTGATAGTTATGCATAAATCAAAGTTATGAAGAAACCATAGAGCAAAGAAAAAAACACCACCTCCACGAAAGAGAAGGAACCTCTGAGGCTGCCTGTTTTTCTGTGTTTGCTGAGTTCTCATGACTGGCTCTACAGTATTTTTGGATCCTATGAAACTTCTTTATGTCCCTATAAGGAACTTCATTCCCCTTGACTTCCCACTGTTATGAGTGAGTTTCTGTTGCTTGCAACCAATTATGACACCAAGGGACTAAAGTGCCATGTGAAAGTAGGAAGTAAAGTTTTCTAAACACTGAATGTAATCTAATTAAAAATAAAACTGATAAAAGTATTTAGTGGGGAAAGCTTTCCTTAATGATATTCAAAGTCTTGAGAATGAAAGGGTGGTACAATTAAGGGAATGGGCAATGATCTCTTTAGATCCTAGTGGACTTGTGACAAGGTCTTTGCACACATGGTGTTACTTTCTAAAGGTTAGACAAATGGTCAACAAGTAAATATAAACAAACATGGTAACATGGTAATTATAAATTGAGAGGGTGTCTGTGAAGGAAGTAAACAGGAGTAAACATAGGAGACTGGTTGGAGGTTTGGTAAAGGGTGTTCTTTAGCACCAAATGATTTTGCTGGGAAATTGCCAGTGCACTTTTTAAAAATTTCACATATGACCTTGAATCATCCCCTCCCTCCATCTGCCTTGGCCAAAGATGACGGATCAGGGATGGATCTTTTATGAACTAATGTGGCCCAAGGCAGGCACAGATATAGTTATAGGTATGTATCAGATTGGCATATATTTTGTATAGGTTTAGAACACTGCTAACAACCTGACTTTTTATCTTCAAAGATGATACCAAAAACCATCAATAAACTAATGAGGGCCTTTTTCTCTCTCTCTTTCTCTCTTTGGAATAGATTTGATGGTGAATAATGGAACAACAATTTAATGAGCCTACCTTCTGCTAGACAATGTGCAAGATTAAACTCTCTGATTTATTGAAGAAAGCCACCCACATTCTCACCTTGTGATTAGTGGCATTTATGTATAAAGTGACTACCTGGGATTCAGTCTTCTGTCTGGATCCAGGAAAGAATTGTTCTCTCTGGAGCAAAGGGTGCTCTAATCTGCTGTCTGCTTCTTCTAGCATCAAGTTCTAGCCTAAATACAGGCTTTTAATGAGGAAACCATATGGAAATAATTAGTGTAAAAGAGAAATTAACTATAATTACCAGATCAGTTTTTTTCCTTTTAGAAATGAGTTGCTATTCCATTTCAAGCTTTCCAACTATGTTGATGGGAATGTATATCCAAGTTGGAGAAATAGTGCGTTTTTTTGTTCTTATTATCTCCTCTTGTTAAGATTGCATAGTTAATTTCTGGAGGTATACAACCCCTTGAGTACTCAAGACAGGAAATAGAGAGATTGCTGTTCAAAGCTTTTAAGATCATTGAATACCCAGAATATACTTTCTACAGGGTACCAGCTCTATAACTATAAAAGCAAAAAGGGATCTAGAGCACTAGAGAGGGAATACACAACACACAAAGTTGCAATTACCAAGCAACAGAATTTACTAAGCATGGAAAATTCTGTCACTAAATAGATGAACGGTCCTCTTGAGTCCTTCCCAGGATGCCAGACAAGTGTTCTCAGCAGGGGCTTTCTCATCTTTGGGGATTTTACTTTGGAAAAAAAAGTTGGACAGATAAAGGCACACTGACAAGTGAGCTTTTGGACGGAGAAATGAGGCTAGGAAGCTTCTTCTCCAGAAGAGAGTGTTGGCCAATTAGGGGGTTTCACTAGAGGTACTGACCTTGACATCCTCTTGTAATTTTGTTTTTAGGTCTTGTTTATTGTGCACTTTTATTTCAAATGCACTTAAGTATAACAATAAAGAATATAATCACCACTACCTCCATTGTCCATCACAAATGACATGTCATGAAATAATTATTGTGGGCAAAGTGGTATGCTACCTTCTACCTTACAGTCTGATTTTATTCCAATGAGAAGACCAATATTTCTTTCTCTTTAACATAGGAATTGGACAAAGTATGAGACCAGTATGCATTTTAATGAGATTAGTATTCTCTGTTATTTACCATACATTTATTCAACAAATACTTACCTAGAGCATACTTTGTGCCAGAAACCATTAGAGATGCAGTAGTAAACAAGACAGACAAGGTCTTTGCGCACATGAGATTACATTCCAGTGAGGAACACACATCATCAAGTAAATATAAATAAATAAGATAATCAAAGATTGTGATGATTACCAGGAAAGAAATAGTGAATGAGTGGAATTAAGGTTTTTGGAAAGTTTATCCATTTCAATGCTAAGGGTTATCTCTTGTTTACACCAAATCTCCAACATTTCTCCTTAGTCTTTGAAGTGAACTGACATTTTTATTTTTCAGATCTACATACACAGCTATGTAATTACAACTCCAAGCTTTTCTGCCCTTTCTAAGCAAATCCTTGTCTCCAAATCTCCCCTATATAGATATTTTAGAATTGCCAATGAGTCTAATATTAAGCAATTTTCTTGGTAGGTACAAGTTCTACTCTATAAATTCTGGAAACCAAAAAGGCCAAGTAGTTGTAGTGTAGCTATTTGCATACAATGTCTCTCTTGCCTATTAGACTCCGAACTCCTTGAAGACCAGTGCTTATCTGCATTTTTTTTGTCTTCTATTATTCTTAACACCATGCCATGCACATAGTAGGAACTCAGTATATTGCTCATTGAATTCAACTGAATCAGCAAAAACCACCAGCTCTTGCCAAAGGTATCAGCAAACGCATGTTTGAAGAAAATTAACTAACAATTAAGATTAAAACGTCAGTATTCATGAATTTTGGCTGAGCAGACACATTTCCTTACTGGTGAACATAAGGCTTTTCAGACCAATGAATCTGGTATCCTACAATCCCTTGCCAACATGCATGGTGGGGATGGAGGGGCAGAAGTATGGGGTGAATGCAGACATTGGCAAATGGCTGGCACTTGAGTCTCCCCTGCCAAGACCACAGGCTTTCAGTCTGTGTGCCAGGAGGTATGAGAGAGATAAATTGAGAAGTCCTCAGGTAAGACCTTCCTATGGAGGTGCAGAGGCTATTTCTGTTTTGGCTTGAAGTTTATGAGAAGCCTGCAATGTCCTTCCCTACAGAATGATTTCAGGCTCCTATGAGCACTCCCGTCAGGAATGCTTCAGGCTCAAATGATTCCACTGTTGAGAACTTACTATGTGCAAACACCATTCTTAGAGCTGGGGATGCAAAGATGAACAGTTATCTTGCCCTCAAGTAACCATGATTTCATCTCAATGGCAGGACTTAACATGTAACCAGTAAAGGGAAGACTGTGATATTATCCCTCTCCTAAGAGTTCATCCTTGCTTGTACATAGACACACACAAACACACATACACACACTCATTAGGACTTTGCTAATTGGGGTAAATCAGAGTAATTGCTTCAGGTGTCACACTGTGGTGGGATGGTTTCAAGCAACAGCAGGGAGCAGGCTACAGGGCAAGGACCAGGAGAAGCAAATGGCATGGAAGAGGGATGTGGTTTTACTAGCTGGCCTGGGTTTTATGTACCTAAGTGTAACTATGAGGTAAATTCCTGTGAAATGAACATCAGAAATATACAATTCTTTCAATCATTCATTTGTTCATTCATTCAAGAAATGATTGCTAACTGTCTACTATGTGCTAGGGGCCAGGAATGCCACAGAAAGGAGAAAAAAGAAAGAGATAATCTATAGGAGAAGCCAATGTTAATCAAATAGTTCCACAAATGTAAAATTGCAGCTGTGACAAGGGCTAAGGTACTTGGTACTGTGAGAGACTATAATAAAGGCATTTAACCTGTCAGGGAAGGCTTTCCTTAACTTACCTGGTTTTGCTCACATAATGCTTTTTAGGGGGCTGAGATGGTGCGGGTGGATTTGCCCTCCATTCCATGTTTTCCAAGGTCAATCTTTGCATCAGTGTGTGAATGGATGCATATGATTTAAATTGACTGGATCTATCTTTTTTGTCCGTTTCCTTTTTCATTTTATTTATTTACTTATTTATTTATATATTTCATACCATTAGAACTATTTTTAATGGAGCCATATTTACTCATCATCTTCAGGAGACTGTAGGAATTGAATTACAAATGCAATTTCTTTAGTCACTCACTAGACACTGGAGGATGTTTTCAGCAATTTTGGAAAACAGAGCTGAGTGATGTATCACAAAACTTAGCCTTTACGTTGAATGGTCCTAACTCAAATTTGATTATATTAAAATAGAGTGCACTGGAGGGAGCAAGATGTGCAGAAAGAATATGGATTTGGAGTCTAAGAAGCTCCACCACTCATCCACAAGAGGACTTTGGTAATTTATGTATCTTCCCCAAGCCTCAGTGACTCCATCTGTAATATGGGGATTATAGTAGCCACTTCAGAGGTTTTTACGAGGATTAAAGCAGATGGAATGTTTGAAGGCTCTCGGATAGTGCCTTGCATTAGTAGGGGCTCAATCAATATTTGCTTCTTTTCTTACATTTAAATTCTTGGGCCTTGTTTATCACAGGTCTGCATGCAGAAACCCTGCTAATTTCAAAGAGGATTTCCTTTACTATGGAAAGGAGGATTGAGAGGAAAATTAGAAAAGGATTCCCATGTAGACCTAGGGAAGGTAAGATCCCCATATCCTAGTTTATAACAAGATTTCATAAAAGGAGTGGAAGATGAATGTATATTAAAATGATTCAAAACATGAGCAGACTCTGCGAGTGTTATGCACAGATGAGTTAATTGTTTTGCCTTAAATATATTTCCTGAAGAACAGAAGCCCGATCACAGCACACATCGTTATGTATTTTAGACAAACAGCACTTTGAATCAAATTATAGTACATGCATAAAATATTAAAATAAGACATTTATAACAAATCTTTCTAACTTAGTGCTCAGCTCTAAAATAGATTTATATGTGGATAAGCAATAGGTGCGATAAATGTGGTACAGATACCACAATTTAAATTGCAAATCAACAGAGCATCATGGGAAAAAGGAATGCAGACTTGAAGCACTGGAGGAAAAGATCCAGCTATTCAATATTTTTAGGTCTTTTGCGTGATTTCGATTTGCAATGTCTGTATTGGACTCCACATTTGATAAATTCCAATGTTTGCTCTTTAACATAGTTTATTTACAACCCCAATTTAAATGATCTAATTAAAACCTTCATTTATTGTTCCTTTTGTTTACTGTTGAACTGTTGCCAATATACAGTTCCCAGAGTCTTTAAGCTATTTTAGTTAGTTGGGATATTTTAGAAGAACATTGCTGTTTCTCAGTTTACAAAATAGGCAAGTTAAACGGGAAACAATGTCCTTACACATGCTTGAGCAATGCCTACTTTGCCAGATCACCTTGCACCTTGGACTCTTCCTCCTACCCCTGTGTGGTAAATGTGATGACAACTCGTCTCCAGGAATAATCCCTGCCCAAGGATATTAAACCTGTTTCATTTATGTTGAAGAACTTTGGGGCAATTTAGTTGAATAGCTACAGAGCTGAGTGTTTCTGGGCAAGTTGGCCTGCTAGAATCGAGAAGGATTCCCCTCAAATCGAAAGCCCTTAGAAGGCCCCTAATGAATGAGGTTGTGCTTTGGGACTTGCATGATACCCAATTCATTTTGGGGAATTAGATCCTTTGCTCCCAGCATCTCTGGATGTAGATGAACCTCTAAGATTTGCCCAGGCTACGTTTGTGAAGGCCAGAGACCCATGAACCAAGGGAAGGAGGAGCAGCCGCAAAGGGTTGTGTCAGTATTTCTGAGTGCTGACAACTTAAGAGACCTCTTTCAGCCAACAATTTACTTGCAGCTACAGAATTAAAACATTTCTTCTTAGCAAGGAGTAGAGTTGTTTTCTTGCAAACATTTCTTTGCCTGATCTATATGCTGGAAGTTTCTCTTCCCATTGAATATCTCTAATATTAGCTTTTCTTCACAGAGAGTGTCTGTATAGCCATATTTTATTTTCTTATAAAAATTGTATCAAGTTTTTAATACCCAGGTTTCTGGTGCAATTAACTTATCTTCCTCTTTCCCACTCTGTTTACAATAATTGTTTCCAAGACTTTTTTGGAAGTTACTGAATTGAAAATAATTAAGGAGGAAGTAAATTCTTTCATATTCAAGATTTCAGGTGGCAACATTCAACTAGACTTTACATCAATTAACCATGGCAGAAGAGAAAAAAACGAGACATATTCTAAATTTCTACTGTAACATTGGATCCACAAAATTATATCTGCTGATATTTACCTCTATCTAGGTCAATAAGCACTAATGACAAGAGAGCTTTAAGGAACAAGAAATTAAATACTTCCAAACCTTGCAACATTAGATTGTTCCTGGAACTAAAGTGCCATTATGGGTTCCTGTCATGCTTTTGAATGAGTTTTCCTAAAATTTGTGTGTTGGAAACTCAATCCCTCTGCCCTCATGAATGAATTAATGGATTCATGGGAATAATGTTGCTATCATGAAAGCAAGTTCTTTATCATGGGAGTAGGTTTCTTATAAAAGCAAGCTCTCACTGGCTCTCTTGCTCTTGCCTTCTCACTATGTGATGTCCTGTGCCATATTATGACAAAATGAGAAGGCCCTCACCAGATGCTGGCACCATGCTCTTGTACTTCCCAGTCTTCAGAACAATGAGCTGAATAAATTTCCTTCACAGTCTTTGGTATTCCGTCATAGTGACAGAAAAAATACTAAGATATTTCCCAGTTATCTATTCCAATAAGAGTCAAATGCAGCTTTAAAACCTCTCGGTAAAGAGTTAGATCTGTGTCATCCATCACAGTAGCCACTGGCCACGATGTAGCTACTGAGCACTTGAAATGCAGCCAGTCTTAGTTGAGCAAAACTGTAAATACAAACTGCATACCGGTGTTAAACCCTTAATACATAAAAGTAAATATCTCAATGATTTTTACACTGATAACATATTTAAATGATAATATCTTGGATATATTGGATTAAATAAAATATATTATTAAAATAAACTTCACGTTTCTTTTTACTTCTTTAAAATGTGGCTACTAGAAAATTTAAAATTATATATTTTGCTCACATTATATTTCTATTGGACAATGCTGAGCAAGATTGATGTAAGGCAATATTGTAACTAACCAGCTTGAAAGACTTTGGTATTAGGCAACTGACTTTGTTCTTTATAGCATGCCTGACATTCATTGTAAATGGAATCCTATTTTAAGTGTGCCAGGAGATCTTGCTGGTTAAAGTAACCCCATGGTGAGAGCTGCCATCTTATGAGTAATCACTGCCTAATATATCAATTTAATAGGTTTAGATTTTAATAGGATTTTCCTAAAGCAAAGTTCACCAATTTTATCATTTGCTTTGCAATATGACCATTATTTATCTCTTTGTGGAAAGTTTCTACTTTCTGGCTTTTCAGGATATACATGCTTTTGTTTGTCTGTCTCTCCTCATAACTACCTCTTAGAAGGAAAGCATGGTTTGTTTAAATGTGCCTGAGCTCTTAAGTTAGGCTGCTGGGGCCCCTCACCAGTGCTTACAAGTGACATTTGGTACAGCCACCTCTCTTAGCTGAAGTTTCCTCATCTGTGAAATGGAACAGTAGCTCACAGCCCACAAGGGAGTAATGGGCGTTCAGTGAGATGATTACTTTACTGAGCATATGGACAGGGTCCAGTGAAGTGAGTTTCCATTCATTTCCTTTTGTTTTATGAATGCCTTGGGACCCAAGGTGCTAGGGCACCAAATCAGTATTGCTGATCACTGACTTTTGTGTGTGTGTGTGAGATAACTCCATTATTGTGAGTATTGTGTACCTGCTTGGAGTACCTATATATTTATGACACTTGTGGACAAAATTATACCTAAGTTCCTAGCCTCTGTGTCTTTGCATGTGCTGTTCTCTCTGCCCAAAGAACCCTTCTTCCTTCATTGTTTTCTTTCCCCACTGACTAATTCATCTTTCAAGGTCCAGATGAAGTGCCACCTCTTTCATTAGGTCTCCTCTGACTATTCCAGAGAGCATTAATTTATAAACTTTAAACATTTTATTGTCAACATAAGCCAGTCTAAATCAAGTAGCAAGGATTTATCTGGTATATCAAATTCCAAGGCTTATTTTCAAGTGATTTCAAGCCTATTCATTTGGTTTCATCTACTAAACTGCAAGTGTTTTGAAAGCAGTGGCCATGCTTCATACCTACTTTACAACTACCATATATCTTGCTCAAAAAATACTTATTGATTGATTGACAAAGGCTTGGCTGAGCAAAAATTCTTTAATGCAGCAATAATGATTCATGACAGGGAATGACCCAGCAAGAAATATCACGTGCCATCTTTATATGTTCTACAGTGAATAATTACTACACATGTCCCGATTTTAAAAGATTATCATCTTGTAAAATCCCCATTTTATTTAGCTGTTTAGTTCTAGGAGGTATCTGAGTTATAAAAGGATGACTTAAATATGTTTCTGATTTAGATCCTTTTGAGACATATATCTCTATATACGTATATTTACCTATATTTTTGAGACATATATATCTATATTTAGGTCTTTTTGAGATGTACATATTCACCTATCTAGAAGTCTATATATCTAGAAATAAATATATCTAGATATCTAGGTATCTATGTATATATATGTGAGGTGTGTGTGTATGTATGTGTATGTGTGTGTGTGTGTGTGTGTGTATATATATATATATATATATATATATATAAAGGATTTTTTCTCTCTGTGTGTGTGTGTGTATGTGTAGATAGATAGATAGATAGATAGATACATAGATGTAATCATATTGCTAAGATGCCCAGTTTCTATTTGTAGTCTTTTCTCAGTAAGGCAGTAGGACATTGGTGCTTTCAAGGGAGCTTAGAAACATTGAATATGACATTCATGTCATTAAAAATAGTTAGCTTTCTTGGCTACATTCATAAAAATTCCCCTAATGCTTCCTTTAATTGGCAGGATCCACATGTGGTATCTATTTTGCAAATGTGCTCTGCACTGAGTGCTGTAGCCATGTATGTGTCTGTGTATGTTCTTTGTAGGTGACACTCCATCCTGATCATGCAATTCATGCGTTGTACTAGGACATACCGTATGCAGACAATGCCTCACCTTACACTACACCCCCCCTTTTTTTAAACCCTGAAATATGGTTGATATGGTCCATTGCAAAATGAGCCTATATTGGAAATGGCAAAATTGTAATGTAAAATATACTGGGGTCAGTGGGGTGTGCTGTTTTTGCGTATATTTTTTCTCCCCTGACCCATGCCATTCCCTTGCATACAGGGAAAAAAGCTTCATCTCACACAGAAATGTGATGTCCTTTACTGCCAGAGGCTGTTGCTGTTTTAAATGAGGAAAAAGCACAATGCATGAAGAAGGAAAATTAAAGCATATTCATTTTGGAAATTAGATATGGTGTCAGGAGACTCTCAGAAAATAGCCCCGTTTGAATGGAGCCCCGCACTACAAGACAGTTCACTGAACTTTTGACCACTATTTATGCTATGGAAGCTTTTGAAATAGGGAAGAGAGCAAAACACTTTATAGCTGCTTAATAGCTGAGTTCATTTTTCTTTCTTCCTTTTTTTCCACCAGGCATTTGTCTATCCCTTCGGTGTATATAAGATATGCAAACACCATGTAGTTTACTGGCAGGCCTTTGTGTTAATGTTTCCAGGTTGGTTCCAAAACACACAGCTACTGGATGAGAGAATCCCCTGGCCAACCCGGTGACCTTCCTTACCCTACACCGCAGTCTGCCGTCTGCCTGTGGCTAGTCTGAAATAGGCAGCCCCAGCCAGGGTTGCACAGGCCTTGGGAGTGACAGTGACCTCTTTAGGGGTCATTCTGCAAATGCAAAGAGTTCCCTTTCACAGTTCCCAGGGATCCTTTATGCAAAATTGGACAAGGATTGGGGAGATGATGGAAAGGCACTTTGTCTAATTTCTCCCTTTCTATTATTTGGAAGAACAGTTCTCAATTTGTGATCATCCCCGTTCTGCTTCATTGCTTCCCTCCTGCAGAGCACATCACACCAGGCAGGTTAAGTAGGATTCAAGGGCCCTCCAGGAAGGACAGCCCAGATTTTTGATTCAATACTGAATAAGGAAGCACCTGAGAAAACGAGGTAGCAGAAGAGTTAATCACAAGTGGAGGGTGGGGTCAATCAGAGGTAGAAAGAGAAATCCAATTTGTATTGGTATTAATGAAAGATATGCTTTAACTTTTATACAGATATGAATCATGGAGCTAAATATTACAAATTACAGGTTGTGAGTCTATGTCAGCTTTATTATTGTTATTACTATTAATGCAATGATATAAAATCTAAAGGGTCACTGTGTTTGTTTAATTTATTTTCTGGGAAAGCTTAACATTTCATTTCCAAGTGAGGACCTTTATTTGGCCTCTTGGTGACTTGCCCACACTGGCACACATTGGGCCCCACCTCTTGCAGGATCTGGGAGCTCCTTAGCACTCTCTCTGTCTGATCATTACCAGACTTGATTCTCACAGCTTTACCCGGCACTCCACTCCTCAGTCAACCAGCGGCTGTGCTTCCATTAGGAGGTGGTATGATATCAAGGTTTTAATAGTGGCTTGAGGTAGGGTGAGGGCAGACAGAGATACTGAGAAAAGGCTTAACAATAGAATCACTCTTTGCCACGAAGTGCCTGTGTCTGAATGCTGACCTTCTGGGACTGTCCTTGGTTTGGGAAACAGCAACAATATGTGTCTGCACATGACTATGAGCCCTTACAGACTCACATTTAAAACAAAAAACAGAAAAATTTCTTCTTCAACATGGGGACATGTTGCTATTTTCTTCTGCCCGTGCTCTGTGGGTTTAGCTTGAAAGATAGAGCCAAAGTGAGAGAGAGAGACCATCACTCTCCTCCCCCACTCTCAGCATTATTCATTAGGAGAGGATTTTTTTTTTTCCTCCTTTGGACTGGAAACTTCTCTCCTCTCACTAGCCAGTAACAACCCTTCTGTTCATCCTTATGTCAAACCTTCACAACTGCACTAATGTGATCTCTGACAATTGAAGAGGAGCTAGGAAGTGTTGCAAGGGCCACCCTGAACTCAGGAGATGGCTTAGGGTCTTCTCAGGGCAAGGGCTTCCCTGACCGTCCACTTTCTGCTGGGACTGGGAGGTTGAGATCTGCGTGCTGACCCAGACCGTGAGCTGAAAGAAACCCGAGAAGTGCTGTAATCAAAATCTTGGCCTCTGGAACTGCCCGCCTTTGTTCCCTCTTCTCCCTGAGGCTTCTTGGCACTGCCGGCAGCCATGTTGCCCCGCTCTGGCTTTGTGAGAGGCAAGTCCCAGAGAGCCCTGGGGACAGCCTGTGCTCCTAGCCCGCCTACCTGCCCACCCCAGGCTACAGCCCGGTGAACGGAACTGTGATGCATGAAATGAGGGGGGAAAGACCGGTGAGGTCATGCTGGCCTTGTTAACTGTTGGCAAAAAAGCAGGCAACAGAAAGGGGAATGTCAGGTAAGTGTTTTACAGTTTAAAGATGGAGGTGTAGAGAAGTAAGGCATCCGGCCTAGAAAATTCCCAAGCCCTCCCAGGCGGCTTCCCCTTCCCCTCCCCAGCTCTGAGGACTTTGCTGAGGTGCCCGTGGACTTAAATGGCCTGCATTTGTTTATCACCCCTGCCTTGGCAGGGGATTATCCCCAGTTGTCACACCATTTGTGACGGTCCACAGTTCTCCTGCTATTGTGGTGGCTGATGGCGACTGGGTATTTTAAATGATGAAGAAAAGAGAAGTCAATGATCAAATCCAACAACATTAGCCATAATAATTTTTTTTTGTCTTTTGAAAGCCCCTGGAAGAGAATAAGGAGACAGGCCTGGACAGGATTTCTGCTTTGCTTAATTACAAATAGACATATTATAGTAGGTATTAATGATTGT
The DNA here is from genome assembly GCF_000001405.40 of Homo sapiens. Classification (NCBI taxonomy): domain Eukaryota; kingdom Metazoa; phylum Chordata; class Mammalia; order Primates; family Hominidae; genus Homo; species Homo sapiens. Next base: position 59,732,794 of record NC_000002.12, on the reverse strand, counting down.
ATTAGTTTAGGAATTTCAAATATGACTCAAGTTTGAATATTATGAATATTATGTTATAATTATCAGGCTTTAAATGCAAATCTATCTCAAAAGAAAAATCCCCATCAGGTAAAATGATCTCATTGCATATTGGGGATATGATGATTGAGGTCATCTCTGGCTCACAAGGGGCTTTGTGGGTAGCTCCAGAGTATTTCTGTTATTCTTGTAGTAGTCAGTGAAGAATTGATAGGTGTTTATGGTTTAGCTGTGTCTTTCTTTATAAAACTGGTTTTGGATAAGTATTTTATGACAGAGTAGACTGAAGAGAGGCAATTGATAGAATAATGAAAGGGCAGAGTGGGGTTCAAATTCTAGGTCTGCCACTTGGCTGACTTCATGGCCTTGGGTAGGTCAGACTCTCCTGGTCTCAGTTATCTCATCAGTAAAATGGTCTAATAATCTCTATCATGCAGCATTGTTATTAGGATTTAGAATAGTACTTGGATAATACTCAGTATAATGATAGATTTATTATTATTATTGTGTGAGTAACAGGTCTTAGAGGTGGAAGAGGTCTTCAAGATCTATTAGTTTAAGCTTCCCCCATCTTACAGAAGAATAAACCATGTTTAAGAAAAGCTAAGCAAACAAGCAACATGCAAGATGGTGTCCGAGCTTGATGTGTTCAACATACTTGCTTCCCAGATGAGTAGATTTACCTCTTCCTTGCTATTTCTTGAGTCAAACCTTATATGTTGTCCAAAAATCGTGCAAAAGAAGAGTTTTCTGAAGTGCTTTGGGTTTTCTTCTCTTTTTTCTATTATGTTTTTCTAATAAATTCTTTCTTGTCTTGAACCCTGCATATTCCTTTCTCCGCTGATGCCACAGGCCTTATTGGTCTAGCTCCCCTCCAATTCCCTTCAGCTGGAATACTTTATTAGTTTATTACCCATTGATTCTTTCCTGTCTCAGCTTTGTTTTCCACAGAAAGGGTGGAATACTTGAGCGAAAGAATCATGCAACACATTTTTATCTAACTTTGTGGTTCCTAGCTTTGTGCTTTCATTGACCACTAAAAATTTATCTTTGTTTTTTCTTTATTTTCTTTTATTTTTCTTCTTCTTAATAAGGGGCAGATACAAGTTTGTCAACATTTTATGTGGCAGTACATTTTAAAGGGCCCCTTTCATCTATTAACATCATTTTATATATAAAAGGATCTTTGAATGCCAAAGAAATCACAATATTAGATTTAAGGAGAGTTCTAGTCAAGAAAGAAATAGCAAAAGGGCGTGGGCATTGCCCACATGGACCACTTAAAATTGTAAAGGACCAGCAGAGGCCTATAAATGAATATCCAGGATCCATTAATCCAAGGAACAGGGTTTGGATTGCAATGTGAAATCGGACAATCTTAATCCATCAGGAGCCTAAATGTGGGACAGCAATGTTGAACTGATTTCACAGGGCTGCTCTGACGTTCAAATAAAATGGTGTAAAGAAGTGCTTGAATGTTGTAAGGTTCTGTTAAAATATAATGAATTATGTTCCATATGCTGATATATACATATGTATATATGTATAAATTAGGTGTTCTATAAATGCTTACAGATATAACCACAACATATGTGTGTATATATATGTTTATATATGTATGTATGTGTGTGTATGTTAGTGTGTGTGTGTGTATTTGTATATATTAGCATATGAGACTTCTGTAAAACAATCATATCTCAGGACTGGAAAAAAAATAATGGAAATGACAATGATCGTGGCTTCTAGTCATAGTCTGGTGAGCAATACACTCTAGTGTAATTTCAAATTATAATACAACAAAGAACATTGAGAGTACAGAGAAGAAATTATTCTGGGTCTTTTCCTGACAGAGTACATGTGAACACTGCTACCATCTGCACTGACCCATCCCCTAAGTAGTTAGCCATAATATTGGACATATATTCACAAAGAACTTTGGATTGACTGATTGTTTAAAATATGTGAGGTAGCTCCCTAGAATGAGATCTTGCTGGAAAAACAGTGGTACCAGCATATGGAGTTGTGTAAAATTATTTTTTTTATAAACACTAAAACCCAAATAGAAACCTACTTCTCAGTCATTATTACCATATGCCTGATTCCTGAGCAAACATTGAACCATGTCCTTCGCTTGCTCAAGTATGGCTGAGCGTACAGTGGTCGCAGGAGCACACAGGTAGGCTGCTGCAGCTGGGCAAACATCATGCTGAGCCATTACCACTGACGGGAAAATAGATTCATAGAGGCCAAGAAACTTGCCCAATATCATATGACAAATAAATAATAGAGACAAACATTTAAGACAAATCTGTCTTACTCCTGAACTCATGGCCTTTCCAACAAACATACAATCACATATGTGTAAGAATTGTATGTCTTAATGAGTAGAACTAGCAAGGTTAATATGGAAACAATGAACTTCTGCCTTCTCTCTCCTCCCCCAAATAACTTTTATTTCTCCCTTACTGGTTCTCAAGCTCTGGTCACAGGTGAATTACTTTTTCCAAGGTCCATAGACAGATACTAATTTGGGGGCACTTCAGTTATTGCATCGGGCCCAACCTATGTTTTCTCAGATACTGGACAAGTCAGGTTACCCAAGTATTTCTGATAGTAATTTAATTGCTGTGCTTCCTTTGGTCTATTTCTACTCTTTGGCCCATTGTTTACCTCAGAGGGGAGCAAAGAATGAAATCAAGTTACAGTTTGACATTACAATGAAATTGCCAATAGAAATCAATGACTTGTCCCAAGACAAGCGAGGGTTTATGAGGCAGCCTAACGGTGTCCTTACATCTTTGCCTACCTCATTGTACTGCCATTCAAGCAGATTATACAATTTTCCTGTTGTAAAGGGGTGTAGTCGGGACAAAAGAGAGTCTAAGTGAGTGTAATAAAGCTGGAAGTGGTAATACAGAAGACTTATAGAGGAAAGAATATTACAAATGTTGTTCTAATAAGAGTAGTCTGAGATATCTGCTAAGTGGATATTTATGTACACACTTACCAGGTTTAGAAAGGGAGTACAGACAGAACAGATGAGGTTAAAGAGCTCACCTTTTCAACAGCAGGAGCCTAAATCTTAGTGGAATTGAAAAGGGTTATATTCAGTGCAGTGAAATGTCATTTTCATCCAATTTCTACTTCTGAGGACTTCTGCTTATTTGGATAAAGTGGCTGAAAAATACACTCAATTCCAAGCAGCAAAGCCAAAATGGAGACCATGAAATCACAGAAGACACATATTCCTAATGCTGCACTATCCAGTATGGTAGCCACGAGCCATGTGTGGCTATTGAACTCTTGAAATGTGGCTAGTTTAAAGTAAGATGTGCTTTAGTTGTAAAATACATACAGACCTTCAAAGACTTAGTATGAAGAAAATAATGCAAAATATCTCATCAATGTTTTTTTAAATATTGCTTACATTTTTGAAAGATAATATTTTGGATTCATTGGGTTAGATAAAATATTAAATTAAAATAATTCCACCCATTACTTTTTACTTCTTAAAATCTATCTGCTAGGTAAAATTACATATGTGGCTTGCATTACATTTTTGGTGGACATCAGTGGCCTAATGTAATGCATAACTGATATTATCTAGGAATCAAATTTCAATAATTTGGTCTCATTTAAGTCACAGTACCAATTTGCATTCTGCTTATGTGGGCTATGGATTTGCAGCCTCCATTGTGATATGCATCTACACATACATCCATATTCATGCATGCATGAAGAATCTCATCACCTTCAGAATGAGAGGTATCATCCCAATAAATCCAAAGTTGTTCTTTTCTAGTTCTATGGTCAGCCTCTGAAATCGGGAGAGCTATGTCCCACAAGAAATGATGCTTTCCTATATATTTTTGTTTTAATAAAACCCCCAGCTCCAAAGAGCACGGTGTGGAATAAGCTACTGGAACAATTTATTCTTTTCTCTTCATGGATTAGAGAGGTGGTACTTGGAGCAGCTTGTTAAAGAGATGAGCTTGGCCCTTGCCCTTGCTCTGTGTTTAATGATCCTCTCTTCATGTGCCACCTCTCTAATCTGCAGAGAGATAGGTACAAATTGTATCTATAATGTTATATTACTTAACAGTGTAATGTATGATAAATCATAGAATTGCATCCCTACCTTGTAATTGGTGAGATGTGTTGCATGAGAGATCTCCTAATTCAATAGAGAGTGGTTGCTCTTATGTATAACTGCCTCTCTGGATCATACCAATTCAGTCTGCAAGTGAGGAGGGGAGAGTTAAAGCTTTTTTAATTAAAAAAAGCAAAAATATGACTTAGAATGGCTTTATAGGCCCCTGCATTCAAATGACTGCTTAATAATCCTCTACTTGAATGGAGCCTCTTTTTTCCCTTTTTCTGTAGGCAGCAGGGATAGGCTATCTGTGGGAAATGGATACCTAAGAGGACATGCATTAAGTGAATATGCTCTTATATAAGGTAATCATTGCTTCTGATTTGTTAGCCCTAGCCATGTGTGTTTATTGTCTTTAAAATCATTGCCTTCTCACTCTTACTCCTATACATGTGTTCTATTCTCAACACTTTTTGTTTTTGTTTTAAATTCATTCCTTTTACCTATGTGGCTCACTTGCTGATTCTTCATAGTTCTTTGACAGTATTTTATTTTCTTATTTCCTTAAACTTCTAGGCTTATTTTACCTTTTAGCACTGACTATTTTAGTGGCCTCTCTCCTCAGCAAATAGCCCTCTTAACTTCACAAGTATTACTGGCAAAGCAAAGAGTATCAGAGCATTGATCACTGCAGAAAGATGGAGTGCAGGAGACTGCATCTTTATTCCCCAGAATGCAATGATGCTTCAGTAGCAAGCCACAGAGGCACAGAAATGAGTGGGGACAGTGATATCTCGATTGTTATTGTGAATGCTGACACGTATTTTTGGCCACCTGAAAACCTCCAGCTAACACTACAGAGAGTTTGATCACTGAGTGTTCAGAAATTACTTATGAAGACAACCAAAATAAAATTTGACAGGCAAGTTTAATTAAGTCTGTTACAATTGTTACGACTCATACAAATTAGACTGTTCCAGCTGGATGGGGCCATAGACATAGCTAATCTTTCTGGAAGAGCTGAGGAAACTTGGGTGAAATAACTGACACTAGGTTCACTGATGTCTTGAAAGAAATCTGGTCTGGAGTCCGAGTTTCCCAGCATCTCAGTCCTGCCTTCATTCCATTCCTTCACAGAAACTGCCTCAGAAAGCTCTCCTTTAGGAGCTGAATTCTATGGTATGTTGTTTCAGGCTGAAATATATCTGATAAAAATTGTCAGGTACTCATCGCTTGCAATGCTCCATTCATCATTATGTAAATGAGTGAGATCCCATGACCTGATTTTTCATTTTTTAAATTTTTGGATGCATTTTTTTAAAGAAAGATAGAACAGATTGTGTGGTCTTATCTTAATTTTATCACTTCTCAACTCTGACTTTCTGAAAAGAGTAGAAGGGTAGCTTTTTGACATGAGTCATTGATTCTGTCCAAACAGACCTGGGAATATCACCAAAATCACAGCTCGGCATAACCTACTTAAAAAAGTAGTAGGTTTAGAGGTGGTGTTGCCTCATGGTTTTCTATTACATCTGCATTGCTTTTTCTGTGTGCTACTGTTTCACATCTTAATAAAGAGAAACAATTCATTTGGTAAATAATCTATAATACAATTTCCAGAGAGTACTCTGCCATTTCTCAACTGCCAGATATATTTTATTTTTCCTCTGCATGTAACCAAGGAAAACAAGGTTGCAAAATGATGCCAGCTTCTGCTTTTCAGCTACGAGGTGTCAATAGCCCTTGATTTTGTTGCTGTTGTCACTAATTTCTGCAAGTTCAAAAAAAAGTGTCATAAAAACAAATTGCCTTTAAATATCCTATCGTTATTCACACAGTATTCTTGTGAGAGGACTTTCAATATATTTGGCGTCGTTTTTGAAATCACTTTTAATCACTAATATTCAGGCCCTTAGAAAGGCTACTCAGACTCTATTTTTTATTTCCTCTGAGTCTTTTTTTTTTCTTGTGTTTTCATAGTGACATTTTTACTATAAAGTCGCATTCTTGTTTAGGACAATGGCATCTTGTTTTTAAGGCAAACAAACACTAGACAATTTGTTTTGAAAATATGTGGGATGATGACAAAGTCATAAGAATTTCAGAGAAATGTCAGCACTAGTGTTGAGAGAGCTAGTTCTCATGTGTTTCCTATATGAAAAGAGAATTTGGTGCCTATGTACTGACAGCCTCCGTGCAGTGCAGAAGTTTCTTTGTTTTTGCTGTGCATTGTCTTCCTCTTTTCACTGTAAGCCCACTTGATGGTTTCGAAAGATCAATTCTACTTTGCAGTGAATGTGTCTCTTAACCTTTTCCCTAGAAACTGAAACAGTATACAAGTGAGTCGCACAAAAGGGGGGACTCTAAGATGAACGGCAAGGAAGCAAAGGTTTATATTATAATTCATGTAGAAAAGAGCATTTTCACTAATCAGTACCCATATCATACATTTGTAAAAATAACTGCCTGACAGGTGAAAAATCTATTTTTTGACAGCGTATTTTTAGTTTTAAATCAATCCAACACAATAGTTCCTTTTTTTTGCTTTATACAAACTCTCTTTCACCTCTTGATAAACCGTACCCCTGTGAGCCATAGAATGTTTCAGGTTCCTATCCTTTTCTGTGTTGCAGCAATATTTTGAGGGCAATGTAAAGCAGATCCATTTGGCGGAATGTTTTTATATGCATATCAGTGCAAAGCTAGGGTTTAATAATGTTGTGGATTAAAGGCTCTGTCCAAAACTTTGTAATGCACTGTGAAATATTTGCAGTGCAATTTGGACTCCTGACCCTCTGAGGACTCTCTGAGGTATTCTGTTTTAACCTGGTGCATAGAGCACAGTGGTGATAAATCTTGAAGCAGATTAAGTAATTTCCCCGTAGTGGTATTTCTACTGGAGTTTCGAATAACCCAGCGCAGGTATTCAAAGTCTTCATATATTTGGATATTGCAGATTGTATCCCTCTGTAGGAAAAAAACAAGATTCTGGCAGGGCAGCATCATCCACTTTGACCCTCTTGTAAGAGTGTAAATGGATGTCATCTTGAGCTGACTGAATGCTAATTATTTTGCCACTTCTGAATCCTTAAAAAATAAAAGAAAGAGAAGAAAAGATGGCCCATTTGCATGCTAAAAATATGCGAAAGACTGTATGAAATGGAAGCTGGGGACATTATGACACTCTCAGGTCTCAGGATGCCATTGGGGATTTAATTTATTTTACTCTTTTGCTTGGAGATAGTCTTTGGCCTAAGAAACTTTGGCTAGTAAAATCTTTGAGGTCCACCTGAGACAGTGTTCATGAGCATCAATACCTGTGGGCAGCCAAAAAGTGTGTGCCAGGCTCAGAGCTGGGACTGGTAAGTGTCTTGAATTCAACTCTGGGAAGAGAGAGTTTTCATAGTGTCTTCTCAGTGCCAACACCTTTGTAAAATAAAGGTCAGATCTGCATAATGAAACAAAAGCAGGGCCAGATCAGGAAGAAGGGGAGTTGTTTAATCCAGGAGACCAAGAAACTTTGGAGATTTGATTAAAAACCCATATGTTTTCCTGGGAAGAAGCATCTAATTAGTATGGAAAATCTAAATGTGCCCATTACTTTTTTTGCCCCTTTCCACAAATGACAAGTCCTCTCATTAAACACATTTTAAAAAGCAGAAATTATGGGCTTGAGCAGAACAGTATATGGGCCACTCATTTCTCTGCTCCTATGAAGAAACGAGCCATGGGCAATATTGTCATTATGAGGAAAGAACACTTGGCAGTGTCATGCTGACAGCACGTTAAGAAAAATAAGCAAGGCAAGTAGAGTTTGAGAGACCATGTCTCCAGAAGCTCCAACCACTGTTTCTCAGACCAAACTGCAGGGTCCTTTCTAGTGGCCAGTCCACTGCGGGAGGGGGTAGGTGGGATATGCAACCTGAGAAAAGAGGAAATGTGCCTGTATGAGTGTGCACAATGATGTGTGCATGTGTGGTTGTGGGGGTGTGTTTGTGTGTATGTGTGATGTGTGTGAGAGCAGATGTGCACAGACACTTGTGTAGAGGACCTGTGTATATATAGATAAGTATGTATGTGTAATGGGTGTGCAGGTAGTGTGTGTGTGTTTTAAAAAATTATATGCCAGTACCCACACTTTAATAAAATAACAAACACCTTTCTTCTCCCTCACTCCCTCTGCTTCTCCTGAAGTCTTTGATTCTGCTCATAGTTATTGTAGTTTGTTACCATGAAAAACAAGAAAAAGAATAAAGAGCTTACTCCTTCTTAATGCTGTTAGGGTGAAAATATGATTATTCCCTTCATGTCTTTTGATGGAGGTGTCAAGAGCACACAGTGGCTGAAGAACCTGCTCTTGCACATTGAATTGGGGAAATGAGAGCATGAGTTGAGTAGATGTGGGTCAACATCACATTAAAGAATGTGTCCGACGCTCCTTACTATATTACCTTTTTTCATTCTTCTCCTAGCTTTGAGGTCTCACTATCCCAGCAATGATTTCTCCATGAAAGCTCTTACTTCCTGCTCTCATTTTCCTCTCGGTGTTTTCTGACATGGTCTGCATTTTTTTTCCTCATTATGTGCATCTCTGATTTATAAATAACATACTATAAATTCAGTATTCCAGAACCCCAAGCTTCAGGCTTAAAATCACAGAATCTTAAAGCCAGACAGGACCTTGGGGTGTTTTAATTCAGTTCCCTTATTTACAAAGGAGCACATTTAGAACAGATTGTTTGGAGGCACCTGGCTGGACCCAACTATCCCAGCAAGATCATAGGGTTGACAAAGATACTTCACTGTAAACTGTGGCAGTGTATGTCATAGCAGTGACGAGAAACAGCACAAAAGGCATTACCTTTAGGAGATTAAATGCTATAACTTACATTTGTGAAAGTGCTTTGTGAGCTGTAAAGTGGTAAATGCGTAAAGGGTAAGATGTTTCTTTATTTTTTTTCTTTTATAACTAATAATGTTCTGGGTAAAAGTTGTACTATGACTTTTGAGACTAGAAAACCTAGTGAAAACTGAAAAGTCTAGGTGCATATTCTAAAGAAGCCTTCTATTGTGTCTTGGAGTTCTTTAGTAGTTAATTTTTAGAAAGCTGCTTTCAACATTCAGCACTTTGGGCAGGAAGGAGTCATTATTCATACAGTTACAGAGAAAGAACACTGGACTGCTGGTTTGCAGGCCCGGATTCCATTCTGGCTTTGAGATTCTGCTGTATTTATTCACTTGGTGACCGAAATGATTGTTAATCATTTAACTTGTATAAAATTGAACTCATCATTCTCTTTCATCTAAATATGATTCTCATCTGCTATCTACCACAATGAATGGAACCACCAAGTATCCAGTAGCCCTACCCAGAAATGTGGAAGGCATAGTTGCCTCCTATTTCTTTCCTACTTCCTCCTCCTTTTCCAGTTCCCTCCCATCACCAGGGTCAGTCAATCTCACTTCTAAATAGGCCTTCAACTATCCTCACCGCTATCATCCTCATCTTTATCTCTCACCTTTGTTTTAGCTCTTACTGGTCTCTTTCTCCAGCCCTGCATCTTACTCCTTTCAGTTCTAGCCAGGCTGATTCTACAAATTATAAATTTGATTAGCTCACCTCCCTGCGTAATACCCTCCATAACTTCAGAATGCTCTAAGGAGGAAGTTTAAAGTCGTTGCCTTGATCCAGAGGCTGTTCATAACATGGCTTCTGCTGGCTTTTCCAATTTCTCACCTCACAGTCTACATTCCGGTCTTCATGATCTGACTTTGTTTCTTGAACAAATTACCTTACCTCTCACCTCCAAGCTTTCATACATGCCATATCTTTCACTGAATGCCTAACACTAAACTCTCCATTCTCATTTTGTTATCATTATATGCTTGAATCCATTCTATCTTTCAAGTCTCCACTTAAATATCCCTTTTTCTGGAAGCCTTTTCTTACTGCTCCCCTTCCAGCACAGTATCTCTGCGCTTCTCCTGTTAGAGCACTGATGACAAATTATTAAACAGTGCCTGTTCCCCACTATATCATGAGTTTCACATGATTAGGGACCAAGTATTTATAATTTTTATGTCTTCAGGGCTGACTCCAGTGCCTCATACATAGAATGTGTTCAAATAAATATATCTTGAATAAATGATCATGTAAATGTCAGTGACTTATTATATGACCTTGAACAAGTCACTTATCTTATTTGGGCCTCTATTTTATTTATGACTATCATAAGAACATTGAATTAAAATGGCATAGAGGTAGGTTACAGTTTTAGCTATATGAATGTATAATTATATGTTTATTGACATCAAAAATGTGACAGAGCTTTCAAAGTAGCTACGAGTTGGCTGTACTTTTATATCTTTGATTTGACCTTAAACATTGAAAAAGCTGGTAATCTTTGCTTGCAGCTAGAACATACTATATACCACCTGCTAAATGTCTTTCTAATGAAAACAATAAATGACCGCTATTAATGCTAGAGATCAAGAAGAGTTTGTATCCTTGCAATTTTAGGTTTTGTGGGCTTTGTGGACATGTGAAAAGAAAGTACAATAAATATGTTTTTATTGAAGAATTTGGGTCCAGTCTAAAAGAGAGCAAAATGGCTTAGAAGAAAATGCATATTCAGTTTTTCTTTAGGTTAATGTATAGTTGCTTGAATATAATAGGCTAACAATGGGAGCCAGTTAATATTTCTTTCAACTAAGTTGAAACTTTAGAAGTTGACTCATTAATATTTATATAGTGGCTAAGTCTTAGGTCTTTAATTTTATTCTCAAGTGAGAAAATGTAATGTATTTTGGTGGGTCTACAGATTGTCCATGTGAGGAAGCAGTTGAACTGAGATAGTGCTGATGGCAAAGGGAAGCAACAAGTATTTGAATATAAAATATGCAGAGAAGACATTTTTGAGCTTCTTGTTCATAGTTTTTGGATGATCCCAAAGGTGAGAAATGCACATAATCTACTGTCAGAGGGAGCCAGTTTTGGGGAGCCATCATGCAAATCAACAGACATAGATGCCACATTTCCTCTCCTGAGAAGCTGAGAAAAGGTCAAAACTTTATACTGCGAGAATGATCCAATTAAATACCAATGTGAAGCTAGCACTCTATGTGCCCAAAAAAACAATGCTAGCTATGCATTCTTATCAGTGTCTCTTTGAAGGCCCCCTCAAGCTTAACCCTGTAATCATTGTCTTGGCTTTTTCTGATTCAGAAGTATAATCAACTTTCCAAGGTTTTTTATCCTTGACTTTTCATATTTTACCCTTTTTTGTTTTGTTGTGCTTGCATTTTATCATATCTATTCTATAGTATTATGTTACTGGAATTAACAACTCTGCATCGAGGATTATTTTTCCAGTGTATTGCCTTCTTGGATAAGAATTTATTCCTTAGACTTCCTGCCAATCTGCAGTTGTTAGAAAATGATATGCTAGTTTGAAGAGCTGGATACCTTTAGATGAGGAAAGAAAATTGTGAGAGAAAAATAATTTTGATCTGAGACTGAAATTCAGACAAGGGGACTGATGGTGTTGTTTGAGCAGACAGCGTACCAACATGGCTCTATATTAGATAGAAGTGCCGGCTTGCAGCAAACAGAAGACAACTCAAGCAACAAAATAAAACTAGGCCTACCTCTACTTATTCAAATACCACCCACAACTTTCTGGGAGAAGAACATATGCAGAGCATATTTGAAAACATTATAAGGCATGCATAAAGTACAATATTAGTCAATTTTATATGCTCAGTTGCATGAAATCTGTGTGTTTAGAAAATATAATAATTTGCATTTCATGGCTTTTGATAACCTCAGGAGTGCACTTGAAATTCAGCACATGCCCACAGCACCTCCCAGCTCACCCCATTTTTAACTGAAGACCAATGGTTTCTATTAAGGGATCAGGCAGGGCCTCTGACAAGCCAGTCAATAACTATGTGAGGTTACTTCATTAATGCTATAATGGCTGATAGAGTGAGAGGCAAAAAACAGGTTCCTGACAGCAGCAAATGAAAATGATAGAGATTCCTGAAGCAATGCGCCTTTCCTTTGTCATTGTCTTTTGCTTCGCTTATTCAAAATGTGGCATTTATGTATTCAGTCTTGATGAATGTTGCAGGCTTTAAGTACTTTTTCCATCTCTAATGCAGTGCCGATTGCACATTGTTCTCTCTTTCTCTCTCTCTCCCCCTCTCCCTCTCTCTCTTTTTTGCTATAACCTCTGCTGTCAAGGCATCGCAGGCTGAAGGGTTGCAGGCACTGGCTAAATAGCTTTTGTGCTGTAAGTGGTGCAGGTGATGGGACAATGCATCATAAGTGCTGGCCAGGCCATAGAGCAGAGTGGGTAGTGGGACCCTACAGCTAAAGTGGGGCTGGTCCCCCTGGCCCTGCCACACTCTTACCATTACTTGGAAATCAGGCAGAAACCTCCAAGGAAAGTGTAGATGTCTCTGTGGAGTTCAGACAGTGATGCGATTAGTAGAGAAAAGCTCACTGAAAGTGACTCAGGAGGAGAAGTCACATGGAAAGGGCACTTTAAGTAGCCACGTTCAGAACCCCACACAGGTCTGGCTAGGATGTGCTGATGCGAGTGCTTGGCTTCTAAAGGCTGAAGTTCTTTCCAGTTTATAAGTGCCTTGATGGGCACAGGCTGTGTTCTGGTCTTTGGGGGGAATCACACACTTTATTTGAATGAATGAGAGGGAATACAGATGGGCAGGTCTCTGTCATCAATGAGAGAGAGCTTTGGGGAAGCTAGAGTGAAAAGTGCAGGTATTTCCTGAATTGCTGCTGGATCCTTTCTTTGACAAGGGTCATAGTCAGACGAAGGATAGAGTGTAAGAGGGCCAGAGTTGAGAGCTTCATGGTGCCCCTTCCCATGTGATTTTGAGTAGCCTAACTGGTCAGACTTCCAGCAGCCTTTGCACCTTTGGTGGCGTGATAACTATGATCTGTGTTGGAGAGGGAAATATGATAAACTAACTGATACATACATATATTTTAATTTCAACAGATTTCACCTGTGAATTAATTTACTTCGTGCAGTGCTTGGATTAAGCTGGCAGAACATGAGAACCACATCAGCATGATCAAAGGCAGGCAAGGATAAAACATGTGATGACCCCAACTTTCTATGGCTTCCCCCCAACACAACTTGGGTGGCAGGACATAGTGTCAAATTGCCACCATGTATTTTAAGAAAGGACTCATATCTTTTGTTAAAGAGTCTGTATCGAAACATAAACAAACAAAAACCAGGCACCCCATAATTAGGTGCGTAATTATAGCCTTGATGTTCAGGTGACTTGCCTGGCCAGAGCACCTTAGGAGAAAGGATTGACCTTTATGTTTTTGTGGTTCTGTCACAGAATGTGGTGATGCTCTTCTATCTTTATTTGCTGCAAAGGACCATAGCAGGATTTGTTGTCTGCTTGAAGGTTGAGCTGGCCTGAACTACATACATAGTATTATAATTGGGCAGCCTCAGTTACTTTGATAATTATAAGATTCTATTTTCAGTGTGCAATTTTTCATTGGTTTTTACCCAGTACTTGCATGATAGGCATTATTCTCCCTAGTTTGTAAATGTTATAGGCTAAATTGTCCCTCATCCCAAATTAATGTTAATGTCCTAACCCCTAGTACCTCAGAATGTGACTGTATTTAGAGGTAGAGTCTTTGAAGAGTTAATTAAATTAAAATAAAGTCTTTAGTGGGGGCTGTAATTCAATCTGGCTGGTGTTTTTATTAGAAAAGGAAATTAGGACACAGAAAGGTACAGACAGAAGACCATGCAGGGAGAAGATAGCCATTGCAGGGGCCAAGGACTTGGCCCTCTGAAGGCTTGCTGAAAAATCAACGTGTGAAAAGCAGATTAATTGGAGAAAAGGCACACACATTTATTTAAGGCTTATGTATTTAAGGCTCTTTGTGTATACAAGAGCCTGCGGAATGAAGACCCAAAGAAACAGGGGAAATTGTCTATTTGTATGCTTAGGTTCACAAAGTATGGATAGCAGTATAGAAATATGATTGGACAAAAAGGGTTTGATCTAGTGCTAATAGCGTGAGTGGGGAAGCCCAGCAAGTCCTGCCTGTCTGGATTATTAGCACCCTCTCTAAGCTTGCATTCCTTCCTTATGGGTGTAGGCAGGGCCCTCTCTGGAGTAGGGGTCGTATAGACCTACAATCAAACAAGGTAGGTCAGATAATGTCTTCGTGGACAGTTTTTACACAGAAAGGTGGAGGGAACAGAGTAATACTTTCAGGTTTTATGGCTGGCTTTAGGGAAAAGGAGTTCTGATATCTATGACTCATCTTGGGGAAGACGAATTCTAGTGTCCATGGCTAACCTTGGAAGAGAATGGGACTGACTGACAGGAGGGCAGGAGAAGATTGGAGAAAAACTTTTGCTTCTGAGGCTGCTTCTGAGGCTTTCATTTTGGGGTATTGTTTTCTGAACCCCAACATCTACAAGCCAAAGAGAGATCCTTCAGAAGAAACCAACCCTGCTAACACCTTGATCTCAGAGTTCTAGCCTTCAAATTTATAAGAAAATAAATTTCTGTTGTTTAAGCTACTCAGTAATAAACCTTGTACAATGAGAGGCTCACCAACTTGGTCAAACTGACAGTGTAGCTTACTTGGTCCAGTTCCCTATCATCTGTCCCCATTGATGAGCATGTTAATGAAATGAGTGCATTCTCTGTATCCGTATTTAGATATTGTCAAACTGCTTGCCAAAATAGTCATAACAGCTTCTCCCAACAATAAAGTGTGAACATCCCCATTTTAAAAAATACAATCCACCAACACTAAATATTGTCAGGATTTGTCATTTTCTCCTAGTCTAATAGGAGTGAATGGTGTCTCACGGTTGTTTGAAATGCCCTCTTAACAACCACAGTCACAATGGCCAGCACTTATTTAGCATTTATTAAATGTCAATTTCTATACTATTTGTTTTACATCTTTAATCTCCACAGTAGTTCTATGAAGTAAGCATAGTGACTATCATCTATATTTTGTAGATAAGAAAATTGATATTTAGAAAGGTTAAGTAAATTGCTCAAGACCAGACAACTACCAAGTGATTAAACAAGAATAAAAATTTATCTTATTCCAAAGCCCATGGTGTTAGTTTGGGTTTCCACAAAAGCAGACCTCGAGATAGAGACTTGGGGACAGGTAGTTATTTCAGAGTTTATCCCAGGAGGTGCACCTGGGGTAGCACATGGGGAGAGCCAGATAAGACTGAGGGGTCAGTACAGGGTATGTTAATGATCAAATTACAACTGTGGGAAATTGGGGATCCATTTTTCTGAGGGCTCCTTTGAGGATTGGTGCACCCGGGGTATTCCTCTTCTGTCTCCTATTCCTCATTGGTTGAGTTTTGGGTGGCTCTGTATCAGGACTGACCAACCTCCCTTAGCCCAGAGAAAGCCCTCAATCACAGAAATAGAGACATCAGGTCCTTGAGATGATCCATTGCCACTGCAGGGGAACATAGAGGTAGGCCAATGTACTGATAGTGGATTGACACCCACTCTGCCCCTGGCTATATTGCCACCTGTTGCCACCCGCTAAAGCAGGAGATATCTCTGGACCAGCTTCTTCCTCTCAGGGCCCAAGGAGAAGTTACTACATTTAATCTCTGTGCTGTGTGGTTGATTTATAATTGATGCGACTTTTCTTATGGAAGTTGATACACAGTATTGCACCTCCCCAAAATTGTCTAACTTTCTATATGATGGATTTTTTTTTGTCATACTTATTCTTTCCTGGTTTTAATTACTTTGTATGTCATAAGACTCATCACGTAGTTTTGATAAAGTGAGGGGGAAACACCAATTGCTTCACTGCTTTCTTGTGAAGTGTATAAAATAAATCATCTCTAAACTCTGAGGTGGTTTCTGTATTTATAAAGATGCATTTTTTTAATTCTAAAATAGCTTCAAGGCCAGGTGTAGTGGCTCACCTCTGTAATCCCAGCAGTTTGGGAGGCCAAGGCAGGCAGATCACCTGAGGTCAGGAGTTCAAAACCAGCTTGGTCAACATGACAAAACCTCATCTCTATTAAAAATGCAAAAATTAGCTGGGTGTGGTGCTGGGTGCCTGTAATCTCAGCTACTGAGGAGGCTGAGGCAGAAGAATCGTTTGAACCCAGGAGGTGGATGTTGCAGTGATCGTACCACTGCACTCCAGCCTGGGCAACAGAGCAAGACTCTGTCTCAAAAAAAAAAAAAAAAAAAAAGATGTAAAAAAGCTTCAAATAAGGTCATGGATATAAAACTGGCCCACAAATTAAAACTTTACTAGAAATCTGACTAGGGATAATAAAAACAAGGCAATGTGTGTAAAAGAAATAATAACAGTAATTTAAATTTGTGTGGTACTTTGGGGTTTTTAAGCATTTTCCTGTTATTTCACCAGAACTGATTAACAGGAAAATAATACCTGCTTATATCTTGTTATTCTATTTTGTAAATGTAAAAACGAAGGCTTAGAATGCTAGAAACACCTTGCCAGGATTACCCAGTGATTTGGAGACCATGGTCGAACCTCATCTCTGGATGGCTGAAACCCATCCCTATTCTAACTGAACCACATTAGAGTTTTCCAAAATGTGGTTCACAGACAACCAGCATCAAAATTGCTGGGTTTATTTTCTAAGAAGGCAAATCCTAGACCTTACCTCAGGGGTTGAGCCTCTGATAAAATTTCCTGTGTACCCATATGCAAAGGTGTAATACATTTTAAAGGCATGTGTTGACTCTTGGGTGTCACAAGGGTCAGGACATTCTCAACACCTCTAGAGATGGTCTTGGGGATGTGCTAGCCACCTGCAACCCACTACTCATGCTTAGACAGGCTCTTCACTGCCGGGATGTTTTTGTTCCCTCCCGTGGTGGTGAAGATTGTGTCAATGTAGAGAAGCCAAAATTGCTCTAGAAGAAAGAGCACATTTGTGGTCATCCTTTCCATGCCAGTAATATCTTTAACCAAACAGATTTACCGATGGGCATGCAGATAGACTGATCATGCAAATCTGGATAACTTTTTAATTTATTAAAAAATTAGTAAATGATTCCCAACAGCATGTCTGAAATATGAAGACAGACTATTGTGTCATTGATGAAGTGTGTCACTGAAGTGAGTTTTAAACACTTCCTGTAAATCTTGTAGTATTTTAGGAGGCTGACCTATTCAATTTTATTTTCTCTGCCTATCAAAGCTATACTATGGTTAACATGTTCTCTGAAACCTTTTGGGGCAGCCTGAACTGATTTCTGCATCATCAAAATGAACTGCAGATGAGATATTCATGGTAATCCTTGATGTCCAAGATTATTGCCAGAGGCCATGGCAGTTGTCCAACTGAGAGATGACAGGAGTTTAGACATTGATGTGACAGTGGGGATGGTCCAGAGGAACTTGACTCTGTGTATTTTGAAAGTAGAGCCAACCAGATTTCCTGATGGTCTGAATGTGAGGCATAAGAGAAAGAGAGGGGTCACGGATAACACCAAAGTTTTCTCTCTGAGTCGCTGAAATGATGCAATTGAAGTAAGCTAAGATTTAGGGGGCTGAAGATATGCAGGCTTTGTGAGAATCAGTTTGGAACATTTTATGTTTGAGATAGCTCTTATATATCCAGGTAAGAGGTCATGTTAGACTGGTGAGTTTAGTCTTTGGGAGACAATCTGGACTAAAAATAATAATTTGCCAATTGTTGGCATATAATTTGAATTTAAAGCCACAAGACTTGATAAACTCACTTAGAAAGTGAGTTGTAGATTGAGAAGAGAAGAGGAGGTAGGACTAACTAAACTATGGGGCACTTAACAGAGGTCAAGAAGAAGAGGAAGAGTCAACTTGACTGGACAGGAACTAACAGGGAGATGTGTGATGTCCTGCACATCAAGGGGATGATGGAGAATATTGAGGCAGAAGGAATGGCCTCTTGTCAAA
The DNA here is from genome assembly GCF_000001405.40 of Homo sapiens. Taxonomy (NCBI): domain Eukaryota; kingdom Metazoa; phylum Chordata; class Mammalia; order Primates; family Hominidae; genus Homo; species Homo sapiens. The sequence continues at coordinate 59,714,699 of NC_000002.12, read as the reverse complement.
TGCTGCTGATAATTGACTACTGGATTTAAAAATGTAGAATTCATTGGGGACTTTATAAGAGTAGTTTTTATAAAGAATAAAGGCAAGAACCAGCTTGAAATATGTTGAAGAGACAAGGGAGGAAAGGAGCCGGGGCCTGTGTTAATTTCATTTCTATTTAACATTTCACCTGCAAAGTTAGGTTCAGAGGGCTGGCCTTCTGTTATGCTAGTCTAGCATCTTGGAAGCATGGTCCTAAGATGACCAGGAATTGAACCACTTGGACAGAATGCCAGCAACCTGGAGAGGACTCAAATGACCATTTTTACCAGCCTGACAACTCATAGCCATCATCTAGAAGCGCTTCCCTCTGTTTGTGGGGAAGATGATAATTGGTCCCAAAATAGCCTATTCGGCACCCAGCACAGTGCCTCATACATAGTAAGTATTTAATAGCTTTTTGTGGTCTGAATGGATTTGTAAGAGAATGAATGTGCTTGGGTATATTTGGAGCAAATTATCCATGTTTGGTCAATTTTCTTTTTCAAATAAAAGATCTACAAATGATTGCTAGCAAAAATAAATAAATAAAGCCAGGGTGAAAAAAAAACCTGTTTTAGACAAACACTTTGTGTCCTGAAAGATCTATTCTGTCATGCCAGCAGTCTCATTGGCTGTGATTTGTATATTAAGAAGATTTTAATTGCTCAGGTAAGTGCCTGCACCTGCTAAGACATTGTGTATTAGAGTACTTTATTCTAATCTTTTACAATACAGGGCACACTTCACCCATAAAATTATTCTCCGCACAATTATCACTCTGTTTTGCTGAGGTAGAAAGTGCAACTTAACACTTTGGGTTTCACTCATTATTATTAAAATCATGGAAATTAGGATCACTGGGTAATGCTTGTGCAGTTAACTGCTGAATTGCCCTCGTCCTTTCTGTTCCTCTTTTGCTTGCACCAATGAGCTGGACTCGAGTGAGTTTTTACTTTATCTGCAAGCATGGTGAGGACCTGATTGTTTTCAACACAAAAGGTGTTATGAATTCCCAGCAGAGGTTTTCTATTAAGGAACATATAAGCTAACTGGTTTTCATCTTTATTTTTCAAATGATGTATATTTTTTCTGACTATACAAGAGTTACAAAAGGAAAATTTAAAATAATTACATATAAAAAGTAGTGGAAAATTTAGAAAGTATAGGGGAAACACAAAATTATTCATAATAAATTATTATTCATATGTATTTTGTGTACTTCCTTCCAGTTTATTTATAAATACAGATAGTGCATAAAGCACAAACACACTCACACCCATAGAAGCATACACCATCTCAGATTGGAATATAAGTAAAACTTTTCTTTTTCTAAGGCAGACTACAGCAGGGGTTAGCAAACTATGGTGTGTAGACCATATCCTTCCTATTATTATAAAGAAAGTTTTATTGGAATACAACCATGCTCATCTGTTTACATATTGTCTGTGGCTACTTTCATGCTACAAGGGTGGAGTGGGTAGTTGTAATAGAGATTGTATGATCTGCAAAGCCAAAAATATTTACTATTGGCTTCTTATAGAAAAAGATCTGTTCATCATAAATTATAATAACATTTGATACATACCTTCCACTGAGAACTAGGTTTTTTTTTTATTGCATTATTACTTCTAGAGGTCAGCACGCAGATTTTGTGTCTTTGCTGTGGTCTGGTTTGATCCAGCTCATCTATATAACTTACCCACTTCAAGTAATGTCGCATTTCTTGACCCATTTTTTACCCACATTCCCAAAGTTTAGCACTTCCCTGATTGCCCATGCTCCAAACAGTGGTGATCTAGGAATGATACAAGAGCCTGCCCTGCCTTTCTCTTGGAAAGACAATATGCTTTAATATGTACCTTGACAGATTCTGAGTCAGTGGGCTTGGAACTGCATTTCAAAAAAAGCATCTCTTGGTGATTCTGTTGTATGTTGTTCATAAAACCTTATTTTGAGAAATACCATCATAGGCCTTTGCTTTCCACCTCCCCTACCAAACTTACCTGCTCTCTCTTCCAACGACTTAGGACTTTGCTTTCTGCTAGGAATTGAAAAATCCACTGGGAGTGATAAACTAAACAGACACTCCCTAGGGAGTATCTTTTTGTTCCCTTAAGATTTCCCAGAGACAGAGTCTTAACCTGTAGAAATGGTTCTTCTGAACATTTCAAACCAGTAGCCCTTCAGTGTAGAAGTTTAGACAAGTGGGTCTAAAGATACCTCTAAAATATGAGTGTGAAATTCTGTGCTTGGACCAGCCCTATTGAATGCTGACTGTTTAATAGGTGCTATATAAGTTTGTGAGATATCCTAATTATTAAACAAACAAAACCAAGCAGTGAGTTGACACATAAGGCAAATCTTCATTTGTCAGAAGTACTTGGTATTCATCTTAGTTTCCGTAGTTCATATTTTCTTTCATTTCATCCATTAGCTTCTGTTTTTTAAATACAGATATCCTCCAAAACATCTCTGGGCATAGCACAGGCTCTGTGTCAGGATGAACACAGATTTGTAGTTATAACTGTATTATTTAGGTTGCAAGTTAAGTAACTTTTTATCAAAAGCTTAAATAAGTTTCCCTGTTTGAGAGTTCCATCTATGTGCGTTGGCTACAGGTATTAAACAAAATGGTTTATTTTCTTCTCTAACTTACGACCATGTCTTTATCATCTCTTACAGATTTGTAAGAACTATAAGCCCTCAGGTTAATATGTCATTTTCTCCATTGCCCTGCCTTTAGGCAGCACAAACATGAAAAACAATCATTTGGATAATTATTATTCCTTTAAGAAGCCTAGTATACCCAGTATTGGTTTAGGCATGATGAGAGAATGTAGAAGCACCATAAAGCATAGTATCTATCCTAGAATTGCTTGTAATATGACTAAAGAGAAAAACAATTATGTATCTTACAATTGGGGCACAACTTAGGGCAGTAGGGTTAGAGCGTTGTAGTTCAATGTTTTAACATTTATTCAGACTCAATCAGTAAGTGTTTATTGATCGCATGTTATGCACAGGTATTATACAAGTAGTGAACAAAAGAGCCAAAACCTTCAAAAACCCTTACTCTTAGGGAGCTTATATTCTGGTGTGGAAGACAGCCAATAAACAAGAGTATGTTTTCGTAAGTTCTAAGAAGAGCAAAGCGATAAAAGGGAGTCAGATGGTGTATGTGTAGGGGGAAAGATGGTGATTACTATATTTGTAAGCTACCTCAAAGGCTCACAAGTTTGAATCTCATTAGTTCTGAGACCTTTGAGTCTTGAGATCCTAGCCTTTGATTTTGAGATTCTAGCCTTTAAGGCCCCAGTCCAACATCTTAAGAAAGCTGTGTTGTTCTGGAATCATCATCATGTAGGCAGCTATTCTAGCCAAGTGATAAAATATTTCTTTACAAAAGAGAAGTCTCAAAAGGGAAGATATAATTCAAAGATATGAAGACTTTGGGGAATTTATGCATGTCTAAGTACATATCCAAGTCCTGGGGGAAATGTCTGGAAGCTATTCTTGCCAGACTCTTGCATGTTTTTCTCCTTTTCTTTCTGATCTCAGCTCTACCACCCTCACCAGATTGCCTGGTTTCACTTTATTTTCATAGCACTCACCACCAATTGATATTTATTTATTTGTCTAGTTGTTAATTGCTATCTTTTCCCACTAGATAGGAAGCCCCGGAAAATTACAAAACTTGTTTGTTTTGGCCCTGACATATGGTTAGTTCTTAATAAGTATTTGTGGAACGAAAGAAGGACCAGGAATTTGCTATATCCTACCATAGGCAAGAAAGAGAAACATCTTCTCAATGATTTAATTCTTAACAAATTATCTCCATGTATATATTTATTTATCTTCATTGCAGTAATTCACTTATTTGAAATGATCCCAAATAGATTATTCCAGTTCTTATTAGTCAAATTTGTGAAGTATCCAGTTAATTTTCAGACAAACAAATACTTTTTGAGATGATTGTAGAAAAAGCTACAATTAAGGAAAAATTCTACGTTCTCTTAGAAAGTAATGTATTTACATTTTCAAATTTAATAAAATGCACAGAATGCATTCACCTTTCATACGAATGTTTCCATTCAAATAGCCTAAATCTATATATGTATATATATGTGTATATATGTGTATATATATATAAATGAAACAATTGGTTCTCTATATTATGAAATAATTCAAGCAAATGAAAAGGTAGGTATACAGAATAATATAGTCAGCATCTGTGTACTCAACATCCAGCTTTTTCAAATTTAACATTTTTCCATATTTGCTTCATACCTTTATTTTAGACAAATAAACATTTCCAATACATTTGAAATCCCTTGGATAACTGCCCCTTATCCCATTCCATTCTCCCCTTCCTGGAGGTCATAATTATCTTGATTTGATTTTTAACTTCTCCATGCCTATTTTTATAATTTTATACATATGTATGATTCTATAAACAAGATAGAGTTTGCATGTTATTATATAAGTGGTATCATACTACAGTTGACCCTTAAACAACATGGGAGTTAGGAGTGCCGACCTCCCACACAGTTGAAAATCTGCATATAACTTTTGACTGTTCCCAGACTTAACTGCTAATAGCCTACTGTTGACTGGAAGGCTTACTAATAACATAAACACTTGCTTAACACATATTTTATATATTATGTGTATTATATACTGTATTTTCACAATAAAGTAAGCTAAAGAAAAAAATGTTATTAAGAAAATTATGAGGAAGAGAAAATATATTTGCTGTTAAGTAGAAGTGGATCATCATAAGGCCCTTCATCCTCATTAGTTTTATGGTGAGTAGACTGAGGAGGAGGAGAAAGAGAAAGGGTTGTTCTTACTGTTTCAGGGGTGGCAGAGGCGGAAGAGGTGGAGGAGGTAGAATAAAAGCCAGAAGAGGCAGGGGCATTCGATATAACTTTTATTGAAAGAAATCCAAGTAAAATTGGATCCTCAAAGTTCAAACCTGTGTTATTTAAGGGTCAACTGTGCATGTGTCATTCTGCAACTTCTTTTTTTTTTTTCTCCTCAACATAGTTACTTGATATTTATCCATTTCGACACAAATAACTAAGGCTTATCATAGGCTACTATATATGCTTTTGCTTATCAGTGTATCTTGTAATACTGGCCTGGTGTGACAGTTTATACTTCAGCTTTTAGTATATGAAAGTTGTTTAATTCACATCATCACTAATTTTTGAAATTTTACTGAATTTCACTTTCATCTTTGCTTCTCTGTTGGGTAAAATGTTATTTCATTTTTTTTGTCATGCAATTAGTAGTATAGTAGAACATTGTTTCTCAGGTCTAATGAACTTTTAGCTCTTTTATCAATTGCTCATTCATATCCTGTGTCTATTTTTCCTTAGGTTATATGACTTTTTATATTCATAAAAGTGTTTTGTAGTCTACCTAACAAAATATTTTGGTTACATAAATTGTAAATATCATTATCCAGTCTGCGGTTTATCTTTTTAATTATTTATGGCATATTTTGCTATATAGAAAGATTTTTATTTGAATATTCAAATTTAGCAATTTTTTCTTTATAGTTTATTATGTATAATTTAAGAAATTTTTTCTTACTCTGAGACCATAAAGATTTTATCTTACATGTTCTTCCCAAAGTTGTAATATTTTAATTTACACGTTAAGACTTTTAATATTCAGGTTGAGTATCCCTTATCTGAAATGCTTGGTACCTGAAATATTTCAGATTTCAGTTTTTTTACAGAATTTGTAATGTTTGCATATACATAATGAGGTATCTTGTTGATGGGATCCAAGTCTAAACACAAAATTTATTTATGTTTCGTATATACCTTATACACATAGACTGAAAGTAATTTTATTTTTCCCTTGGGGATGCTAAATAAATGGTGTGTTGTGTGCCTGTGATTTGACTGAGACCCATCATGTGAGGTCAAGTGTGAAATTTTCCATTTGTGACATTATGTCAGTTCTCAAAAACTTTCAAATTTTGGAGATTTTCAGATTTCAGATTTTCATATTAGAGGTCAACCTGTATATAGCTATATATTTACATGTAGTATGATGCAGGGATCTAATTTTGTTTTTTCTTTATTATTTATTGAATATCTCATTCTCCTCCTCACAGATTTGTAATTATATCTCTGTCATATAGTAATTTTCTAAAAATACTTTGTTATATTTCTGACCCCTCTCTGGTTTTCTTTGTGTTTTTATATATCTATACATCAAAACTATGCTGTCAACTATATTGTTTTGGGGGATATGGCAGGGCACTTCCAAAGTCAAATATCTGTGTTTGAATCTTGTCTTCACCATATTCTAGTGAATCCCCTTGTGTGTATTTTTTAGTCTCTCTGTGCCTCAGTTTTCTCATCTGTTGAATGAATTTAGCAATGGTAATTACCTGTTTTAATCCATTAGGGCTGCTATAACAAAATATCATATATACTGGGTGGCTTATAAACAACAGAAATTTTTTCTCATAGTTCTGGATTGTAATCTGAAGATCAATCCACCGACAGATTTAGTATCTGGTGAGGGCCCACTTCCTGGTTCATGGATGGCTGTTTTTTTTTTTCTTTTTTTTTCTTTTTTTTTTTTTTGCCTCACATTGTGGAAGGGGTAAGGCAGCTCTGTGGAGTTGTTTTTATAGGACCTCACCCTCAAGATCTAATCACCTCCCAAAGGCCCTACCTCCTAATACCATCATATTGGGCATTAGGGTTCAACATATGAATTTTAGGGGAGGACAAACATTCAGTCCATTGTACAACCTAAGGGTTGTTATGAGGATTGTGTTAGCAAATACTTATGAAACCCTTAGCACAGCATCTGACACATAAAAACACTTGACAAAATTGTAACTGTGTTACTACTACTATTACATTAAAATAAGTCTTGATATTTTGATACTTGCCCTTTTTCCTCAAAAATTCTCTTAGCTAATTATTGTCTTTTTGCTATTGCATATAAATTTCAGAATTGACTTATTATGCTCCAAAAACTAACTTATTGAAATTTTAATTAGTATTGACTTTTTTGGACTAATTTGCGAAGAATTGGCATCTTATGTAACTTAGTCTACCCATCCATGAACATAGAATATATTTTCTTTAATTAAATCTTCTGTGTTTTTCAGTATAATTAAATAATATCCTCCATACAGGTCTTGCATATGTTTTGTTAGATTTAGTGTCATTTATTTTTTAGAATTTGTACTTCTCAATTATTTCTGATAGATTAAAATATAATTGATTTCACTCATTTATCTTATACATAACTATATTTTGAATTTCCTTAATTATACTAATTGTTTTCTATAGGAAATTGTAAATTTTCTATGTAGATAGACTTTGACATTACCTACAAATTACAGTTGATCCTTGAACAACGTGGGGTTGAGGATGCCACTCTCCACCTCACAGTCACATAGTTGTGTATAACTTTTGACTCTCATAAAACTTAACTACTAATAGCCTACTGTTCACTGGAAGCCTTACCTATAACCTAAACAGTGAGTTACACATATTTTGTATGCTATATGTATTATATACTGCATATTTACTAAAAGTAAACAGAAGGAAATATTAAGAAAATTATAAGAAAAAATACATTTACAGTAATTAGTGTATTTGTCAATACTGTAAGTTTACATCATCTGTTCACAAGATGAATCATCCGTCTGAAATGGCAGGCAATCGCAGCTGCAGACTCCAATCTGCAGTACATATCAAGCAATTTAACTTTTTCTTGTTATGTCATGACTTTTCTCTGCTTCTTGGGAACACTTCCAGCATGACTAGTGGCACTTCATATGGTTCTCATGGTGTTATTCAAGGTTTGCCATATGGCACTAAACACGATGAAAATAGGCAAAAATGACAAGAGATCACTTTTTACTATGGGATGTAATTTACCGAGGAGACAAACTGCTCACACAGAGGTGATGAGCATCACATGGTGATTGAAGTGGACATTTGCAACATTTGAGCTCACCACAATAGCAACAGGAGTGGTTATACAACTTTTATAGTAGTATAGTATGCACTAGAGTAAATTTATTCAGCTTTGATTTAATATTGCATCTTCACATTTATTTACATTTCTCTTGACTGTGATTGGTGCCGTGTATGGTCTGTAAGTGTTTGTGTGTGTTAGTTTTAAACTAAATTTTAAGTTTTTATAATAAGTTTGCATATATTTTATGATACTAACAAAGTAGACTAGTTTCTACATAAATTTTATACATTCATGACATACCTAAATTTTTAAAAATATTTTGTGGCTATGTGTTTTATCTGTAAGTTTTTTCAAATTGTCATAAATCTCCAAAAATTTTTCCAATGTATTTATTGAAAAAAGTCTGCATGTAAGTGGACCCTCACACTTCAAACCCATGTTGTTCAAGGGTTGACTGTAATGTAAGTTTCCAAATCATATAACTTTTTTTCTCCTTTTTGTTAACAAATTTGTTTTGTCTAGGATTTCATGAGCAATGTGAATAGAATTGGTAGCCTTACTTAGTTCTTGACTCAAAGGCTCTGGGTCTCTTATTCCTTCATTAAGTATAATGGTTGCAAGTCTTAAAAGGTATACTTAATCAATGGAGACAGTTTTCTTTCATTTCTGTTTTGTGTTTTATTATAAAAATAATTGCTCCTATCAAATGTGCCTCTGTATCTGATGAGCTCATATGTTTCTTCTTTAATTTGTTAATGCAGTGAATTTATGTAATAGCTTTTCTAATGTTGAACATACTTGCCTAAGTTTACAGTGATGTAATTATTTCTCTTTTGCTGGCTTCAGTTTAATAATATTGATATGGTTAGGCTTTGTGTTCTCACCCAATCTCATCTTGAATTGTAGTACCCCCAGTCCCCAGGTGTCAAGGGAGAGACTAGGTGGAAGTAATTGAATCATGGGGGTGGTTTCCCCCATGCTATTCTCTGAATAGTGAGTTTTCACAAGATCTGATGGTTTTATAAAGGGCTCTTCTTTTTTCTCTCAGCACTTCTCCTTCCTGCTGCCTTGTGAAGGAGGTGCCTTGCTTCCCTTTCTTTCCCCTTCTTCCATGATTGTAAGTTTCCTGAGGCCTCCTAGCCATGCTGAACTGTGAGTCAATTAAACCTCTTTCTTTATAAATTACCCAGTCTTGGACAGTTATTTGTAGCAGTATGAAAATGGACTAATATAGTAAATTGGTACCGGAAGTGGGAAGCTTCTATAAAGATACCCAAAAATGTGAAAGTGACTTTGCAACTGGGTAACAGGCAGAGGTTGGAACAGTTTGGAGGGCTCAGAAGAAGATGGGAAGGTGTGAGAAAGTTTGGAACTTCCTAGTGATTTATTGAATGGCTTTGACTAAAATGCTGATAGTGATATGGACAATGAAGTCCAGGCTGAGGTGATTTCAGATGGAGATGAGGGACTTACTGGGAACTAGAGTAAATATCACTCTTGCTATGCTTTAGCAAAGAAACTGATGGCATTTTGCACCTGCCCTAGAGATCTGTGGAACCTTGGAGTTTAGAGAGATGATTTAGGGTATATGGCAAAAGAAATTTCTAAGCAGCAAAGTGTTCAAGAAGTGACTTGGGTGCTCTTAAAAGCATCCAGTATTATGCATTCACAAAGAGATGATTTGGAATTGGAACTTACGTTTAAAAGGGAAGCAGAGAATACAACTTTAGAAAATGTGTAGCCTGACAATGCAATAGAAAAGAAAAATCCATTTTCTGAGAAGAAATTCAAGCCAACTGCAGAAATTTGCATAAGTAACAAGGAGCCAAATGTTAATCACCAAGACAATAGGGAAAATGTCTCCAGGACATGTCAGAGGTCTTCATGGCTGCCACTTCCATCACAGGCCCAGAGGCATAGGAGGGGAAAAAAATGGTTTCATGGGATGGGCCCAGGGCCTTGCTGCTTTGTGCAGTCTTGAGACTTGGTGCCCTGCATCCAAGCCATGGCTAAAAGGGACCAACATACAGCTCAGGCCATTGCGTCAGAGGGTGCAAGCTCCAAACCTTGGTGGCTTACATGTGGTGTTGGGCGTGCAGGTGTACAGAAGTCAAGAACTGAGAACCTATGTCTAGGTTTCAGAGAATGTGTGAAAATGCCTGGATGTCCAGGCAGAAGTTTGCTGTAGAGCCCTCATGGAGAACCTCTGCTAGGGCAGTGTGGAAACCCCCACACAGAGTCCCACTGGGGTACTGCCTAGTGGAGCTGTGAGAAGAGGGCCATCATCCTCCAGACCCCACAAAGGTAGATCCACCAACAGCTTGCACCATGCACCTGGAATAGCCCAGGCTCTCAATGCCAGCCTGTGAAAGTAGCCATGGGGGCTGTACCATGCAGAGCCACAGAGGAAGAGCTGTCCAAGACCTTAGGAGTCCATGCCTTGCATCAGCATGCCCTGCATATAAGATGTAGTCAAAGGAGATCATTTTGAAGCTTTAAAATTTAATGACTGCCCTACTGGGTTTTAGACTTGTGTGGGACCTGTAAACCCTTTATTGGGTCCAGTTTATCCCATTTGGAATGAGAGAATTTACCCAATGCCTGCATGCCCATTTTATCTCAGAAGTAACTTACTTTTTTATTTTACAGGCTCATAGGTGGAAGGAATGTGCCTTATCTCAATGAGACTTTGGATTTGGACTTGGACTTTTCAGTTAATGCTGGAATGAGTTAAGACTTTGGGGGAGTGTTGGGAAGGCATGATTGGCTTTGAAATGTTAATGGGACATGAGATTTATGAGGGACCAGGGGCTGAATGATATGGTTAGGCCTTGTGTCCCCACCAAAATCTCATCTCGAATTGTAATCCTCACATGTCAAGGGAGAGACCTGGTGGAGGTACTTGAATTATGGGGATGGCTTCCCCCATGCTGTTCTCATGATAGTGAGTGAGTTCTCATGAGATCTGATGGTTTTATAAGGGACTCTTCACCCTTCCCTTGGCACTTCTACTTCTTGCTGTGTTGTGAAGAAGGTGTCTTGCTTCCCCTTCTTCTTCCTCCATGATTGTAAGTTTTCTGAGGCCTCTCCAGCCATACTGAACTGTGAGTCAATTAAGCCTTTTTCGTTTGTAAATTATGCAATCTCAGGCAGTTCTTTATAGCAGTATAAAAACTAATCCAAGTATTTTATTTATAATATTTGAGTTAATTTATAAATTTTTGGTTCATATTTGATAATGTCATCTACTCTCTTTCTCATATTGCCTTAACTGTTTTTTTTTTAATTAAGACTACACTATTAGGAGGAGGTAGAGCAAGATGTCAGAATAGAAAGCTCCACCAATTGTTCCCCCAACAAATACACCAATTTACCAACTATCTACACAGAAAATATACCTTCGTAAGAACAAAATTCAGGTGTGCACTCATAGTACCTGGTTTTAACTTCATATCACTAAAAGAGGCACTAAACACGTAGAAAAAAGCAGTCCTGAATTGAATTGCTGACATATCCCTCCTCCACTTGGCTCTCCCTGCAGTAGCAGGCATGGTGCAGAGATCATCTCTGGGTGCTTGGGGAGGAAGGGCACGGCAGTCCTGAGGCATTGAACTCAGTGCTGTCCTGCTACAGCAGAAAGGAAAACCTGACAAAACTCAGCTGATGCTTGCCCACAGACAGATTATTTAAACCATCCCTAGCCAGAGGGAAATCACCTATCCCAGAGGTCTAAACTTGAGTTCCTGCAAACTTTGCCACTGAGGATAAAAGTACATTATGTCTCTAAGTAAACTTGAAAGGCAGCCTGGGCCATAAGGGCTGCAACTTTTAGGTAAGACCTAGTCCCAAACTAGGACCAGAGACAGTGGATTGGGGGAGCACGCGATCTACTGAGACACCAGCTGGGGCAAGTAAGGGAGTGCTGGCATCACCCCTCCTTTAACCTCAGATTGCATAGGACACTGTTCCAAAAGTTACATCTTCCTTCCACTGAAAGAGGGGAGAGAGAAGAGTCGGGGAGGACTTTGTCTTGCTTCTTGGATATCAGCCTGGAATGACCCTAGATCGTGGATGACCCTAGACACACCCTGGGCCAGAAGGGAACCCACAACCTTGAAGGGAAGGGCCGAGTCCTGACACCATTTATCACCTGCTCACTGAAGCCCTTGGGGTCTGAATAACCAGCAGTAATACCCAGGCACTACATCGAGGGTGTTGGGTGAACCTCTGAGACTTACTGGCTTCAGTGAGACTCAGCACAATACTAGCTGTGGTGGCTATGAGGCAAAACTCCTTCTGCTTGAGAAAAGCAGAGGGAAAAGTAAAGGGGACTTTTTCTTGCATCGTGGGTAGCAGCATGGCCACAGGGGAGAGGACCAAGTGAGCTATTGGGGGTCCCTGATTCCAGAACTTGACTCTTGGATGGCATTTCTGGTTCTGCCCTGTTACAGAGTGGAGCCCAGTGTCCTAAAAGGTGAGTCATAGGCCAGGCAGCATTCACCACAGTCTTATTTAAGAGCCCTTGGTCCTTAAGGGAATATGGGTGGTAGTCTAGTAGTTCTCCTTGTGGCTTGTGGTGGCAGTGGCTATGAGGTGAGGCTCCTCTGTTTTTGGAAAGCAGAGGAAAGAGTGGGAAGGACTGTGTCTTGTGGTTTGAGTCCCAACTCAGTTTCAGTACAATAGAACACTAGATAGATTTCTAAGGTTTTTGATCTAGTCCCTGACTCCCAAATGGTACCTCTGGACCCACCTAGGGGACCTCGTTGATGTGAAAAGAAGGATACAAATCTGGCTGGCCTTTGCCACTTGTTGACTCTGGAGCCCCAGTGCCTTGAGAAAACATAAGCAGTAGCCAGGGAGTGATCATAGCAGGGCTTAGGTAAGACCCAGTGCTGTGTTGGCTTCAGGTCTGAACCAGCACAGTCATAGTGGTGGTGGCTACATGGGTGCTTGTGTCACTCCTTCCCCAGCTTTAGGTGGCTCAGAACAGAGAGAGAGACTACTTTTTTGGAGAAAGTAATGGAAGAGAAGAAGAGTCTTTGCTGGGTATTCCAGGAAATTCTCCTGAGTCTTGTCCAAGATCATCAAGGTAGTACCTCTAGAAGTCTACTAGAACCACAGCATTACTGGGCTTGAGGCACCCCCTAAAGCAGATACAGCTTAGATCACAATACCTAAGTCCCTTCAAATTTCTGGAAAGCCTTCCCAAGAAGGACAGGTACAAACAAGCCCAGACTGAGGAGACTGCAATGAATACCTAACTCTTCAGTGCCCAGACACTGACGAACGTCTACCAGCATCAACACTATCCAGGAAAACATGACCTCACTGAATGAGCTAAAGGCACCAGTGACTAATCCTGGAGAAACAGAGATATGTGACCTTTCAGACAGAGAATTCAAAATAGGTATGTTGAGGAAACTCAAAGAAATTCAAGAGAACATAGAGAAGGAATTCATAATTCTGTCAGATAAATTTAAGAAAGAGATTGAAATAATCAAAAAGAAGCAGAAATTCTGGAGCTGAAAAAAATGCAATTGGCATACAGAAGAATGCATCAGAATCTTTTAGTAGCAGAATTGATCAAGTGGAAGGAAGAGTTAGTGAGCTTGAAGACAAGCTACTTGAAAATACACAGTCAGAGGAGACAAAAGGAAAAAGAATAAAAATCAATGAAGTGTGCCTACAGAATCTAGAAAATAGCCTTAAAATGGCAAATCTAAGAGTTATTGGCCTTAAAGAAGAAGTAGAGAAAGAGATAGAGGTAGATAGTTTATTGTAATGAATAATAACAGAGAACTCCCAAATTTGGAGAAAGATATCAATATCCAAGCATAAGAAGGTTGTAGAACACCAAGCAGATTTAACCCAAAGAAGACTACCTCAAGGCATTTAATAATCAGACTTGCAAAGATCAAGAATAAAGAAAGGATTCTAAAAGCAACAAGAGAAAAGAAACAAACAACATACAATGGATCTCCCATACATCTTGCAGGAAAATTTTCTGTGAAAACCTTACAGGCTGGGAGAGAGCAGCATGACATAAAGTGCTGAAGGAAAAAAAAACACAGACAACTTTTACCCTAGAATAATATATCTGATGAAAATATCCTTCAAACATGAAGGAGAAATAAAGGCTTTTCCGGACAGATAAAAGCTGGGAGATTTCATCAACACCAGACCTGTCCTCAAGAAATGCTAAAGGTAGTATTTCAATCAGAGATAAAAGGATGTTAATGAACAATAACACATCACCTGAAGGTACAGAACTCACCGGTAATAGTAAGCACTCAGAAAATCACAGAATATTATAAAATCATAACTGTGGTGTGTAAACTACTGTTATCCTAAGAAGAAAGACTAAACAATGAATGAGTCAAAAATAATAACTACAACAACTTTTCAAGACATAATTGGTACAATAAGATGTAAATAAGAACAACAAAAGAGGAGGCAGAGAAAGAGGAGGGGCAGAAAGTTTATTCAAAAGGATAATAACAGAGAACTTCCCAAACCTAGAGAAAGATATCAATATCCAAGTATAAGAAGGTTATAGAACACCAAACAGATTTAGCCCAGATAAGACTACCTCAAGGCATTTAATAATCAGACTCCCAAAGATTAAGGATAAAGAAAAGATTCTAAAAGCAGCAAGAGAAATGAAGCAAATAATGTACAATGGAGCTCCAATATGCCTGTCAGCAGACTTTTCAGTGGAAACCTTACAGGCCAGGAGACATAAGCAGTACAATAAAATGTAAATAGAAACAATAAAAAGTTTAAAAGTAGGGTGATGACGTTGAGAGATAGAGTTTTTATTTTCTTTTTGCTTGTTTGTTTATGTAAACAGTGTTAAGTTGTGGTCAGGTTGAAATAATGGGTTTATAAGATAGTAATTGAAAGCCTCATGGTAACTTCAAACTAAAAAGCATACAATGGAGACACAAAAAGTAAAAAACAAGAAACTAAATTGTATCACCAGAGAAAATCACTTTGACTAAAGGAAGTCAGGAAGGAAAGAAGAAAGAGAAGACCACAAAACAACCAGTAAACAAATAACAAAGTGACAAGGGTAAGTCCTTACTTATAAACAGTAACATTGAATGTAAATAGACTAAAATCTCCAATCAAAAGACATGCAGTGGCAAAATGGATGAATAAACAAGACCCATTGATCTGTTGTCTACAAGAAACACACTTAACCTATAAAGGCACGCATAGACTAAAAATAAAGGGATGGAAAAAGATATTTGATGCCAATGGAAACCAAAAAAGAACAGGAGTAGTTATATCAGACAAAATAGATTTGAAGACAAAAGCTAAAAGAGACAAAAAAAGTTCACTATATAATGATAATGATAAAGGGGTCAATTTAGCAAGAGGATATAACAGTTTTAAATATATATGCACCCAATATGGGAGCACCCAGATATATAAAGCAAATATTATTAGAGCTAAAGAGAGAGATAGGCCCCAATATAATAGTAACTAGAGACTTCAATATCCCACTTTCAGCATTGGACAGATCTCCCAGACAGAAAATTAACAAAGAAATATCACACTTAATCTGCAATACAGACCAAATAGACCTAATAGATATTTACAGAGCATTTCATTGAATGGCTACAGAATACACATTATTTTCCTCAGTACATGGATAACTCTCAAGGATAAACCATATGTTAGGTCACAAAACAAGTTTTAAAACGTCCAAAAAACTGAAATAATATTAAGCATCTTGTCTGACCACAGTGGAATAAAACTAGAAATGAATAATAAAGAATTTTGGAAACTACACAAATACATGAAAATCAAACAATATGCTCCTGAATGAACAGTACATCAATGAAGAAATTAAGAAGGAATTTGAAAAATTTCTTGAAACAAATGATAATAAAAACACAACATACCAAAACCTATGGGATACTGCAAAAACAGTACTAAGAAGAAATTTTATAGCTATAAGTGCCTGCATCAAAAAAGACTGATGAAACTGGGAAATGACGGTCTCTTCAATAAATGGTGCTGGGAAAAACTGGATATCCATATGCAGAAGAATGAAACTAGACCCCTGACCTCTCACAATATACAAAAATCAAATCAAAATTGATTAAAGACATAAATCTAAGACCTCAAACTATGAAACTACTACAAGAAAACACTGGGGACCTTCTCCAGGACATCAGTCTGGGCAAAGATTTCTTGAGCAATACCCCACAAGCACAGGCAACTAAAGCAAAAATAGACAAATAGGATCACATCAAGTTAAAAAGCTTCTGCACAGCAAAGGAAACAACAAAGTGAAGAGACAACCCACAGAATGGGAGAAAATATTTGCCAACTACCCATCTGACAAGGGATTAATAACAAGAATATATCAGAAGTTCAAACAATTCTATAGGAAAAATGGGCAAAAGATTTGACATTTCACAAAAGAAGACATATAAATGGCAAGTAGACATATGAAAAAATGTTCAACATCATTGATCATCAGGGAAATATAAATTAAAAGTACAATGAGATATCATCTTACCCCAGGTAAAATGGTTTATATTAAAAGACAGGCAATAACAAATGCTGGCGAGGATGTGGAGAAAAGGGAACTCTCATATATTGTTGGTGGGAATGTAAATTAGTATGATCATTATGGAGAAGAGTTTGGAAGTTCCTCACAAAACTACAAATAGAGCTACCATATGATCCCACAATCCCACTGCTGGGTATATACCCAAAAGAAAGGAAATCAGTGTATTGAAGAGATATCTGCATTCACATGTTTGTTGCAGCATTGTTTACAATAGCTAGATTGGGAAGCAACCTAAGTGTCCATCAACAGATGAATGAATAAAGAAAACGTGATACATATACACAATGGAGTACTATTCAGTCATAAAAAAGAATGAGATTTATTCATTTGCAACATTGATGGAACTGGTGATCATTATGTTAAGTGAAATAAGCTAGGCACAGGAAGAAAAACATGACATGGTCTCACTTATTTACGAGATCTAATGATAAAAACAATTGAACTCATAGACATAGAGAGTAGCAGGATGGTTACCAGAGGCTGGGGAGTATAGCAGAGGGCTAAGGGGGAGGTGGGGATGCTTAATGGGTACAAAAACAAATACAGAAGAATGGATAAGACCTAGTAATTTGATAGCACAACAGGGTGACTATAGTTAATAATAACCTAATTGTACATTTTAAAATGACCAAAAGAGTGTAATTGAATTGTTTGTAACCCAAAGGATAAATGATTGAGCGTATGGATACCCCATTCTCCATGATGTGATTATTTTCACATTGCAATGCCTGTATCAAAATATCTCATGTCCCCCATGAATATATACACCTACTATGTACCCATAAAAATTAAAAATTTAAAAATTTAAAAAGATTACAATATTGTAAAATGATAACCTCATAAAATGAGTTGCAGAGCAGTGTGTTTTCTGGAAGAACTTGCATATATTCAATAATATTTTTCAAATAATGTGTATAATAGCTCTGTAAAATATTTGTGCCTAGTATCATTTTATAGGAAGATATTTTATATTACTGACTACATTTATTATAACTTATGAGTCTATTAATGTTTTTATTTCTTGAGCCAGTTTTGATTAGTTATACTTAAGAAAATATCTATTTTATCTAAATTTTCAAATGTATTGACCTAAAGTTGTTTAAATTACTTTCAAAATATTTACAGTTCATATATCTGTGAAATTTCTATTTGTTTTTGCTGATCTTCTCAGTAGTCTCTTTCTCTTCTTCTTCATTACATTCTATTTTTTCAAGATGGAGTTTTGCTCTGTTGCCCAGGCTGGAGTGCAGTGGTGCCATCTTACCTCACTGCAACCTCCACCTCCTGGGTTCAAGCAATTCTCCTGACTCAGCCTCCTGAGTAGCTGGGATTACAGGCATGTACCACCCAGCCCAGCTAATTCAATTAGTTTCTATTACCATTTGTTTTTCTTCTACTTTCTTTGTGATTGTTCTATTGTTCTTTCACTTTCTTTTCAAGTTAAAGTCTTCGTTTATTCTTTTCTATTATAAACACAGAAGGTTATGTATTTTCCTTTAATGCAATTTTAGCTATATTCCATATGTCAATTTTAATTGTTTTAAGTAATTTTAAATTTCAAGCATGGTGTCCTCTTTGAACCATGAATTATCCCATTTTAAAATATTTTGTTTATTCTTCTGATACTGATTTATTGCTAAACTAAATATTGCTATATATTATTCTTTTTTAGTGATTAGATTCTTTAGGAGTTTACTTAGGTTTACTTTGTGCCTTCATACATGACAAATTTTGATAAATTTAGAGCTACTGAACGCAATATTCTATTAATGTCCATTAAGTCAAATTCACTTTTTGATTACATTTTATATGTAAGTACTTTATGTGGTAGATAGAATTATAAGATGGTCTCAAATATTCCAGGCCTCTGTTTTCAACAATTTTTCCTTTTGTATGCATGGGGCTTGTGAATATGATGAGATTTCACTCCCTTGACTAGGTTGCTAATGAGTTGACTATAAGTTAATCAAAAGAAAGGTGGCTAGAAGCCCAGGGTGACCTTTAGGAGCTGAGAGCAACCCCCTTCTACCAGACAGCAAGAAAACAAGGACCTCAGTCTTATAGCCGTAAGGGACTAAATTCTGCCAAAAATTGAATGAGCGTGGAAGAAGCCCCTGAGCTCCAGATAAAAATGATACCTTGATTTCAGTCCTGTGAGCTACTGAGCAGAGAATCCAGACTTCTCATCTTCAGAAATAGCGCTGTAATAAATGGCTACTGCTTTAAGTGCCTAAGTTTATGGTAGCCTGTTATACAACAAGAAAACTATTATGCTATATTTTTTAATTTGACTTACCAATTATTAAGGGAGGCATGTTACAATTTTACATTGTGATTATTCTTGCTAATTTCTACCAGTAATTATGCCCATTTTTACTTTTTGTACTTTGAACCCTTGATATTTGGGCTATATAAATTCCAAATGGCTACTTCTTATTAATGAATTTCTTTGTTATTACTAGTTACTTTTTGCCTAAACATTTGTCTGATATTAAAAGTTATTCCATATATCTCTTGTATAGTATTTTTCCATCATAGGATTCTTTATCCTTTATTTTCAATCTTTCTTTATTTTATGTTTTTTGCAGTACCTTTAGTAAACAGCAAAAAGCTAGATTTTAAAATCTTGTTAAAGACTATACTTAAAAGGTGAGTTTTCATGTAACACTTAATGTGATTATTGATTTTTCATTATTTTTATCACCTTATTTATCATGCTTTTATTTTTAAAAAGCTCCCCTGCCTTGTATAATTTTGAACATGTTCATCTCTCATATTTTACAACTCTATTAGTTTAGTTTACAATATATTTTCATTCTTTTAAGCTTGGAAGAAGCTTAATTGCTTTAAAATTATAATAGATATTTTTGATTTAATAAACCTAAACATTAATCAATATTGTTTATAGCTCTAAATACACAAGGGTATCTCAGTGTATATTACTCAGGTGATGGGTGCACCAAAATCTCACAAATCACCACTGAAGAAATTACTCATGTAACCAAACACCACCTGTTCCCCAATAACCTATGGAAATAAAAATAAATAAATACATACACAAGGATATCAAATAATACACAGAACTTAGGTTTTTAAAGATCTCATTATGCCCTCTTATCTTGTACGTTATGTCTTATCCTTTACCTCCACCTTAATTTTATAACATTCCAACTAATCATTTTTATGATATCGATTTATAGAGTCAGTGCTTATTTACTCATTTTTTTCTCTTATTTTTGCACCTTATACCTTAATTCTGTGTTAAATTCCTTCTTTCTCCTGTCCAAGTACTAACCAGGTCCAACTGTACTTAGCTTTAGGGATCAGAAGAGACTGGGCATGTTCAGGGTGGTATGCCTGTACACAATTAACTTCTTTCTTTCTGATGAATATTCTTTTGTAGTTCTGCCTTTATGCTCTCAGTATCTGCCTGAAACTGATTGATTTGGATGATAGTCTAATTGGGTATAGAATTATAGGTTAGTAATTTTTTTTTCTCTCATAGCAGTTTGATGATTTCTGGCTTTTTTTGATCTAGGGAAGTCTTTAACACTCCTCCTAATGAGAGGTAGGCTCTATGACCCCTCCCTTGAATCTTAATAATTACTAAAACTGTTTGGACAATAGACTGTGGTAGAAATGGCACCATGCCAATTTGTGTGCTCGGGCCTTGAAAGACTGGCAGTTTCTGTGTCTTTCCTCTTGGAATCCTCACTCTCAGAGAGGCCAGCTGCCATTTGAAAAGTTTGATTACCCTGATACTGCTATGCTGTGAGGAGGTTCATGTGAGTCACATGGAACAGCTGCATAGAACCAATCATTCCAGGGCAGGTGACAAATATGGAAGTGAATACACTATTTTAGACATTTAGTCTGATGTAGAAAAGATCCAAGGCTGCAGATATATGGATCCATTCTCATTGTCCCAGTCTTCTTCACCTGTTCAAGCCACCCCAGCAGAGGCCTGAGTCATTGTGGAGCAAAGACTAGCTGTCCATACTATGCTCTGCTAAAATTCGTGACCCACAAAATCATGATCGTTAACAGAATGGTTGTTGTTTTACATGACTAAGTTTTGGGTGGTTGGTTACAAGTTAGTAGATACCTGAAACAATAACATTTTCCCTTTATAATACTTTGATCATACTGGGAAATTATACGTTTATTAGTATAAGTAGTTGTTTATTGTTTATCTTCTCCAAGAGAGTAGGTTCTATAAAAGTAAAAACAAAACATAATTTGTTTTATACTTTGTTCTCAGAGCCTAGCACATACAGGCACTCAGTAAATATTTAGTGAATGAATAAATATTTTAAAAGTTTATATTGCTCAATTATTTTGTACTAATTATTGCTTTATTATAAAATATTTTAAAAATTATTTTACAACGTTTTTATTAGAACTTCTATAATCTGAGAAAATCAATGAAAATAATAGATGAAAATAGCTCCAAACATTCAATTTAATCTGCAGATGTAAGATGTGATTCTTTTTATACTTTCAAGGCTTAGTTTCATTTTCTGTGCTGATAATTTTCCTGTCCTTAGAGGCTGGAAAAAGTCAACGAACAAAAAATGCTGGATTAAGTAGATAGAGTACACATTGAAAAGTTTAAGGTTTAATTTAAAGATTGCTTAATCATTTTTATTTTAAAATCTGGGAAACATCAAAATGCTTTCTCCAAATGGGCCCTGGCTCCACTGTGTATGACATGATGATGCAGCTACTTCATGGTTTCCTGACATCTGTTGCTCCATGTCTTCATGGACAGCTGCTGAGGGTTTGATCTGTTTATTCTCCTTGTCACTTGGTTATTTCTGCTTTCACCCTTCAAAGATAAATAACTCCTTTGCAATGAGAGTCTCTTGAAATCTAGTTTTAGGGAAACAACTATTTGTTCATTTATTTATTTATTCAGTGCCACTATGCTTTTGAAATTAAAGTCAGCTTTGTGGACATACAAAATATTAAAAAATGAATTTTAAAATATAGAAAAAGAAGGAAAGGAAAGAAGTAAAAGAAGAAAAATAAGGAAGAGTAGTATGGTCTTGGTATAAGATTCAGAAAATTCAAACCACAGTGACCTTTTTGTTGGCTTCTGGTGGGACAACATTTATCTTTAACTATCACAGGAAAGGGGAAACTGGTCAGTTACATGGTTCAAAGTGTAATATTAATACAAGCCAATTGCTCACAAGTACAGTTCTTCTTGGTTCCCATACCAGACAGTAATTTCTCCCAGGTTTCTCATAAAGGAGACCCAAGAGGAAGAAAATAGTTTCAGCAGAACTGCACGTTAGTATAAAATAGCATTTAGGAGAGGCTGTAAGCAACTGAGGAATTTAGAAGAGAATAGGTTTCATTCATATTTGTCATCCCAGTTACTAAGCATGCCAGGCACATAGTAGGTACTTATTAAATCTTCTTTAAGTGCACAAAAAAATAAAAAAATGGAAAAAGTTTGTGATTTCTTAATTATTTTAAACAGAAAGTTCTCTGGAAGAGGAACATTCTTCAAATGACCTAACATGGTATCTGACACCACTTTCATCACCATCCATGTCAGATTTGCTATGGAAAAGACATCTTGTCCTAAGAAAAGTAGTGGGTACCACTGAGAGTTAAGCAAATATTAGTTGCATAGAACTGAGAACTGCCGCTGTGGGTTTAGATGCCTTGGAGGAAATGTCTTTTTAGCTTTCATAGTCCTCATTGCAGCCCTGAGAACTTGGGAGTCAAGCAGTAATACCCAGTGCTATGAACCCATATTCCCTTCTCTACTACGCAGATCAACTGGTCAATTGTTTTACTTCATGCCCTTGGGTCTCCCAATTCCCTCACCTTCTAAGTTCTGTTTAATTTAATAAAATCCAAGGATTGACCAAGTTTTTTCCCCCCATGTCTACATATTCTGGAACAAATCTTAAAATATATGTCTACACTTAGTGATATTAGAGCTTGCTTTTCTAAGACATAGTTTTCTTATTCACCAACCTTTATGTCCACTGAACAATAAGTATACTGTGGCCTAAAAGACACAGTGTCATTGTGTGGGTTAAAGTCAGAGTATAAAAGAGGTGGGGTGCATAACAATAAGGCTATAGTGTTCTTTGCTGTGTTGCAACTGTCCATCGAGGTTATGTGAGAAGGCCCAAAGGTAACGCCAAGTTGCAAAAATAGGCTGCTTTATTACCACACTGCTCCACCCTCGGAAGCACATTTCTTCTATTAGAACAATGCTACACATTTTGTGTTGGTAAAGAAAGAGGCAGTCTTTCCCTTTATTTTCTTTGGTCAACATTTTCTTTACCTGAAAAAGCAGTCTCTGTGTGCAAAAGCAGAAAACAAAGCACTATCTTTTGCACTTTACTTTTTACCCCTGCCAGTGACACACCAAAATACTACAGTGGGCAAGGCTCCCATGGTGGCATTTTGCACCTTCTCCAATCTAGCAATTGGATTGGAAGGGAGGAAATGGGGAGGCTTGTTGATTTTCTTCCTGTCCCTTCCACCATCCCCTTTTAACCTCAGAATTGGCTTTTGTTAGGGGCTGGTTAACATTTCTCTGCCAAAACAGAAAAACAAAGGGGAGAGAAAGGGAGCTAGGGAGTTCAGACATTTACTGCTGTTCTGCTGACTGGGCTGTGTAGCAGATGCTGAGAAAATCCAAGTCTTTTTGGGTTTTCAGAAGAGAAATCTTGCCTGGTGAAATCTCCAGTGAGCAGAGAACTAAGGGGGCACTATGTCAGTTTGGGTTGTTTGGGGGACCTTACAGCCTCCAAAACATTAAGGTGACAGACCTATAACACATAGGCAGCCCTTGCCCTGTGGTATCTGCTGGCATTTCAAACACTTATTCTGGCAAGTTATGAAAGTAGAATTTGATATCCTTTCACATATGTGAGGATACCAGGCTTCAGGGCAGGAAATGGCTTAGAGGGGGCAGACTATGAAAATGCATCCTACTTTGCTTCTATGAGCAAGTTGTCTCCATCTTGGCTGTTCTCATACACACTAAAAGGAGGTCAACGAGCTAGAGCGAGTGCTCTTCTGTCTGTAGACCAACCGCACTCCACTCAGGCCAGTTGGCCCCAGCACAGCCCTCTGCACTGAATTGGTGTTCAGTGAAGTATGCCAGTTTGCAGAACTGCAGAATCTGAAGAGGATGAGAAGAGCGAGAGATGACAGATGTAACAGCTGAGTTTTAGTCTTTCCTGGCTTACATTTCATGGGAAAATGTACCTACAGGAGAAATGGCTAGGTAGAGGTGGGCTTCAAATAATCAAGGTTGTATGGGTGTTACACAAGTCAGTCTAGTGTAAAAGAAGTTGAGCTGCTTTGACATTAGATAAAAAACAGAAGTTTAAAGCAATGCCTTTGTCACTTTCTTGCTATATCATCTTGGACAAGTTGCTGAACTTTTCTGAACCTCCGTGTCTTCCTCTATAAAATGCAGATACCTCAGAGTGTTGTTGAGAGAATCAAATAAGATAATATATACTTAAGTACCTAACTTAGTCATCGGTACTGTTACCATCCTCCTTATTAACATCATCTTCATCATTATAGCTACTCATTTTGTTCTCTATGCATCTGGTCTTAAACATTATTATTATAATTAAATATCACTGCAAACACCCTATATGTCACTGATCAGCATAGTTGCAAAGCGAGAATAATAATGCATTTACTTTTTAGAAGTAAAACTCATTTTTCCCCAAAAGGCAAGATAAAGCATGTTTTGATTTATTCAATACTTAAGAGTTACTCAGAATAGTAGCTTCATTTGTAGACTGTTTTTTCTATAGGAAATACTTTTACAAAATACAGTCTTTTAAAAACTAGCAGTGCAGCATTTAGTAAATCATGTTATTTTGTTGGATCTCATTTTCTTCACTAATACAAGAGTGCATAAGGTCCTCCGAGTTCTCATCTGCCATGTTCAACTCACCTGAGCCTCATAAAATCCCAATGAGTTTCATAAGGTAGGAATTGCATTCTCTATTTGGCAGATTAGCTAAGATATTCAAAGAAGTTACATGGTTTGTCAAGGTCAGTATTAGTAAGTAGAGAGAGTAGGACTTGAACTAAGAGCTTCTGGTCCAGAGAAGAGTGTTCTGCTGTCTTATCTTCAATCACATGAGAATGATAACAATGTCTCAAAGTAATTAAGACACATTAAAGCCTATTAACTATACTATTATTCTGGTGACTCATAAGCACTTCAGAAATTTATAGTTCTTCATGATTATCATTATATAAAATAGCACAGACTGGTTAATTTATTTTAAAAATAAATTTATGTTTTTACAGTTCTGGTGGCTGGGAAGTCCGAGGTTGTGGGGCTGCATCTGGTGAGGGCCTTCTTACTGAATTATAACATGGGAGGGCATAACATAGCAAGAGGGCAAGAGTATGCCAAACTGGCTTTTATAACCAACCTAGTCTTGTGATAACTAACCCATGCCTGTGATAACCCATTAATCCATTAATCCATGAATTAATTAATCCATTCATGAGGACAGAACCCTCATCACCCACTCACCTCTTAAAGGTTCCACCTCTTAACGCTGCTTAATACCATTACATCAGGGATTAAATTTTAATGTGATCTTTGGAGAAGACAAACATTCAAACCATAGCAGTGGAACTCTGTCATTTCTTTTCTTTTTTTTTTCTTTTTTTGGTGCTTTTCTTTTTTTATTATTATACTTTAAGTTCTGAGCTACATGTGCAGAACGTGAAGGTTTGTTACATAGGTATACATGTGCCATGGTGGTTTGCTGCACCCATCAACCCATACTCTACGCTACGTTTTTCTCCTAATGCTATCCCTCCCCTTGCCCCCCACCACCCGATGGGCCCCAGTGTGTGATGTTCCCCTCCCTGTGCCAATATGTTCCCATTGTTCAACTCCCACTTATGAGTGAGAACATGTGCTGTTTAGTTTTCTGTTCCTGTGTTAGTTTGCGGAGAATGATGGTTTCCAGCTTCATCCATGTCCCTGCAAAGGACATGAACTAATCCTTTTTTTATGGCTGCATAGTATTCCATGGTGTATATGTGCCATATTTTCTTTATCCAGTCTGTCATTGATGGGCATTTGGGTTGGTTCTTTTTTTTTTTATTTAAGTTCTAGGGTACATGTGCACAACGTGCAGATTTGTTACATATGTATACATGCACCATGTTGGTGTGCTGCAGCCATTAACTCATCATTTACATTAGGTATTTCTCCTAATGCTATCCCTCCCCCCTCCCCCCACCACACAACAGGCCCCGGTGTGTGATATTCCCCTTCCTGTGTCCAAGTGTTCTCATTGTTCAATTCCCACCTATGAGTGAGAACATGTGGTGTTTGGTTTTTTGTCCTTGCAACAGTTTGCTGAGAATGATGGTTTCCAGCTTCATCCATGTCCCTACAAAGGACACGAACTCATCCTTTTTTATGGCTGCATAGTATTCCATGGTGTATATGTGCCACATTTTCTTAATCAAGTCTATCATTGATGCACATTTGGGTTGGTTCCAAGTCTTTGCTATTGTGAATAGTGCCACAATAAACATAGGTGTGCATGTGTCTTTATAGCAGCATGATTTATAATCCTTTGGGTATATACCCCATAATGGGATGGCTGGGTCAAATGGAATTTCTAGTTCTAGGTCCCTGAGGAATCACCACACTGTCTTCCACAATGGTTGAACTAGTTTACAGTCCCACCAACAGTGTAAAAGTGTTCCTATTTCTCCACATCCTCTCCAGCACCTGTTGTTTCCTGACTTTTTAATGATCGCCATTCTAACTGGTGTGAGATGGTATCTCATTGTAGTTTTGATTTGCATTTCTCTGATGGCCAGTGATGATGAGCATTTTTTCATGTGTCTTTTGGCTGCATAAATGTCTTCTTTTGGGAAGTGTCTGTTCATATCCTTCACCCACTTTTTGATGGGGTTGTTTTTTTTCTTGTAAATTTGTTTGAGTTCTTTGTAGATTCTGGATATTAGCCCTCTGTCAGATGAGTAGATTGCGAAAATTTTCTCCCATTCTGTAGGTTGCCTGTTCACTCTGATGGTAGTTTCTTTTGCTGTGCAGAAGCTCTTTAGTTTAATTAGATCCCATTTGTCAATTTTGCCTTTTGTTGCCATTGCTTTTGGTGTTTTAGACATGAAGTCCTTGCCCCTGCCTATGTCCTGAATGGTATTGCCTATGTTTTCTTCTAGGGTTTTTATGGTTTTAGGTCTAACATGTAAGTCTTTAATCCATCTTGAATTAATTTTTGTATAAGGTGTAAGGAAAAGATCCAGTTTCAGCTTTCTACATATGGCTAGCCAGTTTTCCCAGCACCATTTATTAAATAGGGAATCCTTTCCCCATTTCTTGTTTTTGTCAGGTTTCTCAAAGATCAGATGGTTGTAGATGTGTATCATTATTTCTGAGGGCTCTGTTCTGTTCCATTGGTCTATATCTCTGTTTTGGTACCAGTACCACGCTGTTTTGGTTACTGTAGCCTTGTAGTATAGTTTGAAGTCAGGTAGCATGATTGTCTCCAGCTTTGTTCTTTTTGCTTAGGATTGTCTTGGCTATGCAGGCTCTTTTTTGGTTCCATATGAACTTTAAAGTAGATTTTTCCAATTCTGTGAAGAAAGTCATTGGTAGCTTGATGGGGATGGCATTGAATCTATAAATTACCTTGACTAGTATGGCCATTTTCACAATATTGATTCTTCCTATCCATGAGCATGGAATGTTCTTCCATTTGTTTGTGTCCTCTTTTATTTCGTTGAGCAGTGGTTTGTAGTTCTCCTTGAAGAGGTCCTTCACATCCCTTGTAAGTTGGATTCCTAGGTATTTTACTCTCTTTGAAGCAATGATAGTGAAATCATGATTTGCTCCACTCAGTTTATGGAGCAAATATATACATGGGACTCCTCTTGCCTCTCCTTGACCTTATTTCCTACTTTTCTTCCCTTCATTGTCTACCCTCCAGCAGCACAGTCACCTGTTTGTTCTTCGGGAAACCAGCCTTGCTTCTCTGAGCCTTTGCATGTTCTGTTCTTTCTGCTTAGAATACTTTTCTTCAAGCTTTTCATGTGGCTAGTTCTTGCTCATCATTCAGTTCTCTGTTTAAATTTTACCTTCTCATACCTTACCACCCTGCCTAAAGTACTCCCCAACTTGAGCCCCATTTTTATCTCTTCTCTTATAGTTATCTCTGTCTGTGATTATCTCATTGCTTCATTCATATTCTGTCTTTCTCCATAGAACATAAAGTTTATGAGAGCATAACTGGTGTTCGTTTTCTTAACTGTGGTATTCCTAGCCTCTAGGTTATTATCTGATACTTGGTAGGCATTTAATATATTTTTGTTAAATGAATAAATGAATGAACAGATGAATAGAGGAGATAAGAGGAGTCTGGGAACATAAATATGTACTAGATTCTGGACCTTTGAGGACTACATTAGGGAGTTTGGATTTTATCCTAGTGTAGTGTATCAGGCTAGATTCTGTGTTGCCAACAGCAGGATCTACTATGCTAGTTTAGGCAGAAAAGGAATGTATTAAAACAAGTGCTAAACAGCTCAAAGTTAGGACTACCTGTAGGGTATATGGCCCCCAGGCAAATATTTTGTTTCAAGTGATGCATGACAGTTAATAAATGATCAATCTAATCTATGAACATTTAAGTGATTAGATGACAGTGTAGGACAAGTGAGGCAAACTGGATAAATGAAGATTTTTTTCTGTGATTTTTAGCTTCATAAGGATCTATTGGCATTGAAATAAGGAAGTATTACACGTAATCCAGGACAATTGGCTGGCTTACTTGGGTGTATCAGACATTCCCATATCCTGTACAAATAAGGTAATACATATACTTGGTTATGAGGTCACTCATCATTTTGTGTGTCTCTGTGTCCTTTATTCCTATTTCATTTTGTATGTTATTTTTGTGTGTGTGGCCATGATGAAAGAAGTCCTCCAAAATATGGAGGTCCCTGAGACTCAAGGCTTAGAGTAGAGGTCTCACTTGCCAAGGTCTAAGGGTAGTACTCTTTATACATCCTTTGGGAAAGCTAAGAAGCCAGGCTCTGAAGTCATGCCATCAGGATCCACACCCAACCCCACTGTGGAGGCTGCTCTGGTGCAAATTTCTTTTCCCTTTATCACCAAGGTTTGCGTCTAAATCCCAGAAGTCCTGCTGCATTCACTTTCAGAGAGCCAGGAACTTCCAAGCAGGCAAGGAGATCAGTCTCTGCGAAGCCCCTTTCTCATATTGTTCAGCCCCAAACCAGTCTCCCACAGGTGTTTCTTGATCAGTAGAATCCAGCTTACACACCTGCCCTCCAGGCTGCAAGAGTCTGGAAAGTCATTTTCTCCCCCACTTCCACCTTGTAAATGTAGGGCTCCTAATGTGGAAAGTTACTCAAATAGAGGGAGAATTTGTAATGATGTTAGGTGACCACAACTGACAAAGGTCCTATGCATCAGATTTTTAGGATTATAAGTCAAAAGGTGATTGATGACTTAAACGTAAGTCAGATATGATTTATTATTTTAAAAGATCATTCTGCCTTCTGATTAAATTATGGGTTGGCTGGTGGCAAGAGTGGCAGCAGAGAGACCGGTAAGGATGCTACTGCAATAGTGCAGGAGAGAGATGTAAGACAGGTGACTTGGGGCACGGTGTGGCAGCAGGGATAGCAAGAGGTGGGCAAGTGGTTGCAGCAATGCAAAGAATGGAATGGATTAGAGAAGGTGAGGCTGAAGCAATGTGCAATCTTCTCATTTAACTAAAGAGTTTATATATTACCAAATAGAGATAATACTGTTTTTATTAACTTAGTCTTCTCTTCCTGATGTCTATGAAAATGAAAGAGACGTTATCAAAATGATTATCTAATATCACTTAAGATACTAAGTAACAGAATGAGCATGTAGCGTCCCACTTTTCTTTACTCAAGTCTGGTTTTGATAGCCCTGCTCATGGATGACAACTACATTTTAATTAGATGGTGTGTCTAAGCAAGACAGGTTAACAATAAATTTATCCGTTTTGTCTGTATTACTTTTTTAATTTGCTAAAGTCACAGCAGACATCCAGGTCAATTCACAGGGCTCTCTAGTTCAGTTGGTTCTTATCTCCATAAGAAACCAGGAACCTGGAGTTCACAAACTAAAATCTGATGTGAATGTTACAAATCTGAGCTACCAGGAAGTGCTTTTAAAAGGAATTTCCTGGTGATTGTAAAACAAATATTATCAACTCTTTTATTACTAATCTGAAGATAAATATATATAACCTGATCTAGTCACCACTCAGAAGAATATATAATTTTTGAGAAGGTCTGAAAGGTTGAAAACGCTTCATAAGGAAGAGGAATTGTTTTAAGGAGATCGGATTATGAATGATAGAGTGAAAACTGAGTGAGGGAAGAATTTGAGCTGAACATCAAAGAAAATTTCCTTCAATAAGGGTATCCTTTGTGGTGAGAGAGCAAATTTTGGAATCTCTCCAAACAGGTTTAGTCATCACTCTGAAAGACAGCCAAATCCTGACCTGGCCAGTCTTTGGCCCACACAGGGAAGGGGTCTTTTCCCTCCAAGGCTATCTTTGCTCAGAGCGGTGATTAGATGAAAAATGAATTTCAGAAGAGATTTAGAGGATTTGCACAGAGTACCCAGAAATGTCAAGGCACCTCTCATACTTCCATTGCTGCCTGACAGCAGAGGTGAAACAGAATGTGGCTGATGATCACCCACAGGAAACAAGTCTTTTGTCATGACAACAACGTATTTCAAAGGAAATCATTGCCATTATAGTCATAATTTATTGATATGGGATGTAACAACATTATTCTAAACAGTGGCTGGCTGACTGGTAGAATGTCTTCATTAACCACAGAATGGGTGTTCCCAATGATAAACCAAGAAACACATTCAGTGAGCTTCATAATTTGCCATTCAAAAAAACAAATTTGCCACTTTAAGAAAGGAGTACTACATTCAACCAGAATGCGTATATTTCCTGCCTTGACATTTCATATCCAATGCTAGAAAGTTTATAGTTGTTGTGTGTTTTGGCTTTTGTGGTTAGATTCAAAGGAAAAATTAAAACTAAAACTTTGCCACAATCTTACATGAATGAATTTATTTTCCTTTTTCTTTTCCATTTTTTTCCCTGCAGAGGAAGAGAGATGCACCACATAGGGGGATAGGTCAGGGGAACTCTGCTGTTGGTTTTCATGAAATACAGAAGACCAGGAAAAATAGGGACACTCCTGCCAATGACCGCCTGTGCACTAAAAACTACACAACATTGCTGAACAAAAGAACCAAAAAACTAGTAAGAGGGGAGATACACTGTGTCCATAGGTCAGAAGATTTTTTGTTGTTCAGATGCCAGTTCTCCCCAGATTGATCCATAGATCCAGTTCAGTTACAATTAAAACCACAGTGGCATTATTGAAATTGAAATGCTGATTCTAAATTTCATATGGAACTGGAAAGTTTCTAGAATAGCCAAAACAACTTTGAAAAAGAAGAACCAAGTTAGAGGACCAATACTATCTGATTTCAAGGCTTGTTACTAAGCTACAGTAATTAAAACAATATGATGTTGGTGGAAAACAGGGATAGGCAAAATTTTTAAGTAAAGGACCAGATAGGAAATATTTTAGGCTTTGTGGATCATATAGTCTCTGTGACAACTATGCAAGTCTGCTGTTGCAGCATGTAAATAGCCATACACAATATGTAAAGGAATGAGTGTGCCTATGTTTCAATAAACTTTTCTTCAAAGACACTGTCTTTAAATAAATTTGAATATAAGTTCAATATAAATTAAAATTTCATTAAAGAAAGTATCTTTGAAGAAGAGTTATTGAATAAAATTAATAATTTTATAAATGTCATCAAAAAATATTATTTTGATTAAATAGGAACACTTTTATGCTGTTGGTGGGACTGTAAACTAGTTCAACCATTGTGGAAGTCAGTGTGGTGATTCCTCAGGGATCTAGAACTAGAAATTCCATTTGACTCATCCATCCCATTACTGGGTATATACCCAAAGGATTATAAATCATGCTGCTATAAAGACACGTGCACACATATATTTATTGTGGCACTATTCACAATAGCAAAGACTTGGAACCAACCCAAATGTCCAACAATGATAGACTGGATTAAGAAAATGTGGCACATATACACCATGGAATACTATGCAGCCGTAAAAAAGGATGAGTTCATGTCCTTTGTAGGGACATGGATAAAGCAAGAAACCATCATTCTCAGCAAACTGTTGCAAGGACAAAAAACCAAACACCACATGTTCTCACTCATAGGTGGGAATTGAACAATGAGAACACTTGAACACAGGAAGGGGAACATCACACACCGGGGCCTGTTTTGTGGTGAGGGGAGTGGGGAGGGATAGCATTAGGAAATATACCTAATGTAAATGATGAGTTAATGGCTGCAGCACACCAACATGGCACATGTATACATATGTAACAAACCTGCACGTTGTGCACATGTACCCTAGAACTTAAAGTATAATAATAAAAAAAAGTATTCTTTTGATTAGTTTTCTTCCAACCATTTTGCAATGTAAAAACCATTCTTAGCCTACAGACTGTACATAAACAGACAGTAGGCCAGACTTCACCTGTGGCCATCATTTGCTGATCGCTGGTGTAGAGACAGACAAAAAGATCAGTGGCATAGAATGAAGAGTCAAGAAATAGACCTACCTACATACAGGCAACTAGTTTTTGATAAAGGTATTCAGGATATTTTATGAAAAAGGACAATCAAATGTTCTGTCATATCCATATGCAGGGAAACAAAAAGAGCTTTGATCCATACACCAAAATGTATACAAATATTAACTCCAAATAGGTAATGTAAAACTTAAAACTATAAAACATCTAGAAGAAAATGTAGAGGAAAACATTTGTGACCTTAATTTAGAAAGGATTTCATAGACAGAATACCAAAAGCATTTGGTATTCTTAGATTGAATGCCAAAAGCATGACACATAAAAGACAAACTGGTAAATTAGACTTTATGAAAATCACAACAAGAAAAGACCCCTGCCCTTTGGAAGACACTATTGTTAGAATGAAATATCAATCAGTAGGTGAGTGAATAAACTATTATGGTATACCCATATAATGTGTCAATAAGGAATGAACTCGATGCATGCCATAAAACGGATGAAACTCAGAATAATTATGCTATGGTAAATTTATATATATAGTCTGGCTTCTTTGCCATAGCATAATTAATATATATAACATATGTGTGTATGTATGTATATATGTATATATGTGTATATATGTGTATATGCTATATATATATGTATACAAACATATTTTATATATACACATATATATTATTCTTACAGATGCGAACTAATCTGTAATGATAGAAATTAGATGAATGATTTCTGGGGGTGGGTGCCAGTATGGGTAGGGGAAGCAGGGAAGAATTACAAAAGGGAATGAAGAAACTTCTGTAGGTGATGTGTAAATTCATTAGGCTGGTTATGACAATGGTTTTTTTCAGGGGTATATAGATGTCAAAACTTATTAAACATTATCCTTTAAATAGGTGTAATGTATACCAACTATATCTCAATAAAAACACTATGAAACAGATAATATAAACAGACCTACAGATACTCTAGGTATTGCAATTATTAGACAAGGCTGTATAAAATCTATGATTACTATAGTTAAGAAGATAGATGATATGACAGAGATTTTTGTTGGAGAAGTGGAATATTTTTTAAATTAACAAATAAAAACTAAGAACTGATAAATACAGTTTCCAAAATTATCAACCCCAGGATTCAGTTTAACAGAGGATTAGACCAATCAGAAAAGAGGATTAATTAACAGGGACATAAATTATGCATTGGTGATTTACTGCGCAACAACCACAAAAACACATTAAACATTCATTTGGTTCATTGGCCTACAGCTCACCCAAGGCAACTTTGTCTTAGGTTGCAGTTTTTGGTGGTACTTGGCTTCAGGATGCAGGTTTGTGGGTTGGCTTGGTCCCCAGAACTCCACATGCTTCAGCAGCCAGACAAGAGTCACTGAACTCCATGTACCCAAGGAAAGTGGCTTTATGCCAAAGTATTTTTACAATTTAGACAAACTGTAAACTTTACTTGAACAATGCAATTATCAAGTTACCAAAACTGACACAAGAAGAAATAAAAAATATGAAAAACATTAGATCTATTGCAAAAATGGGATCTGTTATTGAAAATAGTCTCACAAAGATCCAGTTTCAAATGGCTTTTGGGCAAAGTTTAGCAATTGCTTAAAGAAGATATAAATCAATCTTAAATCAATTATTTGGAAGAATAGAAAAAATGGGATATTTTCCAACTTAGTCTATGATGCTAACCTAAATTTGATAACAGAATTACAAGCCAATTTCTCTCTTAGACATTGATGCAAAATTCCTAAATAAAATATTACCAATTTTAATAATATATAAAAAGATAAATACATCATGACTAACTTTGCTCTACATCTCAAGAAAGAAATGTTGGTTTAACAGTTGAAAAAATCAGTGTAAGTCACTGCATTGAAAGAAATTCAGGAAAATGCCAATTAAAACCACAGTGAGATACCACCTTACTCCAGCCAGAATGGCCATCACTAAAAAAAATTAAAAAACAATAGATGTTGGCATGGATCTGGTGAAAGGGAATGCTTATACACTGCTGGTGGGAATATAAATTAGTACAACCTGGCCAGGCAGGGTGGCTCACGCCTGTAATCCCAGCACTTTGGGAGACCGAGGCAGGCGGATCACTTGAGGTCAGGAGTTCAAGACCAGCGTGGCCAACATGGCACAACCCTGTCAGTACTAAAAAATACAAAAATTAGCTGGGTGTGGGGTGCACACCTGTAATCCCAGCTACTCAGGAGGCTGAGGCAGAAGAATCGCTTGAACCCAGGAGGTGGAGGTTGCAGTGAGCTGAAATCGTACCACTGCACTCCAGCCTGGGTGACAGAGTGAGACTCTGTCTCAAAAAATAAAAAATAAAAATAAATAAATTTGTACAACCTTTACGGAAAACAATATGGAGATTTCTCAAAGAAGTAAAAGTAGATCTATCATTTGATCCAACAATCCCACTACTGGATATCTACTCTAAGGAAAATAAGTCATTCTGTCAAAAATACTTCTGCATGCATATGTATATCACAGCACAATTCACAGTTGTGAAGATATGGAACCAACCTAAGTGCCCATATGTTGATGAATGGATAAAGAAAATGTCTTATATTTACACCATGGAACACTACTCAGCCAAAAACAGAATGAAATGTCTTTTGCAGCAACTTGAATGGAGCTGGAGGCCATTATTCTAAGTGAAGTAACTCAGAAATGGAAAACCAAATACCGTATGTTCTCACTTATAAATGGGAGCTAAGCTGTGGGTATGGAAAGACATGCAGAGTGGTATAATGGACATTAGAGACTCAGAAGTGGGGATGGTGGGAAGATGGGAGGGATAAAAAAAATGACATAGTAAGTACAATGTACATTACTCAGGAATGCACTGAAATCCCAGGCTTCACCACTCTACAATTCATTCATGTAACAAAAACCACTTGTTTCCCAAAACCCACTGAAATAAAAACAAAAAAGAACCCATAAGAAAAATCTGATAATCACTTTAATAACTGAAAAGATAGGATTAGAAAAAATCCAGCAGCCATTCATGATAATAAAACATTTCATTAATCTACTAAAGAGTATCTGCAAAACATCTACAACAGTCTTCACACTTAATGGTAAAATATTGCAATATTTTCCCTGAGATTGTGGAGACAAGATCTGCTCTTGCCAGTTCTAGCTGACATTGTACTAGAGGTCCTAACCAGCACAACAAGGCAAAAAAGAAAAGGCATAAATAATTTAAAAAGAAGAAGTAAAACTTCCATTATTCACAGGTGACATGATTTTGTATGTAGAAAATCCGAAAGAACTGAAGACAACTTATTAAAATTAATAAGTGAATGTAGTAAAAATCAACTGGGTTTTATGTGCCATGTAACAAACCTTCACAGTTCATAAAGTTCTGAGTGATAAATGTGTGCAAGGTTATTTTTAAAAATGTTGGGGGTCAGGTGCCAAAGATCTCCGAGGTTAAGGTTTTCTTGTATGTCTTGGTGGAAGACCCAGAATTGCCAAGTCCCCAGAAAATGTTAACAAACTATTAGAAATTAAAATGTAAAGAAAGAATGATGCCACTTAATACAGCATCAGATGACCAATTACTTAGAAATAAATCTCATGAAAGATTTGTTAAGACTTCTATAAAGAATACTCTAAAATATTATGGAGAAATTAAATAAAACCTATCATGTTCTTGGAATGGCAGGCTCAACATTGTAAATATGTCAGTTCTTTCCAAATTAACCTATGGATTCAGTTCCATTCTGATAAAATTCCCAGCAGATTTTTTAAAAGGAAATTGATAAAATGAATCTAAAATTTATATAGACATGGACATGGAAAGAATAGCCAAAATAATCATGAAGGAGTTTGGAAGATTTAAACTATAATATATCAAAAGTTTTGTTTGTTTTTTGTTTGTTTTTGAGACAGAGTCTCACTCTGTTTCCCTGGCTGGCGTGCAGTGGCAAGATCTAGGCTCACTGCAACCTCTGTCTCCCAGGATCAAGTGATCCTGCCACCTCAGCTCACTGAGTAGCTGGGGTTACACATGCACACCACCATGAAAGTTTTTATGTTATGATTTTATGTATTATAACACAAAGGTGCCACCACAGTGCAATGGAGAAAATAATTTTCTCTTTAATAAAAGTGCTGAATCACTGAGTATCTGTTAGGAAAAAAAATGAAAGGACTTAAATGTGAAAGGTAACACTTTTTAAAGATAACATAGGAGAATGTCTTCATGATGTTGTAAATAGGTAGGCAAAAATTAATTAATCATATTTTGTGCCCAGCTCCTCATGGCCAGAAATAAGTCCCAAAGTGTGAAACAAACTATAAAGTGTGCTGTTTACCTGACCGTCTCACTTTAGGCCCTGCATCTTGATTATAAATAGCCAGTTGGGGTCCACTTTTATAGGCATTTCTCTGTAACAATATCTAAGATGTTTTGGGGGCCTTATAAAAACAATAAAATAAAAAATTTAGAAACCTCGAACTATATTTGGTTTACTATATAGTAAATGTAACAATAAATCCATACAGCAAACTATAAACAATATACAGCATTATGATATTTATTTCCAAATCTATCTCCAAGGGTTTAACGGAAACTGTAGCCAGTGGAAGCGAAGGGATTTTCTCTTTTTTCCACTATGGTTCAGATTTCTCCTCTTTCATCATTTGGGTTCTTCTCATGCTATGTATTCCGTGCCAGGCTGGTGGGGTTGATTATAGTAAACAGCTACTAATACACCCCCTCTGTTGAAGTGATGTAAATTGTGACTAGGAACATGGGCTTTGGAGTCAGACAATGTTCTCTAGAATTCCACTATAGATGCTTACAAACTGTCTAACTTGGACAAGATATTAAATCTCTTTGGGCCTGTTTCCCTAGTTGAGAAATAAGGTAAGATACTCATAGGCTGCTGTGAAGACTAAATGTGCATGGTGTTTGTGAACTGCTTGACCCAATGTCTAGTCCATAATAGTTGCTCAAAAGTGGAAGCTGATTTTTCACTTCCTCTTAGTAAAACCCTTATTGCTAACTGTGAGGAATTCTTAATCTCTAAAACAGCAATGACTCGAAATTTTGATTTCAAATAAAAGTCCATGTCAGCAGATTTTCTTAAAAGGCCTTTGCTTTTATTAAATATGTTCTACAAATTCCATGCAGTTAATTACTTCAAGGTACTCTCTTTTCCTTTTCCCTTGTATCCATAGGTTTTTGTTTCCTTAAACTTCGCTACTGTGCTCAGCCCCATGGTACAAAGAAGGAGATGGTTTGTATGATTCAAGGTGTTGTTTTTTGTTTTGTTTTTGTTTGTTTTTTGTTTTTTTTTACTAGCAGGACAAATTCTAGGTTGAGCCTGAAGTAAAAATGGGTTCTTCATTGTGCAGAAATGATGAGTCCCATGATACTTTTACACAAACTCCTTCACTGCTGCAGGAGTCCAAGTTTTACTGTTTAAAAACATATGGCACAAATTATGCCATAGGCCAAAGTTACTCATAAGCAGAGCCTTGCCTTTCCCTATGGGACTCAGTGGCAGTACCTCCTTGTTTTACTGGTGGAGACTGGTATATAATGCAGTGGTTGAAATCTTCTTAGTTATTCCATGGATACCAACTCATGCCTGTCTCTTGGATGTTCTGTTATTGAGGAATAGGGTATTTTTTTATTTACAAATGTGAAAACCTGCAGCCGGGCATATCTCTTTTATAATGCAGTGAACCTTCCAAACCCTTGTCTTAGTCTCTTGGAACCAAACAAATTACATGCCATAGTGTGCTGTATATCACATCTAGAATGCTTATAATGTCTGGCTGAGTGAAGTTTGGGAATGGGCTTCTCTGGTGAGCTGGAGCAGATTGTGCCTTTGACTGACAAGCTGCCATTTTCTTGATATTTGATGATTTGGGGCCCTTCACCTGTCCATGCAAAAGAAAAAAAAAACCCTTAGCCTCAGAGATCTTTGGCATTTGACCCCAATATTTTTATACAGTAACCATACATACATTTATCACTCAGAGCTTTATGAACAGTGAAGGTTTATTACACTGCACTCAAACCTCATTTAACCTTTTATCTTGAAGCAATACTTTAAGGCATAGTTCAGAGAGTTTGTACAATCAGGACTGGTTAGTTGACCCTTTTTGTGCTTTCTTTCCTGAGAAGCCTCTGATATGGAAGCTTGAGGTCAGTAGATGTTTTCTCTATCCTTGAAAAAACTTGTCTGTCTGTTCGAACTTACCCTCTTGGGGCTTCAAAGTCCTGGAAGCTTTTGGGTTAGCAGGGATTTTCTAAGGGGAAGACCTCAGAGTTGATTGGTCAGAAGTAGAAGAGATCAGATCTGTTTCTCTCGTACACCATTATCACTTTCATCGCTGAGCATTTTGCTTACACTTTTTCCATTTTCCAGTCCACACATCAGCCATTCCTTAAAGGCCCCTTCACACCTGGTGACTACTATTTCTCCTTTTACCATTCTGGCCCATGTGGAACTCAACTCTCTAAAAGTTTCTTTATTCCTGAACCACAAAATTTGACATTTTATTACCATAAACTATTTTAGATTATTTTATTATTTTTATTTGTATAAGTATTGCTTTCCCAACTTGCTTATTCATGTTTTGAAGACTGGACCTGCATATTATATTTGTGAGTTCCATACAAACCTAACACTATGCATAGCATATAGCAGGAATACAACATAGGTTGAATGTACTTCAACATATTGTCTGAAAAATATATTTCCATTGCAAGATAAATATTCTTTCATAAACAGGCAATAATTCAAAATGGAGCAAAAATTCCTGCCTTCAAGATTCAGAAAGTCTACATGTTATTATTCTTTGGAATTAGACCTGTTTGTATTTGGTGTCTGAGAACAGCTACCATGTTGCTTCATGGATCTAGAAGCAAAGATTTGAACCCTTTGTTTTATTCCCTCTCTATTCCAATCCAGTGGATTTGTAGGGCTACGCTACCTTTAATGCTGAGTCACACAAGGAGAGGTTTTAAGCTCAGTGAGAAAGAGGACCATGTCTGTACCAGAAGAATAAATGGAAGTCCATGTTCCATTTAATTTTCATTCCTGCAATGTACATCTCAAAACCAGATCTAAGAGCTGGTGCTGTGGTTGCTTTTGGACCTGCCACATAGGTGTCCCACTGAAATCAGTGCCAATGAACAGTAATAACATGTCCCTCTCATTGGGGAAATGGAAGATGCTGACTCTAATTTCAAGTAGATCTGTAGGCATTCAGTAATGATAGGGTTGGGTTGATCATTTTGGCTCATCTTTTCAATTTTATTCAACGAAGCCATTGTTTTCCTTTCTGTCCTTGTTTCCAGTGTCAGCTTCCAAAGCTTTCACACTATTTATGACCCTGCATGGAGTTTACTGTCATTATGCTCATTGTCTTTCTGGTGGTTTGGAGACCAGTAATGTTAAGCAGAGCTGCCAAACGCTTTAACCAGCTAGTAGATCTGGGCTACAATACCAGGAAGCATATTCAGAGGCCCAGTGTCTTTTCTTTTCTTCTCTTTTCTTTTCTTTTTTTTTTTTTTTTTTTTTTTTTTTTGAGACACAGTCTTGCTCTGTTACCCAGGCTGGAGTGCAGTGGTGTGATCTCGGCTCACTGCAACCTCTGCCTCCCAGGTTCAAGAGATTCTCATGCCTCAGCTTCCCGAGTAGCCCAGTGTCTTTTTATGTGTCATTTATTTGGTGCTTACTACCTGTCAGACGCTGTTCTAGTGCTTCAAAGATATTAACGTAGTTAATTTTTACAGCAACCCAATGAAGTAGGCACTGTCATAATCCCCATTTAACAGATGAAGAAATGAGACACGAAGAGGTTACAACTATTTTGCCTAAAGCCACACAATCAGTAAATGGCAGGGCTG
The DNA here is from genome assembly GCF_000001405.40 of Homo sapiens. Taxonomy (NCBI): domain Eukaryota; kingdom Metazoa; phylum Chordata; class Mammalia; order Primates; family Hominidae; genus Homo; species Homo sapiens. Next base: position 59,674,498 of record NC_000002.12, on the reverse strand, counting down.
GAATCTGAATCAAGGCAGTCTAGTTCCAGAGTCCATGGCTTTGATTACTATGTCTCATTCCTTTTGTTCTGTGTATTCTGTTTAGTTTTTGGCAGATACTTGTGGAGTACCTTATGCCCAAAGCATTATGTAAAACAATCTCAGGAATATGGAGAAGAAGAGGGCCCAGTTACTGTCTACAAAGCACATCAGCATTCAAGGGGAGTGAAGGACATGTCCAGCTCTGCACAGCACATGTGGGGTGTTCCCTCCGCCCTTGTGGACATCTGATTCTTCACTGGGGAGAGGGAAATAGTTCAGATGTTGGCAGGACTGATGACTCATTTTACAAGGAGGGCAAAGTAGTTATTGAGGGGCTTTTCCATGTGGAGAGCTTTCATATGGACTGTGTGGGAATGAAAAAGAGAACTCCTGGTCATTTATTTAACATATATTTATTAAGTATCAGTAAGTGCAAGGTATGAGATTGAGGAATACCAGAATCTTTTAGTATCTTACCTTTAAATATTATTATAAACTTTCACCAACTTTGACTAGGTAGGGAAAAACAGGGTAAAAAGTAATACATATTTACAAATTTGATGTCCCATTAATGCATCTATTTTTATAATGCATCCATCTATTTTTATAAGGAAGGGCAACAACAACAACAGAAATAACAACAACAACAATAGCACAGGAGGGGAAAAACACAGATTAGATGTATGTCAGTAATATTAGCATCTATCATTTATGAGGGCCTAGGGTTCCACCTTCTCTCTCTTTAGGGATTCTCAATATGGGTACCCCTGATTGGCAAAAAAAAAAGAACCCATTTTCTTTTAAATCCATATGCAGCATGAACTTGGCTAATGCATCAGCCCCATAGGAATATTAAATGTACCCCATTTCATTTATAGGAAAGAAGCAAATTAAGACAGAGCAGTTTTGTGTAAACCATAAACTGCATTTAACAAGGCAGGAGGCTTGGGAATCTATGGTCAAGCTGCTTGTTTTTCCTGGCACCTTGTTAAACATGGTTGAAAGTTTGCATGCTGGGGAATAGCCCACTTTCTCTTCGTTCCTTGGAATGGCTCTAACTGACCTGGTAGGCCTGGGTGGATGGGGTAAATCTTAGATACTGGAGCTGGAAGAGAACAGGGGAGTTCAGTGGGCCTAAACTACTGCTTTCAAGCAGTACCCACCCTCAGCTGGGCCTGAGGGTCAGTGTGTGAATCCTGCTTGCAAGCCCTCCACAGAACAGGGCTACCTCTAACACTGATTCCAACATCTAATAACATTTATTATCAAGCCACTTCTTCTATGTCTAAATTAAATCCTTCCTCCTGCAGTTTAGTGCATCTCCTTTTATTCTGCCCTCAATAAAGACGGAAAACAGCTGGTCAGCATTCCCTGCAGAATAACTCTTCCAACTCTTGAAAGCTATTATTAAGTTACCTCGTAGTCTCCTCTCCTGAAGACAAATACTGAAGCTTTCTCCCGCTATTTTCCCCACTCACCTTTTTCTCTCTGGCTTTAGATCTTTCTCCAGCTGCTTGCTTCTTGGGGCCACCTGGAAATATATCTGCATTTTTTCCTAATTATATTTTTACTGGGAAATGATGGTGGAAGATTTGTCTTTCAGTCACCATTTTCTGATAGACTTTGTCATTAAGTATCCCAGCATATCATTCATGGGCTTGAATTAACTAAAGAATTTTCCCCAATCTTTAAGCATTCTGGGTCTATGGAGACCCTTGTTGGTAAAAAGTGTGTGTGTGCATGTGGTGTATGTGCAAATGTGAATGGTTTTTCTGAGATTTTTTCATTCATCTTTTTCTAAATATTATATTACATTAATATGTACCTCTATTGTTTTTATAAATTAGGGACAGAGTGGGGTGTGTGTGTGTGTGTGTGTGTGTGTGTGTGTTTGTATACTAACTCTGATTAATTTGTAATAGCTTCCCTGAAATCAATGGTGAAAAGGATTCTGAGTCTCTATGCAGTTAAGCAAGGAAGAATGATGTGAAAGTGAATGTTTTGTAGCATTAGCTATGGGTGAGAATGAGTGTAGCAGCATGATTGCCAAGTTGTATGGTGACAAAATAAGTAGCCGAAAAGTTAAAATAATTATTGTTCTTTTTCCTTCCCTCTGCTGATACGTCTTTTAGGAAACACAGTCCTTTTATCAATCTGCCTGTGGGCAGCATCATTAATTAATTTCTCACATACCCTGATTCAGTACCTCCCAGTACATTTTGATGCCTCTTTAGCCGTCAGTCTCTGTGTTCTATTGGCTAATCAGCAGCCCAGGAAACCTCTCCATTCCCACTTCCCCATTATATCCTAGGAATTTATCAACTTGTCCTTGGATTACTGTAACAGTCCAATAACTGGACTGCTTCCCTTTTTCCCACCATTTAGCCTTTCTGCCAACACCCTAGACTGATGCTTCATGTCTGGAAGTTCATTGCTGTAGAAGAGTTAGTGGCTGAGTATCCCTTCATGTAACCCATTTAAGTGCTGCTTCCTTCTTAATGTTTTTTGGGGTTCTCCCAAAATAGATACTATCCAATACACTTATTTCAATTTCCTATCACTTCCCAGAAATGCTTTTGTTTAAAAATTTTAAAAACATGTTTCGTAATTCAAAGAATTTTGACCATCTCACCTAGAATCTGCTCCCTCTTTCCATCCATCTAAATCTTACTCATTGTATGAGACCCATCATCCATGAAGCTTTTCTAAATGCAGACTTCCAGCTTTTATTGATGTCTCCTTACTCTAACATTCTACCACAATTATATTCTGACACTTAGCTCAATTATATATAGTTTCGTGCCTCGATAATTGTTATATGAACCAACCAGTCTTCTCTCTTCAACTAGACTCGAATTTTCTTCAGAGAAGACACCTTACCTTTCCTTTTATCTATTTGTTTTACTGTCCTTCCTTTTGCATGCCCTGCAGCAGTGCTCCACTCAGAAATAGTCTTCCAAAAGCACCTATCACATGACTCTCCAAATAATCAGTTTAACTGTTTTTCACAGTGATTAGATTTGTTTAAAATAATTTGACTAGTCTTTATGGCTTTGGATAGATGGATTAATATTTCAAAAGGTATAGTTACTAGTGACATTAGTAAAGAAAAATGTATTTGGGGATCATACATAGTTAATAAATGATACTCTTTGGGGAAAGAATAAAAGTGATTTCATTTTGACAGAGCTCGAAGTATTATTAATTACACAGATGCTAATATGGTATTGAGGAATAGCATAGAAAGGCATTGAAATGCAATTTCTCACCTGGCTTGCATAAAGGGTGATGAGATGTTCATCACAAGATTTCTCTACTTTGGCACAGTGAACATATTAAAGATTGCATGCAAAATCCAAAAGCAGAAAAAACATTAATCAATCATTAGTATATAACATTCACCAGTACAGTAAAAAAAAATCAGAAAGGAACCTGTTGGCTGTTGTTTGTCTCTCATGTTTTGGTAGGGCATGCTTCGTTCAGCCAAAGAAGGTTTTAGAAACCCAGGAAAGACGCTGGAGGATCTCAACATAGCTATCATTCTGTCCATGCAAATGTCAGGGTGACACTATCTGAAAGTCACCTGAGAGGCAAAGGAAAACTGTGCCATAGCATGGCATTTCTGAACCACAGCATAGTGACTTAATTGATTTATACTTTATTCTTTTTAGAAGACAGCTGAATGGCAAAGGTCTTTCTTTTGTGTAGTACTGGAAAACTGGTTGTCAAACAACCTCTACTCATTTAATAATTTATCCCATTTTGTAAAAGAAAGGCAGCTGACATGCAGTAAATCTACTCCATATTTAAATTACTACATTGAACAATAATAAGGAGAATGAAAAATCTAGTCCATTATTTAAAATTAAACATATATGAAACTATTTTTTTTTTCAAATGATCACCAAAGGCTGTACTTTAAAGGCAGCACTGAAGCCCTGAGTGGAATAAAAATGCTGAACAGTGGTTTGCAAATGGCAGCAGAATTATTTATTCTATTTTTTCTATACATAAGGAATTGAGCTAAATGAACAATGTTTAGGCATGTCAGAATTTCATCAATTTTGCATGAGCATTCTCAAATATCCTGGTGGGGGTAATTGCTTGCAAATACATTTAAACTAATGATATGTTATATCCTTACTTGATATAAAACTATTAAAAGATACGTTATTGCATTTGACAATGCCATGCAGCTGGGTCAGATCTTAATGACAGATTTCTGCATTTGTGAATTAAGATACACTCTGCTGGAAGCAAATATTTTGTAAAAATAAAAGCTATATACTAGGTAAGTTTGATCATTTATCTAAAATTTCCATTTCTGTTTGTTGGGAGCTACAAGAGTTGGGAGAGAAGAGTTTTGTTCCTTTCCTAATATTGGAAAAGGAATCCAGAGCTATGATTGAATCCTCCTCATACCGCTTTCCCCTCAGCAGGAGAGAAGAGAACTTGTAAAACCTACCATGTGGTTTTAAAAGTCCACTTAGAGTATGGTTTTGCATCCCTTACAGGCTGAGGTGACTGACATGCCTTAAACCAATTAGAGAAAGTGGTCCTTTTCCCCCATGAAAAAAAAAGGATGTTTATTTTTAAGGAGAATTAAGCTAGGCTGGAAGGAAATATTGCATGGGAAAAATAACTCAAGGAAAAAAATTAAAAGCCCACTCGCAGAAATAGTTTTGCAAACGGAAAATGTCACAATTGTCTGCAAGGATTCGTTGGTGTTTAACTTTCAGGGAATATTGGCTTTTGTATTTTTTTAGTCCAGTCTTCATTTTGCCTGAGGTCAGTATAGAGAGGGTCCAGCTTTTTTCAGCGTAGATTAATTTGCCTGGATCTCACCCTAGGTTCTGTGATCAAAACCCCAGTGTGATTTCTATTGTTGACAATGGGCTAAAATGCATATTAATTTGTCTCCACTGCCAGGATTTGTGAGGCTCCAAGATGGATTGTGAAGCAGCCATTAATGCTTCTACGTGATTATGGAACTTGGGGAGCCAGCTTGGCATCCCACTGGAAGTCAGATGATGTTATGATTACAAGGAAGTATTGATATACTTCCCTAATTGTTTCTTAGGACTTTGGATTCTATTTGTGATGTCATTACAAAGCTATGCATTATCTGCATAATCGCCAAGGAAAAGACTCTCTCATGAAGGGAAATGCGTCCCACTGAGATAATGCCGCAAGCTACTGCTATACATCCAACGGCATATGTATGGTGTTGAAATAATAAGACAGCATGGAATAATGATGAATTCTTGTTCCCATCATGACAGAAAGCTTTCCCCAAATTATCACTATTACTGGCTTAATTGATCCATGCTCAGTGAAAGGATTTCAGCAAATGGATGGCCTTGGGACTCAATTCCTACCTCACAGTACAATTTCTGGCATTATCAGCCTAAGAAAGGCCAGTCCGTCTTTGCAGAAGCTGTGATCACCCTGCAAAGAATGCACACTGCAGCTTTGGAAGTGTGTGTATATGTGAGTGTGTGCACCCGTGTGTGTGCACATGAGAGAATCTTTACACACATGTGTACACACTACTCAGTTGATGGCTTGGATTGAAAAGTAAAGGAAAGATAAACTTGCCTCTGGAATAAGAGGAAGATAATTTTCCTCAGTGAACAGACTCTTCACAGAGTGAAAAAATTACACATTATTGCCGCTTGGTGTTATATATATATGAAGCTCTCACCTTGACTCTGCAGCCTAGCAGGACTATGTCTTTTATATGGCACAGAATAGTACAATATACCTCTCCTGCAAGGTTTTCAGTTACTCAGTAATTCTGATACATATTCTCTCCCTCTGCTTAAAAGCCACGTATCCTCTGATTTTCAACATCATTGAAGATTATTACAACTTCACTTCATAATATACTGTAAATTTTATTCTAAAGCACCAATTCCTTGGCTCCTAAGAACAATCTTAGGGAAAGAGTGCACTATACTTCTTACTCTTTCAGTAATGTGAGAGGAGACCTAATGAAACTCTTTATGCAAATTTTCCGGTTATCAGGTAAAATCTTCACATAGAAAATCTGTCACATGTTGTAAAATTTCTTTATGTTATCAAATGCTAATGATGACTCAGAACACAGCCCACAGAGGATCTTTGAAATCCTTCATAAAAACTGTATTCCGCCCCAATATCAGAGGCCTTGGAAATTCCGCAACTCTGAAGACGTGGGTTTGTAATTAGCACGGTGCGGGCTTCTCTGCCCTCTGAAACCATAATGTTAATTACAAAAATTACACTGTGTTTAAAAGTGCAATTAAGAGACTCCACCGCACAAAGGGAATCTTGGAACCTCTTTTCACACTTTGAAGCCAGGTCATAATGTAGCCCATAAAAAGGAGGCCAAGGCTCATTCCCTTTTAAAGGCTTCAGAAGATCATAGAGGCTATCTCAGCGAGAATGAGCTCTACTGAGCTCTGCAGCACTCTTAATGAATAATGCTCTACCTGGAGCAAGGGAGGAGGGGAAAGGAGAAAATTAGCTGAAAAATGATGGCTGCTCAGCATCCAGCTTGGCTATTGCAAATATCAACACCCAGCTTGGGTCTACTTTGGGCCAATTCTGGAGTCATTTGCTTGGTCCTGGTGTCAGCATGGATTCCAGAGTGGGACTCATATATATGCAAGTAAAACCATGAAATAGAGTTTCGTGGGTTTAGCTCTAGTATTGTACTTCATTCAGAATGGAACTCTATAAGATTTATTTGGAAAAATAACAATTATACTGGGAGATAAGTCCCACCCCACGTCAAACTCCTTGGAGGAACTATGGGAAAGAAATGAGAGAATTAGGCTGATCACTTTATTTGGTGACTTAATGGAAGAACTCAAGCTGTATTGCTGGTGGTGAAGTGTTTTAGTGAGTAGCGTGAAGCAGGCAGTGTGGATTAGTGGGCAAAATACTAGGGTAGGAGACAGAAGTCTTAAATGAGAGTCTTAGGTCTGCAGTTGTGGGACATTTAGTGACAATTTAACTTCTCAAAGTCTCAGTTTTTCCACCAGGACAGTGTGAATAATGCAGCTCTTGAGGATGGTCAAGATAGAGTTATCTGAAAGAAATTATTGGGAGCAAAAATGCCCAGAAGTCTCTAAAGTGGCAAGCATATACAATTTAACATTACTGCAGATATGCCTTGAGTCAGTATTATGAAAATTTTCTATTGCTCAACTCTTAAAGTTCTTCCTCTCACCCTGTGTTATTGGTTACATGATGTCTCCCTCCACCAACATCCCCCATCTTCTGCCCCAATTGATACTTTAAAGTCTCAACTCTCAGTACCTCAGAATGTGTCCTAATTTGGAAATAGGGGTATTGAAGATATAATTAGTTAAGATGAATCTATTAAGGGATGCGTCATCTAATATGGCTGGTACCCTTATAAAAAGGGGAAATTAGGGCACAGAGACAGATTTGTACAGAGGAAAGATGGTGTGAAGGAACAGGAGAAGAAGGCCATCTACAAGCCAAGGAGAGAGGTTTGAAACAGATCCTTTCCTCACAGCCTTCGGCAGGAACCAACCCTTCTGATACTTTGACCTTGGACTTGCAGCCTCCAGAACAGTGAGACAGTATATTTCTGTTGCCAAAGCCAGTCAGTTGTGGTACTTTATCACAGCAGCCCTAGGAAATTAATGTACCCTGAAAGTGTACATGTTTTCCTTGGGGCCATTTTTCTCCAATAACTTGAAATATCTTACCTGTTTTTCAAATAAATATACATGAGGTTACATAGCCCTTTCTATGAGTCTTCCTTCACCCACAGCCAGAGTCTTCAAGTCACTCTTCTCTAATACTGGGGTTTCATATACACTTTTGGACTGCAGAAGCCTACCATCATTTATTTGTATGAGTCCCTTTTACTTGTCTCAGGGAACACTCTGAGGCATTGAATTCTCTATACCTAAGCAGTACTTTACTAGGGCCTGAATCCAGGATCAACATTCAACCCTATATCTACAATGCAGCAAAAAAGCTGCCCCAAATTTATTTATATTGCACAAATCTTGGCATTTTTATTTTTGTCCAAAGAGCAATAAAAGACAGAGAATGGATAAATTGATGTTAGCTAAAGATTTTTTAAAGAGTTGTGGGTTGGAACCAGAATGGCAGAAGTTAGAAAGAAGATCCCAGAAACAGGGCAAGATGGGGAGATGGGCAGTTCTGTGCTGGTATTCTAGAGCCAGCATAAGGCAGAAAGACGTTTGCATGTTCTATTAGGCCTATCATGCACTTTCACCTCTGGCACTGTTCTGGCATCTCACATAACAGTAATAGTTACTCCAGAAAGAGATGTATATACTGGAGATAAAATATTTTTTAAAACTCAGGACGTCATTTTTATCACCGTTTTTTATGCCTCCATTTCTCCCTCTTTCTCTCTGTCTCCCCTACTCCTCCTCTCTGTCTCTCTCTCTCTCTCTCTCTCTCTCACACACACACACACACACACACACACACACACATGCATACATCCATGCTAAATTCTGAATGGAGGATTTTGCTTTTTTTGGTAGATTTTTATTCCATAGATTATTTTTTATAGGTTTGCAAAATCGGCAAAAATGCATTTCTCAAGTGTCTAGAACATCTAGGTTCTAGATGTTCTGCCTAAGTTGCTGCCTAAGTAATTTCCATCAGGGGAATTTTTGATTCTGTGTCTCTTGAAAACCCTGGGTGTGTTAACCACAACTGTTTTGTACTCATGAGCTTTTATGTAGTCTCTGAGAGGCTACACTTTACTTAATCCTTCCTTCCATTTACAAATAAGTTTATTGTGAAGTCTCATGTGCAAACTCCCAACATTGCCCAATAAATTACCAACCTGACCTTTCGTAGAAATATTGAAGGCTGGTATTGAAACTGTCTTAAAGATGGGAAGGAAATTCCTTGGCCCCCCTCCCACCCCTGCCACCCCACCCCCCAAAGTTTTACACAGTATGCTGCCCATTGGCCTGGGCTGTTTGGCCTGTGTGTCTAGAAAAATTCACTTCCTCCTCCTTCATCTTCTACCTGCCTGACTCGTTACAGCACCAGACAGTTTACATATGTGATCCTTCCTATTTAGAAAATTAATGGTGTTTTCTGGCTCCAAATCACAGCTTGTGGTGCTCTGCAGGCGATGAAAAACTTGGCCAGCTTCAGCAGCAAGGCAGCCATTAGAAAATTAACCCTTGGTGACCAAGGAGCAAAGGTAGGCGAGCGAGGTCCTGGAGACGTGGCAGGCTGTAGCTTTCAGGTGTCGATACATATGTTAGCCGTGTAGGAACAGCACACACGGGGCCCCCTGAGAGCTTCTAGCTAGCATGTTTGTGGTTGGCCACTGCGGAGAGGGCACGGACATAGCACTTGGCAGCCAATGCAACCAATATGCCACGCTTTTTATCAGAGCTCAGGAGAAAGCCCAGAGCCCAGCTTTGGAATACCAGCCATCGCTGTCTTGGCTCCACCTGATTAAAAGATGTGCCATTCAACGCCATCCCTGTGTGCCTCCATTTCACACCCCGTGCTGGGCTGGCCTCAGGAAGTAGCTGACCTCGGGAAGACTGAATCATAAAAGCAAGGGTGGGAGAAAACTTTAAAGTGATTAATTCCTCATTAACTTAATTCTCCCCTGCTTGCTTTCTGTTAGGGTTTCTTTTTTTTTTTTTTTTTTTTCACCTTTGGTACATGAAAGCTAGAGAAGCTATTTCATTTTGTAGTCTTGTAATTGTGTGTGTGTGTGTGTGTGTGTGTGTGTGTGTGTGTAGGGGAACCAGGGTCAGGGTACAGGGCTTGGAAGTGTCAATACTAACTTTGGGAATCTGATTTTGAGGGCAATATTGCTTGGATCATTGTTAGAGTTTTCTCTTATCACAGGAAAGACAGAGCCAACATGTTTTGAAGGCTCAACACTGGTCCTGGATTTATCCCCCACAAACGTAAAATCATTTTCCTTGCTCTGTCCCAGTGAAACTGGCATCAGTGACCCCAAGGATCCAATGCGTTGGGGCATGCTTTTCTATATTTACTCCTGAAACTGAGGTGATACAGGGGCTCCAGATAATGAGCAGTCATGGAGCCCTGAGCCCACCAATGAGGGGGGAAGCAGGGCAGCCAAAAGTGTAGCCGCATGGACGATCAGAGGCTAGAAACCTCTCTCCAGCTCCTGCACACCTATCATGCAATCCTGAAGTCAATTTTTATTTTTAGGTTCCTGGTACAAGAAAACACAGCTGCTTATTTTACTGCGTCTGAATGCTTGCTCCTTGGTATTCAGTGAAATCAGGCTATATTCATCTCTAACATTGTGTAACACCAGCTTTAATACAAACAGGGGTAAATAACAGTGGCACATTAATTACTCCTTTCTAGTTTACTCTGACAAAAATGTACTAAAATGAAGACTAATATAATTATAGATGATGCATTTTCAATTAGCCTTTGTTAATACTATTAATAAGATTAATAATATATACTAAAATGTCAATATGCTTATCTAAATAATTTTTTAAATCACCCTTTCAAGTCCCACCATCAAACATTAAAGCACAGCGTCTTAATTACATGTGCTCATCAACAAAGTTAAACGGATAACATTCCTCAAGTGTAGTGGAGACAGACATAGGCAGGCTCCAAGACTGCCTATGTATTCACCTTTCTCAGCTTCATTTTTCTTTTCTGTAAACCAGTAGTGTTTCTGGAGAGAGCATAACCAGCACAGGGCATTGCAGACTTCTTACGTTGTGAGGGCTACTCATGGAGTGGCTTATTCTCTATACACATGCACGTATAAATGACCCCTTTCTGAACCGAATGATTAAATGTGGCCCTTTTCCCTTTATAGTTTTAATAATATACAGCACAACTGTGACTGGTGTTAATGTATAAATTAATTGTCCCAGTGAGACATTTCTTCCAAAAAAGCAATAATAGCTGGATTCTCTTGAGAATGTGAAAACCCTCTGGTATACTAATAAAATGAAAAAGGTTCACAAAATAATATCGGAAATAATTGGGTTCCCTGTACCAAAGGACCCCATGTTGTTTCTCTTAAGTGATCTAAAAAATTGTGATTATTCCTTTGGACTTAATAAAACATGATAAAAAATATCAGTGAGGATAACGTAGAAAAATCACATCCATGTCCCCTTAATCTGTTTAAAGGTGAAATTCCGAACACTTTCTCAGTATTAAAGAGAAAATAAGTTTTGCAAGTAATGACGTTTATTTAGCTGATATCATATTGGTAATAGGCCCAGTCCTTTGTCCCACTTTGTGTGTGTGTGTTTTATGTATATTTGATCATTAAAACTTTTTAACAGCTCTAGATTTGTAAATTCACTAGCCCTTTCCTCCTCAGAAACTGGGAAACTGCATGCTCCTACTGTGCTGTATTCATAATCAAATTAGTGTCCTTTGAATGGAGTGTGTGCGTGTGTGTGTGTGTGTGTGTGTGTGTGTGTGTGTGTGTGTGTGTGTGTAGCAGAGTGGGGGTACAAAACTGTTCTCCTGCCCGGATACATGTTTTCATCCCAGGAGCTTTTCTTTTTTTCTCCTTCGGATATAAAGGCTTATCCAGACTGAAAATCTCACCCCTCATTTTTTTTCTCCTTCTCATCATAACCTGTTTATTTACTTGTTCTTATGCTACAACAACCAGAAAAATACAGCGGCTGGAAATGAACATATTTTCCATGAAGAAAGAGGAATTATGGAGAGTGGTGGAGACCTGGAGGGAAACTAGGAGATGCAAAGGGGGCTGTGGCCAGAGCAGGGGATGCTAGAGCGACAGAATGCTGAAGATAGTTGTCCCAGCTACGAGATAAAAGCTACATTACATGAAATTAATGGAGGCTGTCTGCGACATACATGAATCACTGTTTCAACACTAAGAAACCAGCACAAAAGAATAAAGAAATCTGAGTACTAACTACATCTTCAAAGGTCTCCTATTTACCCAGCTATACTGGGTACTGACACAAGTGGGGGGAAATATAAGAAAAAAGCACTGCTGTGATCGAATGAATGCGACCATATGAGCTATATTGGAGCCGTATGCATCCTATTTAGCTGATATCAAACACAGTTTAATGAAAGTTAAATAGTTTCTGAGGAGTGCATGAGCTGGAACAGATTAGATTCCACTGAGGGGTCTCTCAGCATATTGTTGCTCACATGTATTCCCTGCTCAGGGCTGCTACAATTCCAGCACTCCATTAGCAATACACAAAAGACTTATGCAGATAGCGGGCATAAGCTCCTACCGCCATGTTGGGAAATAAAAACACACATACACAGACACACGCACACACGGATGAAGGTTTTGTTCAATGTGTTCATCTCAAAATAGATCTCTGTAATTCAAAATTGATAAGAGCATTTGTGGAAAGAAGGAAGTAGCTGCCTCTATTTTTAAAGAGAGAAATATGTAAACTGCCTCAAATAGAAGATACTGCATCAGGCGCATAATGAGAGTTTGATCTTTCAGAGGACAATGACATGGGTGAATGCAATGCCCTTTTGATGTGCAAGCTACATCTGGCCTAAAGGTGCCATGGCTTCCCTGTTAACACCCCATGAACTTACAGGGGTGTATGCTCCTGTAAATTCTCCCACACACAATATCTCTCCAGCAATGCCTCATTTTTTAAATGTACAATTCCTTCCAGAAATACTGCTCAACAGTCTGTCCATCTATTCACATGGCTGTTGCAAAAACTGACATGAATTGTAATTAATAATTTCATTACTTGGCAAAGATTTTTTTTAACTTCCCCACTATTAAATTGTCTATGTGCATTTTTTCCTTCCTTCTGTCCAGGCACCCCCTACTCTGTCTTTATTGAGCCGACTTTTCATGGACAGGCAGTGGTGTTCTAATTTAAACAGGTGAGATCTTTCACATTGGTTTTTCTATAAAAGTGTCCAGAAGGGTTGAATAGCATCATTTGCTCCTTTCAGATGAAGAGCAAAAGAAGTCCTTTCCAACCGCAGCTGTGTTCACTTTTTTGCTCTTGCATAATTGCAGTCAAACTTCATTGAACATTTACTCTATGTCTGGCATTTTCCCGGGGCTAGGCTGGTTTATAAAGAAGAATCAGATATGCTCCCTATACTCAAAGAGCTCATAGTTTAGAGTAGAGGTTCTCAGTTGGGGGCAAGGTTAACATTCCCCCGACTCTAGAATACATTTGATAATGTCTAGAGACATTTATTTTTGGTTGTTCCAACTGGGAAAATGCTACTAGCATGGAGAGGATGGAGCCCATGGATGTTGTTAAACATCCCATAAGGAACAGGACAGCCCTCGACAGCGAAGTCCAGAATGCCAACAGCACTGCGATCTAGAGAGACGATTGTTTCCCAGGGAAGAGTAAGGTGAAATTTCTGGTAAACTTTGGACTCTCTGGTATATCTCTGTACCTTGTTCCTATTCCTGGTGAGGTCTGCACACTTTGGTGTGTTGTCCCCTAATAGCACCAAGGGACTGAATGAGGCTTCTACAGCACTTTGCTTAAATGTTGAGAATCAACTCTTAAAAGCTTTTGGCAGCTAGGAACATGCTCCAACTTTTGGGAAATCCTTTTTAGCTTCTTAAGTCTCTGAGATTAGGAATAAGGGCTCTTCTGTAAATTCAGCCAAGGGAATGAAAACGGAAAACATCATGCTTCTCTCCTACATTGTTTCTCAGCTATGGGGAGAGTTTTCTATTAATATTATCCAAGTCCTTCTAGAAGGGGCAGGATTTTCTCAGTCATCTCTTGTTTGTCCTTTAATTATTATTCCTAGAAATAAAAGTGGCCTCACATTAGGGAACTGAGTGTCTTTTTGGGGTGGCCCGTCAGGTGCACTAAAGTCATCTTGGGGCTCTGGTATAATAATTTTATTAAGAAGAAGAGTAGGTGTGAAGTTGATATGAGCTGCCTCTTTTGATCAAGAAGAACTTCCTCACATTATTCCTGCTGTCCCTGTCACCATATTACATCATCATATTCCATGTGACATCATGTCAGAAGCGGTGCACACATTGAAAGTTGCTTCTACCTGGTGGTGGCATCATGGTGAGCTGAAGTCCTGTTTGACAACATCAGCGAACCTGGTATGTCTGAAAAAACATTGACAGGCACATCCTTCACTTCCTCTTAGATTTGTGCTCTTCAGATAATTCGGAATATAACATCACAGTGGCTAGAAGCTGAAGCATAATTTATAATGAACTGATAGCAAAGTTTATCTACTATGACTAATAATCATAATGTAGTAACGGTAATGTCTGTCATAATAAAAAGGAACTAATTACAGTGGAAAACAATAGCTCTCCTTAAGAAACCTTACCTCACTGAGAAAATAAAACATGTAGATGGCACAACGGGTGCTAATTCACTTAGCACAGTGAACCCAGGTAACAGCACGTGCATGGAATGATTGACCCAGGAAATAATTCACGTGGAAACTGATTGAGGATAACTCTCCTACCACCTTTACCTGTGACATGAGGCCCTTTACAAGGGCGCAGAGATGCTGTGGCATGAAGTAGCCCAAAGCAATTATATCTAGAAAATGACTCCTTACCTGTTCTTAGATGTAAGTGTCAGCCGGCCTAAGTGTCGAGTAAGGAGTAAAGGCTGGCTGCAATGATGGTTGCAAAAACATATTTCTGATCAAGAGCATTGTCAATGAAATAAGACTATGTTCCTGATGATTGGCAAGGTTTGGGAAATATTTTGGAGGGACTTATTACAGTGTGCTGTGAGGATTTCAGGATTTCCAGAATCTTGCAACAGTTTCTCTTTAACCTGCAGGTGGCATTAGTAGTAAAAATGTATTTCCTATCATTCTTGAAAAAATATTCGGCAATGAAGTGAGGGAAACAGTAAAGGGCTTCACAGCATGACTCAATTAGAGGAGCAAGCCCGATTCATTGCAGATGGCTTTTTGCTATGTTTAATAATCCAGGGAACTCAATGATCCAAATCCAGAAATAGTAAACTATAATTCTTGTAGGAATTGAAAAATCTGGGGAAGTTTTTTCTTTCTCTTGAGTTTGGAATACAAGCATACGTCTATATGCATACACACACACATGTCTTTGTGATTCCGTTTCCATGTGGGAGGCCAAGAATCTGAGCACTGGGAGAAAACTTGGTTCTTTACTTGCAGAGTGAGAATTGAAACTCAACTAAGTGTGATCGAAACTCTCTAAAACCGACCCCCTAAGATTCTCTCTCATTGCTGCTGGGCCCTATGTCTAGCCCAGAGAGACTTGCTCATTGCTAGTATAGCAGTTCCCACAGCCACGGTACTTACTTTTTTCACTTCTTCCTGGTGCAACAGCAACTCACTAACTGCACTGGCCAAGCAAATTCTTGAATTGAATGTGATGAAATACCTGGAATGGAGCCAATTTAGAAAAGTCTCCCAACCTCTTCAGAGAGATGACAATCCAACTAGTTATACCTGGAAATGGAAATGGGAAATTAAGAGACTTATTTCTTTAAAAACTCCAAAGTATCAGAGAAGTTAAAAACTCAGGAAAACACAGAGAGCAGGTATAAAACCTGTTGGGATTGGGGTCTGTAATCTTATTCTGAATTTGATGGAGGAGAATGATTATGAGGGTGAATATGTTAAATAGGATGGCCTAGCACACAGCCTTCTAGCAAACGCTAAGCATCCTTTAGGGAACATGGCCTTCTAGCAGAAGGAAGCTGCAAAGAAATGACAAGCCGATTGGAGATCTGTGTAAACAGAAAACTGATTCTCCAATAATAGACTCACTAACTACAGTGAAGTTAGAGTGGTTCTGAAGTGAGCATTTTCTTCTCTGATGTTTCTCACACTTAAATGCTTTATTGTTCATACCTCTGCTTCCTTTCCAATGGACAGTTGAGGATTTTGCTGGGTTTTTTTGTTTGTTTGTTTGTTTTTTCAGGAGACTAGGTCTCACTCTATTGTTCAGGCTGGAGTACACTAGTGCAATAATAACTCACTACAGCCTTGACCTCTTGGGTTGAAGCAATCCTCCCACCTTAGCCTCCTAAGTAGCTGGGACTATAGGCACGTGCCATTGTGTAAAGATGGGGTCTTGCTATCTTGCCCAGGCTGGTCTCAAACTCCTGGCCTCAAGTGATTTTCCTACCTTGGATTCCCAAAGTGCTAGGACTACAGGTGGGAACCACCATGCCATGCTGATTTTATTGATTTTTAACAGTCCTGATCAAGTGCCAGAAGTATATCTGTAGGCATGAATCTATTCCTCAAAGTTCTCTTTAGACACTCTTATGGGAAGGCTAATATTTTATTAAATATTTAGCACTGACATAATGTGAAGAGGTCTTTTGATGAATCTGTTCAATCACAAGCTTTTATTGAGCCTGAAAGTTGTCACCTACATTTCTCCTTTGCTCACTAGTCTCTGCCATGCGTCACTATTTCCCTGGCTCTGGTTCATAAGTTGTCTGCTCCCAGGAGGCACAGCTACTCATGCAGCCAGTATTGATGAGAGTTTCCATCAAGAAGTCCATGTCTAGTGGAGGCTGCCACTGCCTGAATCTCTCAGTGCAACCTAGGTTTCCACTGGACAGTGCTATGCCCTCTATGCCCTGGCACTCTGCTGTTCCCTGCAGTAGGGGAGACTCTGGAGCCCAGAGAGGCCCAGGTTGCCGATCTGGTTCATGGGAAAGTGGCAAAAAAGGCCTCCTTTATGTTGGTGTTATTTTCTGCTAGAAGGGGCTTCAAGCATTGTTGACTGTGCCCAAAGACTTAAACAGTATATAGGAAAATCACTTATCCAATAATAGCTTATAACCTCCAAGCTCTCCACAAAACTTGGACACAAGTATCATGAAGGCTGGCTGGATACAGTGCCACCATACCTGAAGCATAGCCCAGTGCTAGGCTGGGGTTTCCTCTCTTAGACGTGCTCTGTGGCAGAACCAGCTCTTCCCAATATGACTTGCCACACTATGTGGAGCTCAGAATTCACTGCACTTGGCGGAATCTTATTTGAGTGTCCCATTTTTCTTTCCTCCCACTGGGTCTTGTTGGGAACATGCAAAATCTGATTTCTTCTCTCTGATCTCCTTAACTCCAGATCTTGGAAACTTTTTTAAAAAGATCTGATAGTCTTCTTATTCAGATTAAAATATTAGCTGAGCCAAAATAGCATGTGCTCTGACTTTTCTTTCATTATAAAAGAAAATCCTTTATAAAAAGGATTTTTTATTATAATTTGAAAAGTGATTTTTTGGGATTCGCACAGTACTATGGATTGAATATTTGTGTTCTCCCAAAGTTCCCATATTGAAACCCTAATCCTCCATGTGATGATATTTGGAGATTGGGCCTTTGGGAGGTAATTAGATCTTTAGGGTGGAGCCCTCATAAATGAGATTCATGACCTTATTAAGAAGAGACACAAGCTTGCCTGTCTCTCTTTTTCCACTAAGTAAAGACAGAGCAAGAAGCTGGCCATCTCCAAACTGGCAAGAGGCCCTCATGGGAACCCAAATATGTTGGCACCCTGAGCTCCATCTTACCAGCCTCCAGAATTGTGAGACATACATTTCTGTTGTTTAAGGCACCTAATCTATGGTATTTTGTCACAGCGGCCTGAGGAGTCTAAGACACATGGTTACAAAATGTTTCATAATTGGCTTGATATTTAACAGATACCTTTAAAAAATCTCATGAAACCTAGACAATCTTGGAATTCTGGACATAGGATTGCCTCAACTTTAGTGTATGAAGTAGTAATGATCTTCAGCAGCTGAGAAACACTAAGTCATCTTTACTTGAAATTCTCTTATTAATCAGTTTATTCTGCCAGGGTTTTAGCTCCTTCATGTTGTACAATACAAGAGATGTATATGGCAACTTATGAGAACACTGTGGGGTAATTATGCTATGTAATGATTGTCAGTCTCTTGGCTGTATTTTCTGTTCCTGGTCTGCTACTTGGGTAGGCCATGACACCTCAGTTTTCATGGGTAGGACCTCTGTATATGTTTCAACTCACTGGCATTTCAAAAGCTTTTAGGATACATTATTTTACTTTCATCTAATTCTCTTCAAAGATCTTCTATGGACATATCAGGCCTTGGTTTAATGATGACTCAAATATATGCCCCCTAACTTTGACCACTTAGAAGAGTAAAAACTATCAATCCTTGTAAATCCGTGTTTGTTGCTTCTCACGGACTTGGTTTTTATTTCTTTTCTTTTCTTTTCTTTTTGAGATGGAGTCTCGCTCTGTCGCCCAGGCTGGAGTGCAGTGGCGCCGATCTCAGCACACTGCAAGCTTCGCCTCCCGGGTTCACGCTGTTCTCCTGCCTCAGCCTCCCAAGTAGCTGGGGCTAGGTTTTTATTTCTACTCTACAAATATGTACTGGACTGGCTCCAAATTGCGCCACACCCCATGTTCCACAATTCTTCTGAGAAACACACACACACACACACACACACACACACACCTTAAAGTATACACAATTGAATCCAATTACTCATTGCTAGGTTCTATCCTATGAGCAATTCTGAAGAAACTTCAAGATTACGAAACAATAGGTACTTCAGACTTTTAAAGCAGAGAAGTTAAACTATTCGTGAAAGTAAGATATCGAAAGAATAAAGATAGGATATGGGAAATAGAAAATCTAAGGATTAAGTCATGGCTTTATAACAACCGCTCTGTCTCAACTGACTCATCTTGGAAACAGAGGTCATTATAGTAGCTGTTCTCCATGTTTTATAAGGTTATCAAGGAAAATAAAACGAAGGGAATATTTTGAAAAAACATAAGGATGGACAGTGTCTGATTTACTGTTGCTAAAAACATCTGATTACCTGCAGGGAACTCAGCAATGCCCAGGAGTCCCACCCAGAATGGAACTGCTATAATATCTGCAAACTTGTATCCCTGTGGGCACAAATCTGTGGGCTTATACTGTTATGGACAGCGGTGTGTTAGGATTTGTCTCATCCTTTATGAAAATTTTTCATCCATTCACTTGACAGAACAAATCAAAACATGTGAGAAGGGATGATTGTTTCAAAAGAAAAGTGGGATGTGCAGAGAGGGTTATGCATGGAGAGATGCCTCGGTGAGTATTGAGAGCAGAGGGAGAGAATGCAAAGTTTCTTAGGACTTGGCAACTGGAAGATTCAGTGAAAGAAACTACGTTCCTTTAAAAAAAAAAAAACAAACAAACAAAAACCATGGGACACCGTTAAAAAAAGGGAACACTGACCTAGCCAGTCTCAAACATTGTTAAAAAGGACTCAAGACCTATTTGTTTTGACTTAGGTGTGCATATTTCAAACACATTTGTTCTAAGCATATTGCAACAGATCTGCATTCTTAGCCAATTCCCCTGAATTCTTAATTCTTGTTAACAACTCTGGCAATTAACCAATTACTCCGACCACTGAAGGGCTCAGGGAGGAAGGGACCGATGATTTATAGCAGCACAGCGTCCATGCTTGTTGAATCAAGCTCAATTGCTGGAGTACTTCATTTAGAGAATAGATGGGGAGGTGAGTAGCCAACAGGCTAAAGACAGTCAAAAGACTACAACTGCCAACAGGTGACAGATTGGAAGTGTTGCTTCCTCTGACTCATTTTTGCTGTTACTTGCCTCCTGTCCTTGTTCCCAAGGCTCACACAAAATCCTGATGTCACTCGGGTGGGTCAGCCAGCTAATCTAGTGTTGAGGGTTTTACAGAAAGGTAGCATCATAGTATTTAAAGAGCCTCAGAGATTGTCTAGTCTATAAGTGCAGGAAGCTGTTCTACAAGGCCCTGGTGAATGACCCTTTAGATCCTTTTTAAATATTATCAGTAATGACTTTGGAAGGCAGCTCATTCCACTGCAAGACAACTGCTTGTTAGAAAATTTCCCTTAAAATGAGATACAATCTGCCTGTTTCTAATATATGCCCATTGATTGCACCTTTGTCTTGCGAAGCAATCCAGAATCACTCCACTCTTGCTCCTAGATAATGTGCCTCCAAAACTTGAGAACAGCTTTAATATCCCCATCCTCTTGCTTCACTGCAGTTCTTCTGATGTTTGTGGGGCAGAGTTTTCTTACCTTTTCCAGTTTCTCTTAAAAACACCATTTTTTTTCTCAATGCCCTTCTTAAATTGCAGCACCAGCATTTTTAACATGATTGCCCATGGTGCCTTCCTTGTGAATCCCATTCCTGCCATTTACATCCCTATATTGTCTTTGGTCCCAATAAAACCATGGATTCTGAGGGACCTATTCAATTAAAGCCAATAAAATGACCAGGACCACGCTGATGACATTTGCTAGTCCTTCCCTGAAATAACTTTGGATTTATCATTTCTGTTTCAGAACTGTTTCTAGGGATGTGTGGCATGGCTTGAACTTTTGATGTGCTCTTTAAGAGCACCTAAATTTACTGAGTTAATAAAATTATAGATACTGATAAAGGCAATAATAGAGCAAGAAGAAGTGAACAATGGTGTCAGCCAGAGGGAGAAAAGGGAAGGTCACTCAGAGTAGAAGAAGGCAAATAGTTTCTGCAGACAGGAACGCTCTTCGGTGGTGGGCATGGAGTTATCCCAGAGGACAGGCCCAACCAGATGGGCAGGCCCACCAGCTTGCACATGTGAATTGAGGGGTGCTAAAACATTCCTAGTCCCCAAATATCTGTTATACTCCTACTGCCAGAAATCCTCATGTAACTAACTCCTTTAGCTTAAGGCCACTGTAAAAATGTAAATGTTCTCTGGGAGAGTAAAATATTAATCCATTATCAACTAGTGACATCTCAGCTACACTTGACCAAATTAGAACTAGCTGGTCACTGAGCAGACTCCTAGAGGAATAGGCTACAAAACTGATATGTTTTAATTGAAGGAGCAATACAAAAAGATAAGATTTCAAGACTTTGTGGTGCAAGGGGGTGAAGAGGAAGGATAGAAATAAGGATTTGGTGGAAAGTGAGTTTCCTGAGACAAGCAGGGTGCCTCTGTGGAGTCCTGTGCAACCCTCAGCAGCTGTGTGGATACTGGAAACTACATGAATAAAGTGAGGATGCTAAAAAGCAGCTAAAAAAGAATATGAATAAATCTCTTAGGTTGAAGTGCTGTGGAGGGACGCCCTGAGGCATTCTCTATCAAGCTTGAGCTCAGGAAATATGAATTGGCTGGGTGGGCAAGATGCCCTAGTTCTTTGATTTTTAATTTTAATTTCTCACTTCTGAATGGACTTACTTAAATTACTTCAGAGCTGTAAACTGTAAGGAGAAATTCATTTGATTCCCTGCTTTTTCGCTGACTTTATTCTTTCTGATTTTCCGCATTTTATTCCTGGTGAGACCCCAAAAGGGTGGTGAATTAGGAAGGGGAGAGGAGTTGGAGGTCAGAAGGCAGATCATCAATGAAAAAAAAGCTGAGGAAGAATAATTTTCATATTCTTTATAATCATGAACTAGAAAGACTCTCTGAATTCCAATGTAACAGAAACAATGTAACTTAGGCAGAAAAGGAGAGTGGATGAATAATAAATACATAAATAAATAATAAAGAATAGAAGGAGAGGATACAGTCAGGATGCCTGGATGCTGAGACCTCTGTGTTGACACCTCTCTTTCTCTCTCTATCTCTCTTTTGCCTCCTTTTCTCCTGTTTCTTACGTGTGCCTCTTTCTGCTGGTAGCTTCATTCCTTCCTCCCACAAAGAGGGTTTCTCCAACTGCAGGCTCACATCTTTCCAACCTCATAACCATATCTGAAATAGTTCCTTTTGTTGTTGTTGTGGTTTTTAGTTCAGTTTAGGAAAAATATGAAAGGGCTGTGAATGGTTCAATGTGGGTCCTAGGCTTATTCCCAGAATGATCACCAGCTACGGTAAAGTGTGAGGCAATTAGCTTTTTCTGGATTCAGTGTTACCCCCAAGGCCAGATAGCTGATAGCTGCTACCAGGAAAGTGGAGAAGAGATGTTGGACACACACATTAAGAATTATAACAGAAAGGATGATTGAGGGAATCATTTAATAGCAGTGTCCCTACATTCCTAATGGCAGCCGAGATCTCGATGGGGTTTTTACACCCTCTAATCTGATTACAAAATTGTAAAATGGACCTTATTAGTCAGCTAGGGCTTCTGTGGTAATAAAATACCACAGAACAGGTAGTTTAAACAACAGAAATTTGCCCTCTCATACTTCGAGAGGCTACAAGTCCAAGATCAAGGAGCTGGCAGGGGTCTCCTGAGGTCTCTCTCCTTGGCTTGCAGATGGCTAATTCTGTGTGCATGTTCCTCCTTGGTGTTTCTCCCTCTTCTTATAAAAACATCAGTCATGTTGGACTAGGGCCTCACCCTCAAGACATCAATTAGCCTTACTTACCTCTTTAAATGTCCTATCTCCAAATATAGTCACATTGAGGCTTAGGGCTTCCAGATATCAGTCTTCCAAGGGACACAATTCAGACCATAACATGGACTAGTCTAGGTTTCAGTAAGGAAATGGACAAGCTGTGGAACGGTGTTTGAGTTTTTCCCCTAAATTATAGAAGATAAGTATGAATCAGGGAAGACAAACCCACTTGAAACACATATATTTGAGATGCAAGGGTTGAGGGGCTTAAGATCATGTGATTATGACTGATACGGCTACTGAAGACCAGATGTAGCAAACAGGCAAGACATTTTCCTAGAATGAGTTGGAAGTTTTGCCTAACAGTAAGACTGATTTTATATTCTAGGAAGTGTCTCCCCAAAGAGGGAAGCCCTAGTTTTCAGAGAAGCAAGTGCTTCTGTGCCAAGTTAAGGAATAATCTGTCTCTGATCCTGTCTGATGTATAAATTGGCCGTATATTTTTGGCAGTGCCATCATCCAAGAGCTAAGTTTTAAAAAATGTCTAGGAAAATATAATACTTATCTGCAAATGTGAATGCTAATGAAACCCTGTTGCTGGCTAATTTCCATCAGAGGAAATAGCTGCATATTCAAAATATCTATAGGTAGACACTTAAAATCATCATTGCTATTAAAAAGCAATTTATACCAGAGCTCATGTTTGAACTAAAGTGAAAATTCTGTCTCTATAATAAGAATATGATAACTGGCAGTCCTCAGTATTTAATAGGAAGGAATGAAATTTGGGAAAACAGAAATAAAAGGTTTTTGTTGTTGTTGTTGTTTTTTTTAGAAATCAACTAGATCTAGGTAATAATCACTATTGTGATCCGTTGAATAGAAGCAGCGTTGCTTCACTTGGTGTGCAGTTTATTTATAATCCTCCTACCTTTGTACACAGACTGCATTTGGGGTGTGTATGTATGTGTGTGGGCAGCAGAGAGAGAACAAGTTGAAAGAGAATGAAATCAATGTATGAGGAGCATAATTTAGGAATTTATCTTTTTTTAGTAATAGAGTTTGAAAAGTAAGATAAACCTGATAATGAGTTTTCTTCCTTGTAGCCAGGTTTGTGTAAAAAAGGAAAAGACTTTCTCATATACAAATGCAAATCCATGTACCATGCCCCCACAAATATAAGCAAGGATGTGCACATATGTCCCAAATTAATTCCAAAGCAATTTCAGACCCAGATTTGTGTTAATGCATTTAGCAAGTAATTAGTTGTCCATTCATTCATTAACAGCATATTTTAAAACTTCTTGCAAAACCTAACCTCCCCCCTCAACAAAGTGGCACTTCTAAGAAGACAGAAGGGATGGAAAATATGTCGGGTAAGATGAGAAAACAAATCAGAGAAAGAAAATTACACGTTAGCTGTAGAAGAACATTAGTCATAGAAATGGGATTTACAAAGAACACACTTTGCTTTCCTTTACCTTTTCACACAAAAAGGGGTGAAGTTGCGAATTGGAACTGCATCAGTGGGTACTTTCGCATTTTATGAGTCCAGTTTAGTATAATGTTTTTCTCTCTTGGACATTATAATTTTTCTTCCATTTGTAAAGCGCTTTATAGTTTTCTAAGCAGTTTCACATAGAGTAGCTCATTTGTGGAACTAATAGCATTTACGTGGGATCACAATATTCTAATAGAATTGTGCAATTCACATAATGAGTTTAACTTGTTATTAAAATGAATGCCACTTGGATAAGTTTGAAGGGGAAGCCAGGCAGGTCAACAATCTTGAGGTAAGTTCTGACCATTTTGGATTTGTAAGAGGTGAGGGTAAGAAATAAAGTTACTTTGGGAGAATACGACCATAGATAAAAGAAGTTTTAAAATGAAGGCTAAAAGGACAAAGATTTCCTGTCCCTATTTCAAAATTTCCCTAAGAGTTGTGATAGAGATTGCCAATTTCCATTCTCCTCCTTTTCCTCCTCTTACAAACACAAGCTCTGCATTACTGGATGTGCCAAGCTGGAAAACTGCATCACCCAGCCTCCCTTTCCCCTTCTTGCTTTTATTAGCCTACGGTTTTTGCAACATGCTGGACCTTCTGACTCCAAGGAGATCTAGACAATGGAAGCTACACAGTAAGCGTGGAAGAGAAAAAGATGGAAGGAATCTACGACATCAGTGTTCTGTTAAACACCTCCATGCATTCTTCTATTATTCCAGCCATTGCTAGATAACTAATTTTGCTCAGGTACAACAAAACAACCTGGTGAAGCCTGCCTGCCATGCACCTCTCCCTTCCTGATCTACAGAATCTCTAATCATTTTACCTTCATATAGGAAACTAATAGGAACTTATTCAGCTCTCAAGGAATTGCAACCCATAAGTGTTAGTAGTAGTGTATGAAAAGAGTTAACACATGTTGGGAATAAAAAATACCCTTTTCAATGGCTGACATAGCCAATAGATCCATGCTTTCCTTTTTCTTTCTCTCTGTCAAAGAGCCCTGATATATATTTCAAAAGGCTTATCTGGCATCCCATGGAACATTCCAACAGGTGATCCATAGTGATTTCATATAAATAAAGCAACGTTGTCCAGTGTTGTCATTCCCTTCTCTGCACATACACTCCCTCCATCTGCCATTCCTGCTCACAAATAAACATCCTACATGTTAGCCTTTGTTTCAGACTTCTCTTTCCAGGGGTCCCAGGTGATGACAGATGAAATCATGCAGGAATAAACCAGTCCTGGATTGCCTAGCTCTGAGCTTTTTATCTTTTATATAAACAGGAGAGTTATTGTAGTTTTCAGCTCAATAATTTATCTATTGATAAATTATTAATATTTATCTATGGTCACATTCACCCAAAGTAGCTTTTATTTATATATTATAAATATTGATCTATTGATAATTAAACTGATAATTTATCTTTTGGTTCCTTTTTTATAATTTTTAGTTTTTGATTTATATTCTCTATCTAGTCATACTTCTTGTTTTTTTTAGGTTATAAAGGTCTTTATTTTTGACAATTGTAATTTTTACACTTGTTACAAAAGATTTCAAAGGTTACAAATCATGATACCTGATATAATATATCATGTTGTGAAATTATAGGAATATTTTTCCTCTATCCCTGTCTTTCAATTTCCATTTAAATGGAAATAGATTTTCTTTTATTTTTATTTTATTATTATACTTTAAGTTTTAGGGTACATGTGCACAGTGTGCAGGTTAGTTACATATGTATACATGTGCCATGCTGATGTGCTGCACCTATTAACTCGTCATCTAGCATTAGTTAGATCTCCTAATGCTATCCCTCCCCACTCCCCCCACCCCACAACAGTCCCCAGAGTGTGATGTTCCCCTTCCTGTGTCCATGTGTTCTCATTGTTCAATTCCCACCTATGAGTGAGAATATGCGGTGTTTGGTTTTTTGTTCTTGGGATAGTTTACTGAGAATGATGATTTCCAGTTTCATCCATGTCCCTACAAAGGACATGAACTCATCATCTTTTATGGCTGCATAGTATTCCATGGTGTATATGTGCCACATTTTCTTAATCCAGTCTATCATTGTTGGACATTTGGGTTGGTTCCAAGTCTTTGCTATTGTGAATAGTGCTGCAATAAACATACGTGTGCATGTGTCTTTATAGCAGCATGATTTGTAGTCCTTTGGGTATATACCCAGTAATGGGATGGCTGGGTCAAATGGTATTTCTAGTTCTGGATCCCTGAGGAATGGCCACACTGACTTCCACAATGGTTGAACTAGTTTACAGTCCCACCAACAGTGTAAAAGTGTTCCTATTTCTCCACATCCTCTCCAGCACCTGTTGTTTCCTGACTTTTTAATGATCGCCATTCTAACTGGTGTGAGATGGTATCTCATTGTGGTTTTGATTTGCATTTCTCTGATGGCCAGTGATGGTGAGCATTTTTTCATGTGTTTTTTGGCTGCATAAATGTCTTCTTTTGAGAAGTGTCTGTTCATGTCCTTTGCCCACTTTTTGATGGGGTTTGTTTTTTTCTTGTAAATTTGTTTGAGTTCATTGTAGATCTTGTATTTTCCTTTAGTTATTTAGACATGGTTTTCTTCAACTCTTTGAACATATTTTAAATAGCTGATTTAAACTCTGTTTAAAGTCTTTCCAGTAAGGACAACTTCTGGGTTTCACAGGCCAGTTTCTATTGACTGGCATTTTTACTGTGTATGGGCCATACTTTCTCATAATTTTGCATCTCTCACAATTTTCAATATTTTATATATATTTATTTTATTTCTTTATTTTTAAATATTTAATTTAAAAATAAAGACTGCAGATATTCAGTGTGCACAAAGTGATGATTTGATATATGCATACATTGTGTAATGATTAACACAATCAAATTAGCACATAAAATTATAAAATCAAATTTATATGTCATCTTTGTGTGGGGGCCATGCTAATCTTCTCTGTATCATTCTGATTTTAGTATATGTGCTGCCAAAACAAGCACTAAATATTGTAGTTAAATAATGTGGCAACTTTGGAAATCAGATTTCCTTACACTTTTCCCAGGGTTGTTGCTGTTGCTGTTTGTTATTTTTGTGGCTATTTGTTTAATTACTTTCCATGACTTCTTCTGTGATATCTCTTTTCCTTGTCCTGTGTGGACATTTAAGCTTATTGGCCAGCTGATGATTAAACTAAGATTTTCTTAAATGCATTGAACTAATAATTTTCCCTGCCTTCTCAAAGGCAGTTTTGTGTGTGTTGTGGTATGCCTTCAATGCTTTGCAAGGAGTTTGCAACTCTGCCTTCTTTTTTATTCCTGCTTGGGGAGATCCTCAAAGTTGGCTGAAGTTGAAAGAGCAGAGCCTTCTCAAGTATTTCCTGGGCATTTCCTAGCCACATGTATGTGGCATTCTAGATTCCCAGGAATATTTCAAAACTTTAAAAAGTCTCCTATGAACAACTCTTTTCCTAGTTTTTTACCCTTGTAGTTATTTTTCTGTTCAGCTTCTTGTTTATCCCGGCTGTTTTCCCACCTCAAGCAGTTGCAATGTTAAACAGTTACCACTAATTGTTTCCAACAAATACCATGGAGAAAAAGCTGTTTTTAGAGTATGAACTCTCAGTATAAAAATAATAATAATAATAATAATAATAATAAGGAAAAGCCATGCAAGTTGGGGTTTCCAGGGAACTTCCAAATAAGTCAGATAATGACAATTCTGTGGCTATAGGACTTTTGAGGAAGTCCAAACCCAAAATTTGTCTGCCCCTCCCAATGGCTATGAAGCTGCTGGTTTTGATGCCTACATTGATTGTGAGGACTTTTGTTTTCAAAGGTTCTATAGATCTAGAGAGAGAAAACAATAGAAAAATGGACAGTTGAAGTGCCGCAGTTTCCTGTTATTACCACAATCTTACCACAATACTTTTATTGAATAAATACTTCTTGAGTTTGGTTAATTTTCAGAGTACTGAAAATATTTATTTCACTTTTTTTTGGTCAGTGTTTTCATTGCTTGTATAAAGGATTAAATTATTGGACATCATTACTCTGTTATTCCTGCTGATCTTACCCTTTGAAATCAATCTGAATCCGAAAACAAAGGGAAAATTAAGATATTCTCAGCTAAAAGAATGCTAAGAGAATTAGCCACCAGCAGAACTACCTTAAGAGAGTGGCAAAATAAAGTTCTCTTAATTAAAGACATTTTTTAAAAAAAGATAACAGAAGCACTTTTTCAACATTAGAAAGAAAACAAAAAAGAGAACAAATATATAGGTAAATAATATGGAAATGGCTTCTTTTTAGTTTTCTAAATTGTGTTTGTCTAATGTGTTTCTCACTGTATGTAGACAAAACTTGTAAGGTAGTTATATAATGAATATGGAAGGATAAATGGGTGTAAAGAGAGATAATATTTCTATGGTTTGCTCAAACTGGTAAAATAATGATAGCAGTGGACTCTGATAAGTTGCTTATATATTATATAATATCTGGAACCTTCACTAAAACTATGTATAGATATAAACTCAAAACCACTGCATATAAATCAAAATGGAATCATAAAATGTACACTGAATCCATATAAATCAAAATGGAATCATAAAATGTACACTGAATCCACAAAAAGACAGGACAAAGAAACCAAAACCCAGAAAGCAAACAGAAAATAAACAGAGAAAGAATTAAGCGCTGAAATACCAATAATTACATTAACTAAGAAAGGACTAAATATACTGACTAAAAGATAGAGGTTAGCAGCATGGACAAAAATAACAAGCTATTAATATGTTGTACATAAGAAACTTGCTTCAAATATAATGATATAGGCAGATTTAAGGCAAGAGTATAGAAAAAAGGTATACTATGCAAGCATTAATAAAAAGAAAGCAGGGGTGTCTATATTGATTTCATGTAAAATAGATTTCAAAGTGTATTAGTTCATTCTCACATTGTTATAAAGAACTATCTGAGACTGGGTAATTTATAAAGAAAAGAAAAGAAGTTTAATTGGCTCATGGTTCCACAGGCTGTATAGGAAGCATGGCTGGGGAGGAAACTTAAAATCATGGTGGAAGGTGAAGGAGAAGCAGGCACGTCTTATATGTGGGAGCATGAGAAAGAGAGCAAAGAGGGAAGTAGTACACACTTTTAAATAACCGTATCTTATGAGAACTCACTCACTATCATGAGAACAACAAGGGGCAAATCCACCTCCATGATCCAATCACCTCCTACAGGTCCCTTCCCCAATAATGAGGATTACAGTTCCACACAGGGCCAAACCATATCACAAAGCAAAGAAAGTTATTAGGGTCACAGAGGAACATTACAGAATGATTAATGGATCAATGCAATGAGAAGAGAAGAAAGATATAACAATCCTAAATATGTATGCACCATACAACAGAGCTGAACATACGTGAAGCAGAAACTTATAGAACTGAAAGGAAAAGTAGACAACTCATAATTACAATTAGATTACAATTCAACATCCCTCTTTCCACTATTGATAGTACAACTAGACAGCAAATGAGCAAGGCTATGGGAAATCTCAATAGCTTCTATTTATAGATCATTTTTGAAAAGCAACAGAATATACTTTCTTTTCTAGTAGTTGTGGAACACATACTAAGATAGACTGTATCCTGGATCATAAAACAAACATAAAAGTATTAAAAATAATTGAGATCAAATAAAGTGTATTCTTTGAAAATCATGCAATTAAATGACAATCTAATAACAGAATTATAATGGTCAAATCACCACACTGC
This sequence comes from Homo sapiens, assembly GCF_000001405.40. Classification (NCBI taxonomy): domain Eukaryota; kingdom Metazoa; phylum Chordata; class Mammalia; order Primates; family Hominidae; genus Homo; species Homo sapiens. The sequence goes on along the minus strand of NC_000002.12, from coordinate 59,644,846 downwards.
TTGGAAATGAAACTAAACAATACAATTTAAAATTATTCATGAATCAAATAGAAAGTCTCAAGGAGTGTTAACAATACAGTAAAATAAATGAAATGAAAACCATAGCATATTAAAATTTGTGAGACACAGATGGAGTAGTGATGAGAGAAAAATTTATAGCACTAAATTCTTACATGAGAAAAAAGGAAAAGTCTCAAATCAGTAATCTAAGCTTCCACCCTGAGAAAGCAGAAAAAGAGAGCAATTAAACTCAAGGAGAACAAAGAAAATAATATTAAGAGCAGAGATCAAATAAAGTAAACATACATAGTTTGGGTCCAGTAGCTCATGCCTGTAATTCCAGAACTTTGGTAGGCTAAGGTGGGAGGATTACTTGAATGGTTGCTATGTCGCCCAGGCTAGTCTTTAACTCCTTGGCTCTACAAAAAATTTTAAAAAATAAGCCAGGCATGGTGGCAGACACCTGTAGTCCCAGCTACTTTGGAGACTGAGATGAGCGGATCACTTCAGCTCAGGAGTTTCAGGCTGCAGTGAACTATGATTGTGCCCCTGCACTCCAGACTTAGTGACAGAGCAAGGCCCAGTCTCAAAAAAAAAAAAAAAAAAAAAAAAAAAACTGATCAAATTCATTAAAGAAAAGGTGGAAATCTTGCCTAGATCAGTAACAATAGAAAGGCAGTGAAAGTCCATCAACTCTGGATTTCTAATCATGATGATAATGAATAGATAGTTTAAATTAAGTATTCAGTTGAAAAACCTAAAAAGTATATCTGGCTGAAAAAAATAAAAACTAAATATATATAAATAAATTTTATATATATATATATGCTTGAAGTCATTGAGGAGCTAGTAAAACACTGAGAATTTATCAGACTAAAACATTAAGACCAAAAAGAAATATAGAGAGGTAAGCCTAGCATTTAGAGCCTCTTTTACTTCAGTGCATTTGCTGATACCTGATCCAGTGAACAGGAATTAGGACAAAGAATGACAAAAAAAACTGGGAGCTATAAATAAATATATTTCAACATTTTAGGCAAACTCTGAAGTTTAACAATATAATTACCACAATTGAGAACTCAATGGATAGATTTAATTACATATTAGGTATGGTTAAAATGATAATTAGTAAACTAGTGACGAGGTCAGATGGAAAAAGTCTTAAGAGCAGCATAGACAAATGAACTGAAGAAAACCGGAAGGGAGAATGAAAGATGCAAAATGGGAAGTTCTAACATACATGCTAAGACATAGAAGAAAAGTAGAAAGGATATAAGAAAGAGAATGATATTGGAAGAGACAATGCCTAAAATACAAATACAAACTATAAATGAATGACTATGAGTTCCAAGTAAAACAAATGAAGAGAAACTTAGACCTATCATGGTAAAACAACTGAGGACCCAGGACAAAGAAAATCTGAATGGCAGTTGAGCAAAAAGACAAATTACTTTGAAAGGAGCCACAACTTGACTGACAGCAGACCTCTCAGCAGAAACAATGAGAGACAGAAAATATTGAAATGATATTTTTAAAGTGCTGAAAAATAAAAAGGTTAACATAAATTAAATATCCTTCTGAAATAAAAAAATTTTCAGGGAAAAGTAAAATATTTATAACAGTAACTCAGTAAAAGAATTTCTGAAGAGTATTCTTTAAAGAAAATAAAATAATCTAGTGTATGAAGAAAGGAGAAAAAAAGAGTACCGAAAGTTAATCATTTGGATATATCTAAATGAATATTGACTAGAAAAAATAAAATGACTAATGTATCATCAGGTTTTATACACAAACATGCATACATGCACTTAAAATTAAAATATAGAAAATTGGCAGCTTGCAGACATGAATATGGTAAATGGACTTAAAGTGTTTTGAGGCCCATGAAATGCCTAGGAAAAAGTGAATAACCATCTTATATAAACTTTTTGTAAGTCAAGAATATATGTTCTAATTTCTTGTGTAATCACAAAATAAAGAAACAAATAAAAGTAGCAGCCAAGGTAATAAAAGAAAGAAAGAAAATGGTTACAAAGAGCACACTTCAATTAGTCCAAAACTAGATAAAAAGAAGAACAAAATAAAAGAAGTGAGACAAACTTATAGGAAATAGTGATTTTAGATTTTAAAAATTTGCATTAGCTATTACACTACATATAGGTAGAATAAATGCTCCATAAAAGGCAAAATTTCAGACAAAGCAAAAAAAAAAAACCCAACTAAATGCAAATTGAAAAATACTTTAAATATAAGGACACAGAAAGGTAAAAATTAAAGGGATGGAAAATGTATACTATGCAAACACTAACCAAAAGGCAGGCTTTGTAAGTATGTCATTATGAGACGAAGACTTCAAGGCAAAAATTGTTAAAATAAATTAAGGAGGCTACTTTGCAATGGCAAAAGATCCAATTCATCAGGAAGGAATAATAATTTTAAATTTGTATATTTACCTAAAACATTTTAGGTAAATATACAAATAAAACATTTGTTTATATATAAAACATTTAAATATATAAAGCAAAAATAACTGATGAAGCTATAGCAAATAAGTCCCAAAAAGTCTATAACCATAGTGGTACATTTTAAGACAATTCTCTCATTAACTAATAAAACAAAGCAGAGAATAAAAGAGTGAGAATATAGAATATTTGTACAACACAATTAACAAACAAGATGTGATTGATTTAGAACACTGCATCCAACATCTGCAGAATATGAATTTGTATAAAGTGCACATGAAACATTAACCAAAATAGATCATCTGCTGATTCATATAGAAAGTCTAAACAAATTTCAACGGATTGTCTTCATGCTGAGTATCTTCTCTGACCACGAGCAAATTAAGCTAGAAAACAAAAACAAAAAGATAAGAAAAATTTCCATATGTTTGGAAATTAAGAAGGATAATTCTAAGTAGGTTTTGATTCAAAAAACAAATTATAGAGGAAATTAGAAATTTCTTTGAAATGAGTGATGATAAAAATATTACAACTTGACGATTAGAGCTAAGGAAATATAGAGGGATAATAATAGCTTTAGATCCATGTATATAATAATAAAGATTAAAAATAACCTGAGCATGAATCTAAAGAAATTGGAGGGAGAGGTGGAAACAACTATGAAACCCAAAGAAAATAGGAGGAAGAAAATTATAAATAACAGCAGAAATTAAAGAAATAGAAGAAAACAAACATGCAGCAAAACTAAATATTAATTCTTTGAAATATTTACTGAAATTGATAAATTTCAGTTACACTGATAAAACTGATGAGACAGGTAGAAAGAGAAAAACTTCATGAATAAAATTTGGAATGAAAAGAGACATTGCTATAGATCCTACAAATAATAATAGTTTTATACTCCAAAAACTTTATGCCAGACATTTAAAAATATTACTTGCATGGGAAGCCAAGGCGAGTGGATCACCTGAGGTCAGGAGTTCCAGACCAGCCTGACCAACATGGTGGAACCCCATCTCTACTAAAAATACAAAAATTAGCCGGGCATGGTGGTGTGCACCTGTAATTCCAACTACTTGGGAGACTGAGGCAGGAGAATTGCTTGAACCCGGCAGGCAGAGATTGCAGTGAGCTGAGAACGCACTACTGCACTCCAGTCAGGGTGACAGAGAGAGACTCCATTAAAAAAAAAATTACTTGCAATAAGCAAATTCTTAGGAAAATTTTCTCTTACAAAAACAGAAAAAAGAAAAAATAGAAAATTCGAATGTATTTAACTGCTAAAAATGACTTTCTTATGAAAAGTCTTCTATGGACAAAAGGAAAAAAAACCTCCATGATGAAATGGCTTCTTTCATGAATTCTACCAGTTATTTAAGAAGAAAGTCATGACAATCTGGTGCACCTTCCTCTAAAGAACAAAAAACAAAAATAAAACTAGGAAGCACTACCACTTCAAGCATAATCTCTACACCAAAACTGACAAGGAATTACAGAAATAACAATTATCTTGAATTGTTATTAACATAAATGAAAACTTTTATAAACAAACTAAGAGCAAAATGCAAACCAAATCCAGCAGTAAATAAAAATAGCCATTCTTTGTGACTAAGTTGATTTTATTTCAAAAATACAAAATTTATTTAACATTAGAAAATTATAGTTTCCTGTGTAGACATCATATACATAATTCATCACATCAACAGAGTAAAAAAATTTTTAAATAAATACAAAAAAAATAAATTTTAGAAACGTTTTCTACTTACAATTAAAACAAACACATGAAACATCCTAGCAAACTAGGAATAAAAATAAGTTCTCTAAATTTGATAAAATATAACTATAAATACACCTGTAGCAAACATCGTATTTAGTAATGAAACGTTGAAGGGAATTCAAGATTGAGAATGATTTAAGGGTGTTTTCTACTATCAGTGCTATTTAACTTTGTACTAGGGGTCATTTTCAAGGCAAAGAGATTTTAAAAGAAACAAAAGATATAAGAATTAAATAAAAGAACTAAAATGTATACTATCAAAGATAATATAGTCATAATCATAAAAATCTAAAAGCCTTTCAGATAAATTAATGAGTGTAGCAAGTTTACAGATAAAAGGATAAAATATATTTTGCATATATTACAATTATATTATTGTATAATTACCTCTAAAAGAAGAAGAAATTTATCAGGAGAAACTATTTTAATTTGCAAAAATAAGAAGTTATTTGGGACAGATCAATGGATGATGTATATGATGTCTACACAGGAAACTATAAAACAATATTGAGAGAAAATAGTTTCTAAATAAATAGATGTGATACCATGTCCATTGATTGGAAGACTAAAAATTATAAAAATATCAATTCCCCCCAAATTGATATTTAGATTAAATACAATTCCAAACAAATTACCCAACAGATTGTATTATGGAAATTGGTGAGCTAATTCCTAGCGTATACGGAAAAGAAAAAAGGCACGAGTAGCAAAGGCAAGTTGCAAGAACTTGTTCTGTTAGATATCAGACTTATGTTAAAGCTACAGTAATTAAAACAATATGGCATTGAAAAATATACTAATGGAATAGAACACATTCAGAAACACACACACACGGAGACTTTATTTATTTTTTTAATTTTATTATTATTATACTTTAAGTTTTAGGGTACATGTGCTCAACATGCAGGTTTGTTACATATGTATACATGTGACATGTTGGTGTGCTGCACCCATTAACTCCTCATTTAGCATTAGATATATATCCTAATGCTATCCCTCCCCTCTTCCCCTATCCTACAACAGTCCCCGGTGTGTGATGTTCCCCTTCCTGTGTCCAGTGTTCTCATTGTTCAATTCCCACCTATGAGTGAGAACATGCGGTGTTTGGTTTTTTGTCCTTGGGATAATTTGCTGAGAATGATGGTTTCCAGTTTCATCCATATCCCTACAAAGGACATGAACTCATCATCTTTTATGGCTGCATAGTATTCCATGGTGTATATGTGCCACATTTTCTTAATCCAGTCTATCATTGTTGGACATTTGGGTTGGTTCCAAGTCTTTGCTATTGTGAATAGTGCTGCAATAAACATACGTGTGCATGTGTCTTTATAGCAGCATGATTTGTAGTCCTTTGGGTATATACCCAGTAATGGGATGGCTGGGTCAAATGTTATTTCTAGTTCTAGATCCCTGAGGAATCGCCACACTGAGTTCCACAAGGATTGAACTAGTTTACAGTCCCACCAACAGTGTAAAAGTGTTCCTATTTCTCCACATCCTCTCCAGCACCTGTTGTTTCCTGACTTTTTAATGATTGCCATTCTAACTGGTGTGAGATGGTATCTCATTGTGGTTTTGATTTGCAGTTCTCTGATGGCCAGTGATGATGAGCATTTTTTCATGTGTTTTTTGGCTGCATAAATGTCTTCTTTTGAGAAGTGTCTGTTCATATCCTTCGCCTACTTTTTGATGGGGTTGTTTGTTTTTTTCTTGTAAATTTGTTTGAGTTCATTGTAGATTCTGGATATTAGCCCTTTGTCAGAAGAGGAGATTGCAAAAATTTTCTCCCATTCTGTAGGTTGCCTGTTCACTCTGTTGGTAGTCTCTTTCACTGTGCAGGAGCAAAGAGGATACAAACAAATGGAGGAACATTCCATGCTCATGGGTAGGAAGAATTAATATTGTGAAAATGGCCATACTGCCCAAGGTAATTTATAGATTCAATGCCATCCCCATCAAGCTACCAATGACTTTCTTCACAGAATTGGAAAAAACTACTTTAAAGTTCATATGGAACCAAAAAAGAGCCCGCATCGCCAAGTCAATCCTAAGCCAAAAGAACAAAGCTGGAGGCATCATGCTACCTGACTTCAAACAATACTACAAGGCTACAGTAACCAAAACAGCATGGTACTGGTAACAAAACAGAGATACAGACCAATGGAACAGAACAGAGCCCTCAGAAATAGTGCTGCATATCTACAACTATCGATCTTTGACAAACCTGACAAAAACAAGAAATGGGGAAAGGATTCCTTGTTTAATAAACGGTGCTGGGAAAACTGGCTAGCCATATGTAGAAAGCTGAAACTGGATCCCTTCCTTACACCTTATACAAAAATTAATTCAAGATGGATTAAAGACTTACATGTTAGACCTAAAACCATAAAAACCCTAGAAGAAAACCTAGGCAATACCATTCAGGACATAGGCATGGGCAAGGACTTCATGTCTAAAACACCAAAAGCAAGGGCAACAAAAGCCAAAATTGACAAATGGGATCTAATTAAGCTAAAGAGACTTGATTTGTGATAGAGATTCCTGTAAGAAAGTAGGAATGATCAACCTTTTCATTGACTTTGCTGGGTCTACTGAATATCCATATGGGGAATAGACATTTTTTGACCCCTACTTCACACCAGTAACAAAATCAATTTCATCTGGTATATAGACCTTAAAGTTTCTAGAAAACACACAACCTTACCTACAAGTGATTTGGAGACTTAAATGGTCACTTAAAAATGAGAATACTTAAATGACCAATAAACATATGGAAAAGATGCTCAAAAGGAAGTTGGAAATTGAAATAACTGAAATGTCAGTATGCGTTCTCCATACTAATTAAAATGAAAAAGACTGACAATGGAAAGTTTTAGCTAAAATAGCAGGTGTGGAGCATTGCTGCTGGGTCACTGCTGCTGAGAATGTCAGCTAACACTGCTCACTGGCATTATCTCCTAAAACAACTCCACTCTTTGGAATAACCAGTAGAAATACATGCACATATGTGCCAAAAAAAAATCAAAGAATGTCAACAGAAGGATGGCTTGTAATAGCCAAAACCTCAAACAATACATTTGATAGGCAAATTAATAAGTCATATATCTGTACAAGCGGTTATTATACAGCAGTGAAATAGATGTACTATTACTACATGCTGAAACATGAATGAATTCACAGACACAGAATGTTGAGCAAAAGAAGTCAGATATAAAAGGGAACACCACATGCTATATGATTCCACTTACATAAAGTTAAAAAGCAGTCACAGCTAAATTATAATGTTAAAAATCAGGGTATTGATTGCAGTTTTGGAGGAAGAGGGCAGTGACTGGAAGGAGGCATGAAAGGAGGGCATATTGATTCCTGGTAATAGTCTACCTCATGATGTAGCTGGTATTCACGTGGAGGTTCACTTGTGATAGTCACTGGCTATAAGCTATATTTTGTGCACTTCTCTATATTTTTCTAATACCTGAATTATTAAAAATGTGTAAAGAGTAAATATCAATTAAATTTCCCAAAGTTTCAAGAAAATCATAAATTACAAAAGTAGTCCAGAACCTAGAAAAAAAAAATGAAGGAAACTTTCCCAGTCTGTTCTATAATAATGCTATACTTGATCCCCAAATTGGATGAATACAGAATTCATGAATATAAAAAACAGCCAAGAAAAAAAAAAAACTAAAGGACAATCTTATTATTAAGTATAGAAGAAAAATGTAGGCAAATATATCAAATATCAACAAAGGTAACCAATAGATGTACATTTTATTTTGTAATAGATAACCTGTTAAAATAATCCTAAATCCTGAACAAATATGTTATATCTCAGAAATGCAATAATGGTTCAAAATTAGATGATCTATTAAAAAAATTAACAAATCAATAAAAGAAACAATGTATGATCATCTCAATATAGAATAAAGTATTTTTCAAATGATTCAGTATCCATTCTTAATAAGTATTTGAATTTGAATGAAATAATAAATGCCCAAAGTTTGTTTGTTTTGTTTTTGTTTTAAAGCAAAAACAAAACAAAACAAAAAACAGGAAGGCAATGAAGATTTTGAGGAGGAAAATTTAGGACAGTGTTTTTCAACCTTGGGGTTGAGAAAGCTTTCCAGATTGACAGACATTTTGACATAAAAACTAAATTTTCTGTATGACACAGATTCTACAGCCTAAGATAAAAGGTAAATGACAGGTTGAAAGAAAATAACTGAAACATATATAAAAGAGCAAGCATTCTTATCCAGATGTCTGTGTGTGTGTGTCCAATAACTCAACAAGGAAAACATGTATCTCAATACAAAATTGCACAAAAACTTAATAGGTGGTTTCAACACAAGGAAAAATAGAAATAATGGATAAGTTTAAAGAGACCTTAAACCAAAAAAAAAAAGACAGAAGAATTAAAATGTAAAAAGGACACTCTAAAGAATTGAAAATACTTAGGTATTATTTGAACATGTTTAGGAAATTGAGAACCATAATCCACTATTGATGGGCATGAAAACTTGCAAAGATATTTTTAGAGGGGCAGTTTTCCAGTTTCTATCAAAATTCAAAATTCCCATAAACTTTGATCTAGAAATTCCACTTTTCAGTATTTATTCTTGAGCAACGCTTGCAAAGCACACAAGGAAGCAGGTAAAGAGACACTAATTATAGCACTTGTTTTCATAATTGAGAAAAATTGGGGATAAACGATTCTTATGTTTTGGTAATCAAATATTTATATGAATTAAGTTCATCAATGTTATGGAAAACTGTTCAGAAATGTAAACGATTAAGGCAGATTTACAAATACTGAAATAGAAAGATCTTCAAAAGAGTTATTAATTGGAAAATTGTTATAAAACAATATTAAATATTATCCCATTTATGAAAAAGTAAGCACTTTTATGTATTAAACACACATGTGGAAATATGTATTTTATGTAAATTAATAGGACAAAATGCAGAAGATGCATTTAAATGATAACAGTTGCAGTGATCAGTTCTGTGAGAGGAGTGATACTGGGGTTGTGTGAAGTGAGATTTTCACTTTAGCTACATATTGCTTCCATTTATAAAATAAATTTGTGTTTGTGCATTGCTTATGTGATTAAAATGTGAATTAAAATGTTGGTGAAAGTATTACTGTAACACTCACTTGTGTCAAGGTATATGGATTTGTGGTTTTATCAGCCTCTCTGTGACTTATTTTTTTCAAGAATGCAAATCTATACTTTTGTCTTTTTCTACGAATCATCTCAGGAATCAAATTATAAAATTCTAACTTGAAATATCAGTTAAGTGTCTAATAGAAAAAAGTAGGAATAAAAAGTCATAATGAAAAGTAGTAAAATTTGTAGTAAACATAGTAAAACATGAATCACAGGTAAGTTATTCTTTTCAGATGAATTTGGCATTTTTAGAATGATGAGAATATCAAAGAATTTATAGATTACTCTCAGAAAGATCTCCACCAAATACTGTGATGCAAAAATGGTTCTATATTCCACTTGATATTTATTGTGGAATTGGAGACCTACATGGGAACATTCCATCTGCTGCCTCTTCATTCCCTACTTCCCTTATTATTCGGGCTACATGGAGAAAGTATTGACTTTTGTTCCAAACATATGTCTTTCTTAGTAGGACTTGCCTTCTAGACCCTAGGGACCTTGAGCACCTAGTTTGTGTGCCAGCAGTTCTGTATTTTTGGGTGATGAAAATTGATTTTCCTCCTCTTAGCAGGTGCTGTCTGAGTGAGCCTCTCCCCTCACGACCTGTGCAGATCGTGCCATCAATAGGAGGAGAGGGGAAGGGGATGAATGTTCGGAGTTCTTACACTTTACCTGAGGGGCCTGGGGAAGCCTCGTGGCAATGAGGGTGCGATAGGAAAAACAGTAACAATAAACTTAGTTTAGAACTCTTCTCATCCTTGATATTTCCTGGACTGATTCAATATCTATATGCATTTTCTGGGATTATCAAAATCAACAGATCTTCTTGAAGGGTTTATTATGCTCTTCATAGTTCTAAATGGATCATACTTGTTAAATGAGTAATGGAAAGACTCCTTTTAAGGAAAAAGAATAATTATAAAGGATCTCAGGTGATGGCTTAAATTATGTTCGTCACAGTGCCACCTATATTTGTTAAAACTTAAAAGTATGATTATGCTTAGAACTGTTTTATTACTGTGAAAGCCAAGCTACAGAGATGAGGTTTTGCTTGGTACACACTGGAAAACTAGGAGCCTTTGAGTCAGGAAATATATGCAAAAGTAAATTTTGAGCTTGCGTATAGAATAGATTTGGAGTTTTGAGTCTACAGGGTAATCAATTCAAAAGTTATTGCAGGTTCCCAGGTCTAAGTTGTTAAGTGTCTGAACAAGTGTATGGTGGCTTGGGGACAGGGGAAGGGTTAAATGCAGATAGGAAAATAGGAGTCTTTCTAAAAGATGGGAAAACTCCAGAGCAAAGCCTTCTAAAAGTCTTGGTATTTTTAGGTGTTAAAGAAAGTGAGGCTGTTATCTAGGAGTGTAAATCTGTCAATTGTTAAGACCTTGGGAGACAAGGACATGAAGGGTATGGTCAGAGGGTTGGGTCATTGGGCTGACTTTCAAAAATAAGTACTTCAGTAGGGAATACACAAGGCAAGTGGATAGACTGTCATAGCAATTTACAAGTCAGTTGCTAGGAGAAGCCATACAAGGCAGCAGCTCCTCTGGATATCCAGAGGGTGAAACTGCAGGAACCGCCCTAATGCCCTGTTATATTCTAGGTTAATTTTCCTCCTTCAAGTACTCAACTGTTGCATGTGCTATGAATGGAAGTTTGTTTGCTCGCCAGAGGCGAAGGTAAAAAGAAAACAGGCAAAGGAGGAACATTTTTTAATGCTTCAGGTAATTACATGATATGGAGGAATTCTAGAGATGATTGAAGAAGATCTACAAGATTAAAGTCCCAAAAAAATTTAGAAAAGTCATGAGAAAGTAAAATCAGGATTATATATGGAAGACAAAATGCAAAGGCTGTAAGAAGCACCTCAAGGATGTCACATTCCTACTTGATGTTGAACAAATGTAACTGTGAGTAGACATCATTTATTTCTGAATAATTCTGAATTTGAGGACCAAAAAGTAGGACTTATTATGCTGGAAAAGTGTTTAGGTCAGTAAAATTATTTAGGATTATATTTTTGTGATTTGACCTAGAGCTCTGCAAATAGCTTTGAAAGAGTAAAACAAAATTTCCCAGCAAAACTCTGAGGAGAAGACATGAAGTTGGGAGTATGGCAAATGGTGTATCTGAGAGAATAGTATACTAGGTTCATAGTAATTTTTTGGAATAATAATATGGGCTTTCATATGTTAATATAACAGATGGCCAAGAATGGCTAGCAAATAATTGAGTTAAAACTTTGATACAATAAGTTAAAAACATATACTTGGTATGTGACTTGTGATTGGAATACAAACATACAAGTGCAAATCTGCCTGCGTATAGCTTATGTAAAAAGTCTTTTGGATATTAATTAATACCTCAGAGAATCAATGTGGGAATTGACGCATTGGAAGAATAATAAATATATGAAAACATATAATATGTAATACATAAATATGTATTCATAAACATCTGAAATATATGGTTCACATTTCTAGATCCCACATTTTAAGGAGGATCCCCCATTGCAAAAATGAATGGTTATTCAGAGGAGCACAAACAGAAAAGTGCCTTATTTAGCAGTCATTTCATGTAAGGATTGGGATAATTGACCAAGAGAGGGAACAACCTACATGGTGCATAATTACTCTTCCACACATTTGAAGAGCTGTGTGTTGAGGAAGGACTAGCTTTTTTTTATCATTCTAGAGGACGGGACTTGAGCCAACAGTTTAAACTTCCTCAGAGATGGATTTTTAGCTAAGTACAAGGCAACACTTTCCTTCTAATGATAAAAGCTTCCCCACATTGGAATGGCCTTCCTGTGAGGCAGGGATGGATGTTTCAGTCACTAGGAGTGATCAAGCTGAGGTTGGGTTATCACTGCCAAAATTGCTCCAGAGGATTTATTTGTTGGGAGGAAGGCTGGACTAGCTTAATATTGATGTTCCTTTCGACTTCAAAATTGTACTATTCTATGAAAATACATTAAAATCTGACTATCTCAGAATGTGATAGTGCTTCATGTGTCATTTACCATTTGTCTAAAGAAGTAAACAGGCAACCTACAGAATGTGAGAAAATATTCACATACGAAACATCTAACAAAGTTCTAATATTCAGAATCTATAAGGAACTTTAAAAAAAAACAAGCAAAAATCAAATAACCTTATTTAAAAATGGGCAAAGATATGAACACACAGCAGATATGTCTCAAAAGAAGACACATGTGTGGACAACAAATCCATGAAAAAATAATAAATCATTAGTGAAATGCAAATCAAAACCACAATGAGGTTCCTCACACCAGTCAGAATGGCTATTATTAAAATGTCAAAAAATATAACAGATGCTGGTGAGGTTGCAGAGAAAAGGGAACACATATATCCTGTTGGTGGGAATATAAATTAGTTCAGCCACTGTGGAAAGCAGTTTGAAGATTTCTCAAATAACTTAAACTAGAACTACTATTTAACCCAGCAATCTGCTTACTGGATATATACTCATAGAAAAATAAATCATTCTACCAAAGTGACAAATGCATTCATACGTTCAGAGCAGCACTACTCACAGTAGCAAAGACATGAAATCAACCTAGATGCCCATCAACAGTGTACTGGATAAAGAAAATATGGTACATATATACTATGGAATACTACACAGCCATAAAAAAGAATTAAATCATGTCCTTTGCAACAACATGGATGCAGCTGGAAGACAGTTTCCTAAGCAAATGAACACAGGAACAGGAAACTACTGCATGTTCTCACTTATAAGTGAGAGCTAAACATTAAGTACACATGGACATAAAGTTGGGAACAGTAGACTCAGGGGACTACTCGGGGGAAGGTGGGATGGGAGTGAGGGTTGAAAAACTACCTATCGGTATTATGCTTGCTTCCTGGGTAACGGGATCATTTGTACACCAAACCTCAGCGACACACAATTTGTCCATGTAAAAAACCTGCAGGTGTGCCCTTGAAACTAAAATAAAAGTTGGGGGAGAAAAGTAAGCTGAGGAGAGAAATAACGAAAAATAAAAAAGATCAATCAGAGCAAGGGTAAGATAAGAGAATATAATTACAAATTGGAAACAGAAAGGTATAATACTTGTTTAAAAAACTGAGTTAGATGATAGATGATAGATATGCAGATAGATAGAGATATAACTACTGATAGATGTAAGTGGCTATTCATTACTTAATAAACATAACTCATATGCTTTAAAATATCCAGATATTATAAGGCATCTTCCAGGGAACAGGTATTGAAGTGGAAAGGGAAGAGTTAATTTTTGTCCTCAAAGCCCACAGGAACATTTATCAACTTCTGCCCAGACCTCCTTTCTTCCTTTTGGTGAGTTAAGTCAGTCTCTGCTTTGTTTGATGCTGCCCATTTGAGGAAAGCTTATCCCTGACCTTCTGCCAGAGAGACTGATGACAAGGACAGTTTGCACTAACCTTGACATTCACCAGGGTAAATGGCTTTTTCCACAAGTAGTCAGCAAACAAGGAGAGCCAGTCAAGAGCTAATGAATCTGCACCTGAGAGAAACTGAACAACAATTGTGCTTTTAAAGAAGAAAAGAGTCCTTGGAAGGTGCAGGCCCATCTGATGCTTACAGGTTCAGGGGAAATTAACTCTTTTAGTCAACGCAGTTTGAAAATAAATAAATAAAAACAACCCCTGGTCCGAAAACCTTCCACAAGGGATTCTTTTTAAGCTTGTCTCTCTGGGCTTTCCTGCCTCCACTGAACTCTCAGTGCCATTCGATGGTGCTCCAGGAAGATGGCATGATGTTGTAGAGAGACCAGGATGGGAAGGCAGATTTTTTCAACCACCACTTACACCACACAGCCAAAATCCCTCTCACTGAGTCTGAAGAAAATAAATTGTGAATCTTATTTTATAAAAGTGGCTCAATTGATCTACTATGGATGCTGTAAAAATCCACAAAAAGCAATACAGAATGGAATTATTTTCTTATAATAAACAATCATACAAACTAATTTCTCCCAAAGGATCCCTGTGACAAGATATGTAATAAATCCCATTAGCCAAACAAAAAATTGTAGTTCTGTGATATTATCCATCTAAAGCCTAGCTCCATACGCTATGGATTATGCCCTTATTCCTCCAGTATTGATCACTCTATTTTCAGTGTCTGTGCATTACAGTTTTACCTATATCATTTTATCCTTGATACAGACTTACAAAGACTATTCTTTATTTTGGATGTGTAAAACTTAACTCTTTACTAGACTTGTAATAAGCTATTCAAGGTATGAGACATTTTCTAATCTACCACAATATGTTGTTCAATTCTGGGGTACTTAATAAGAGTTCAGCAAGGAAATGTATGCTGGTGCCTTACAAATATTGAGCAACTATTTTGCCCCAAGCTTCTATCTTTTTTTTTCTCATTTAATGGAACATCACTACTGATATTCTCATCTAAATGACTTTATCCACCACACCAAAAGTGCTTCTACATTTTCATTCTTCTCTGCTTTTCTCCTTATTACTGAATTACATGTGGATAAAAACACATAAATTTTAAATGTACAGTGGAAGACATTTTTACAAAATGGCGCATCCACCCAGATGAAGAAATTACACATTATCAATACACCAGAAGCTTGCCCAATGCTCTATCACAGTAACCTCCCTTCCAAGGTAACTCGCATGTAAAAATTTTTACAACACGGATTAGTTTTCTTATTTTTGAATGTTGTGATAATGATATCCTATAGTAAATACTCTTTTGTGTCTAGATTTTTATTGCTTAATGTTATGTTTGTAAAATTTATGTATATGTTTTATTGTAGCTGTAGTGTGTTCATTTTCAGTAGTACATAAAATTTTATTATACAAATATACCATTATTTATCCAATCTCCTTTTGATGAAAATTTGTATTGTTCCATTTTTTAAAACTGTGTTTGATATTAAGAATAATGTTATCATGTACATTTGTATACCTGTATACATTTCTGTTGAGAGTAAAATTGCTGAGTCAAAGGTAATGCATCTATCAGTTTTTGAAGATACTCCTCAATTTATTGCTTTCTTTTTTCTATAATCTGGTAACTATTTTAATATTTCATTATTTCCTTTAATTATATTTAAGTTATACATCTCATTATTACTCTTTTAGTGTTTACCCTAGATATTATAATGTGAATCCTTGGCTGATTACAATTTTTTACAAGTTACTATTTTACCCAATTTTCTGCCAATACAAGAAATAATTTAACTCCACTTATTCTTCAACCAACATATATGCTATTGTGGCCTCTAATTCTCTCCATGTTCTAAGACCCTCAATAATAATTTTTAATATTTTATTCATTCAGTATTAACATAGGTTTATCCACATATCTCTTCATTTATTCTTGAACTTCCAAACTTCTCTCTGAAATCATTTTGCTTTCTTTGTAGAACAGCTTTTAATAATTATTTTGTCACAGCTCTGTTTACAATTATTTCTTTCAGTTTTTGTCTGAAAATGTCCTTTATCATCGATATTTTTGAAATAAATATTTGCTGGATTTAGAATTATAGTTTCACAGTTTTTTTTTCAGACTGAATTCAACTGCTCTTTGGCTTCATTGTTTCTCTTGAAAAGTCAGCTGTAAGTTTTGTTTTTGCTCATTTGAAGAGAATTATCTGTAAATCATCTGTTTATCTCTTTTTAATATGTTCCCTTTGTCCTTGATTATAAGCAATTTTACTATGTTGTGACTAGGTCTGTTTTTCTTTGAATTTATCCTACATTTGATTCACATTTGTGTGTGTGGCTTTGTATCTTTTTTAAAATTTGGACAAGTTTTTACTATTTTGCCTTAAAACTTAGTTTCTGTCCCTTCTATGACTCTAATTACATTTCTATTAGAACTTTCCATCATGTTCCATATGTTTCTTACATTTTTCTACCAGGCCTCTATCTGGATATTTTTCTTTGTGTTGTTGTGTCTAATGTGCAATAAGTCCTTGTATTGAGTTATTTCTGAGTTATTACATTTTTAAATACTTACTTCATTTCTTGTTTTTATGGATTTGTCTTGTCTTCTGTTTTCTTAAATATATTAATTACTCTTATGTTAAAGTCCTTGAACTTTAACTCCAACATCTGAATCATTTCTACATCTATTGAATTTCCTATTTCTTTCTCCTCTTGGTTTCCAGTTATTTGATCATATCTCTTGGTGTGCCCAGTTACTTTTTCCTGCCATTATATATACAAAGAAAATTATAGAGGTTGTATATAATGTTATTTTCCTCTGATCATATTTACATTTCTTTTGGCAAGCATTGGAATATGAGCAGATTTCCTTGAGATCAGGAATTGTCTTAAAGCTGAGTTTCACTTTTTGTAAGGGCTGGTTTATTTGTTTTTCAGGGTTCTCAACTGAAAATCTCTATGTTCCCCAGATTACTCCAACTTGTCAGGCTCAACTCCAATTTTTGTTTTCCAAAATTGATTTTGTCAATAGTTCAATAGGTGAGATTGTCAATAGTTTTGCTAAACTGTTATTTTCTATTTGGCTTCCCTGACTCTTGCTATTTTTAGCTGGAGAATTGGCAAAGGCCTTGAAGAGAAAAACAGTATCAAGTGTTGGACTCACATGTATGTTTGTATTCCTTTTTTTCTCTGATACTTTGACCCCTCAAGGCTTGGCTGCCTTGGTAGCAGTGAAATCTATATTTTACCACCTAGACTCATATGACTACTGAAGCCTCTGAGCTACCATTTTATTCTTGGTTTTCCTTTGCTTTGGGTCACTTACTTATGGTAAAATGCCTCAAGGAGAAAGTAGAAAACAATGTCAGTTTATCTTAACGTGTTTTTTTTCCCTTTAAAAATTATAATACCTTATGTCCTGGATTCCTTGGCTGCCTTCAAATAGCTATGTTTTGTAGTATCTCTGGCACTTGCAGTTCTCTGTTAAAGGCTTAGTGTCTGATATTTTCTACTCTGTATATCCAGTTGATTATTAGTGCTGGTATGTTCAAATGCTATTCCAAGAGGTGGTAGTAATGGACACTGGGTACTTTCCTTACTTGAAAGGAAAAAGAAGAGGTGTGAGTAACAATGCACAATGTTTGCATAACACCAGGAAACTATGAAAAGACTGGGCAGATAGAATTTCTATAATCTGAAATTGTTATATATATTCAAATCATTTAAAAATTTTGATCTAGAAATTATTAGCTCACTTTATTAGAAAAAGGAAAGGACTGCATTGCAGAGCAGCTTGGCCTTCTATTCTATGGACAACTGGTGACATTTAGAGTTGAGGGTATGTCCCAGGTTTCCACACTTTGAGTAAGGTAGCCTTTCCACTAACTCAGCTTTAACTTGTTCTTCAGAGTTCTGTTATTCCATAGAAGTGATTCAAGGAAATTAGGAAATATACATTCACACCTTAATCAAAGGAAGCTCTATGTCTACCTTTTCTTGATATTGGGATTCTGCATAATATTTTGTTTGAAGAAAAAGGCCATGATAAAAATAGTTTAAAGTCAGTTATGCCATCATATTCCAGGAGTAGGAGTATTCCTGTAAACAAGGATATATAAAGTAAGATCAAATTTTTCCTTCCAATTATTGTGTTAGAAAGAGAGCTGCGATAGCTCTGCTGGATATTGGAGGACAGTGTGACATGGGGCAATTTACTTTCTCTGAATTTCAGTTTACCCATCTGTGTAGCAGGTAGTAATTCCAGCTCTTGTACAAAGTAGGCTGTACAAGAAATATAAATTTGTTTATTCTTCTATAATTCAATTTAATTTTTATTTTGTCAAGATGGCAGAAATGTAATGCCATTCATTATGTGATTTCTCTCTCTCCCTATGGCAGTTTCTAGATTCTAGAAGTCTTATTGGTGTCATGGCTTCACTGTGGGAAGGAGGGGATTGGAGGTAGCTGACTGCTGATGATATATGCTTATGATGGCAAACCTTGAGACATCCTCTTTCCTATGTGGTCCTTTGTGGTCACTCTATACAGTTTACAGCTAAGGCATCCCTTGCTTCTATCTATAAGTCTTTTCAGCTTCGATGGCTTTTTCTGCTACTTTCATGTTCTAATGCTCACTGGATGTGGTAAACTCTTAAAATGATGACCTAGGCCTTGCTATCCTAGATATAGCATGTAGATATTTCCCTTTGGTGATTTTGTCTTCCTTTAGCCCACCCTACATAATGGAATACAAGTTACCTATGCTTTCAGATGCTACAAATCTAAGGTTTCACCAATTCTCTAGGGCTTGATCTAGGGAGCTGATCACTAGATTCCACTTTCTTTGGGATTTACCAACTTCTGTGTATCCATCATTTTCTTAACCCAGCCCATGGGAAGTAGACTGCCTAAACATATGGAAAGTTTAGTTCTTTTATCATTAAGCTTATTCCCCAATTGATAGTCTATACTGAATCATTTATGTTTCCTCGAGGGTCTTGGTCTTTGAAATTCAAAGCTAGAAGAATACTGCCCATGTTTCCTTTCTATTGTCACATCTCTTCCCTGAGACAGATGAATAGAATGGTCTAGCTGCCATTTTAAAAATGGAGAAAGTGTTGAGGAGGAGTGATAAAGGGATGGATGGATGAATGATGGATAGATGGATAGATAGTTTTCTCATACAATGTGTTTATTCAACTAGATATCTAGATTTACTTCTAGTCTGACAATTCTAGGATATAATAAAAATAATAATTCTACAGTTTCTTTTGCTGAGAACATACTGTGCCAGATTACCATGCTGAGTACTTTAAATACATCAATCATTTTTAACCTTCCCAGTAATTCTGAAGGGCAGATCTTATTTTTTTATTTACTAATTTAAAAAACTAAGTCTTGGAAATGGTTAACAAAAATCATGGAGTTACCAAGGGTGGAGCCAGTATTCTAGTCCAGGTGGATGCTGGCTTAGCATTTGTGCTCTTAATCACATAAAGATAAGTCTTGCAATTCTGCAATCTGTGTCAGAATATATTTAATTGTGCTAAGCAGATGGAAAGATCTGAAGGAAAGCAGCAAGACATTGACATTAGGTATGAACCAGGCCTAATTTAGTGTGTGATAAGTAATTGGCACGTGTTAGTTTAATCTTCACAACCAAATTTAAGAATTCTACTCTAATTATCTTCATTTTATAGATGAAGAAACTGAGGCACAGAAAAGATTTGAACCCAAGCAGTTGGGCTCCAGGGTCCATGTTCTTAACCATCATATTTTGCTGCCTCTTCTGTAAAAGAAACAGAAAGTTGGTGGGTACCCCTAGGAATAGCCTGACAAGTTGTAGACAAATGTGTAACTTTTTCAATTCCTCCCGGGACCCTCAAATCCGTGGCCTGTACTGCCTGAAGGCTTACCAAGCAAAACTGCATACGAGGGAGAAGATACTGTTTCTTCTCCCTCCAAAACAGATGGTTCTCAGCAACATGCTTCCTGGTTTGAAATTTGAGACTCTACAGACAAACAAACCACAATTAAGCAAAGGTCAGGCTAAATACTAGCCATATAAACAACACCTTAACCATAAGCACAAAGCTGATTTATGTATCTCAATTCATTATTTGTCTTTTATGATAGGGCATAACATGAATAACAGAGAAGACAAAGAGTCAAGGAGCTGCCTGACTCCAAAAGTAGTTTTCCTGTTTGTTCTTGTATCCCTCCGCAGCCTGAACCTTTCTAACACTACCACGTGTTGAGTCTTCTGTCTTTTTCTACTTTCCCCCGCCCCTATTTTCACTACTGGGGTTGTTGGTGTGTATTTATGTATGTGTGTGGGTGTTTTTTTGTGAATACGTATTTATGAGAAGCACCTTTGTTGCAATTTGCAAAATAAAGATATAATGAATGGAAACATATTTTGCTTTTTAATGCACTGATTTCAGGTTAATAAATTCATGTTGTTCCTCATAAATAGGTCATTAACTGGAACTCCATCTCTGCAAACTTCTCCTTTCTTCACCCGTGGGCAGCTGTCTGCATACTGCAGTCTTCCTCAGAAGCCGAGCCCTTTCTCTGATGAACGTCTGTGATTGGACTCAATCATAAACCGTCCCCACACTCTTTTCTACTGTTTACTCCCTGTAAAATATAGCAGTGAAATAATAATCTTCTGATTGTGCAGGTAGATGTCAGCTGAGCTGGCTTATTGCACTTAATGGATTTAAACAGAACTTTGGCAAACTTTATAATTACATTGACTTGCTTGCTCTCTGCTTCCTTTTATTGCTAAGGGCACTGATGTTACTCACTTGTCATCGCTGAACCAGCCTAGAAAATGATTCTGGATACTTGGTTATGGTTATTTTACACCTTAGTCAGACAGACTATGTTCATATAGGGAATCTAATTCTTTTCAGCTATCAGCTTTCAGGTGGGGCACAATTTATCAAGGGACCTTGGTGACACATACAGACAACTCTTAATTATCTGATTGGGGATTACTCACGTGATGTTCCTGAGTCTTATATTTATTCTCAGATTGGCATCATCTATTTCTAGCCCCTGGTGAAAAGGGGCTGCCAAAGAGTTTGAATGTTTGTCTAAGGTAACCCAGATTTGTCCCCAGATCACCACCTCCATAGTACTATGTTCAAAGTATTAATAGAAGGTTTGTTTGCTAATATGCTTTTCAGTATACTTCTGTCATTCATATGACGTATGCAAGAAATATTTCCTCAAAAGCTGAGACATCCTTTTACCCTGGGTTCTGACACTCCCTGGATGGATGGCCTTGAGCAAGTCACTTGATGTTTCTGGAACTCAATTTCCTTATCCTCAAAATGACAGAGTTGTACTTTGGTGACCTCTAAGGACCTTTCCACCTCTGAAATTTTCCTTATGTCACTCTGGAAACTTCAGTAACCTTCCTCACCACATTTTCTATAACTTGCCTTTAGAACCTTGTCTGGTTAGCACATCACATGTTAGTTCATCAGAGGAGTTGAGGAATCAGCCCTATGGTTTGGATGCCTAGCATGTGCTGTGGGGCATTCTGTGCTCCAAAACAAAAAATTGATACTGAGCTGAATTGAGGAAATTGCCCTGCAAGCCTCTGTCTTTCTTCTTTCCATACAATGAGCCTTGAATGTTGATTACATTCAGATCACAGTAAAATTTTTCATCCATTT
Organism: Homo sapiens; assembly: GCF_000001405.40. Taxonomy (NCBI): domain Eukaryota; kingdom Metazoa; phylum Chordata; class Mammalia; order Primates; family Hominidae; genus Homo; species Homo sapiens. The sequence continues at coordinate 59,623,294 of NC_000002.12, read as the reverse complement.
ACAGAAATGTATGCTTGTATGCCCTCCATTCTAGAACTCTGTATTTTTTTTCCACTAGAACTCATTTACCTTTTCCCAACAGATACTATATTTAGTCAGTTTGTGAAAACTAATTTTTGGTGTCACTGCACATTTGCTCAAGGTATTTATTTATTTTAAAACTGCAATAAGCTAATATTTGCCAGTGAAGGATCCTGTTTGAGGTTCACTGATGCAACTGGAGAGGCTGGCAAGGGAATTCTGGTTTTGTTAGCCAGTTTCCTGCTGATGGCTTAGGATTCTAAATTGCACAGATTATCTCTGCTTTGAAATCTTAATACAAATAACTTTTCAATAATTAGTAAGGTTTTATCACATGCATAAAAGCATTAAAAAGTTATGAAAAACACTAATGTTATTTTAATTGCTTTTAAGTTCCCTATGGGAGTTAGATTTTATAAGGAAACCCTTTATAATGGTCACAGTTGGGAGGACACATCTGAGTCCAGAGAGAAAAACCTTTTAATTCACTTATCTCTTTCACTTCCTCTTATTCCCTGTCATAATACTTGTTTACCTTTTTTATATATAAAGTTCTGTCTGAGTACTACATTAATTTTTTGAAAAGATGCTAAATGGGAGGTCAAGTATACACACAAATAAATAGCAAAGAATAGCTAGATGAGGGAAAGGAAAGGGGCAGAAGTGAGGTGCTGTCTTTCATCAACAAATCTAGGTACTGGGCAAGCACATGGCAAACTGCACTCTCAAAATGCAGGTGCAGTTTGAACTTAAGTAACAGTGTCATGAAATATGAAATTAAAGTTTTCTTCTTAAGATTACCTTCTTTAAAAACAAAAGAAATTTGATGGAATTATTGGAACTCCCAGGCCACTATTGATAACAGTGCATTGGCAATATGATTGAATTGCCAAACAGAAATTGGGCATCCATTTCCATCTGATAAGGAAGGACTCAACAACTTCCAGTTGGATCTTACATACAAATTTCCTGCCCCCTCCCCACTACCCCTGCAAGGGAGGACCAATCAAGACCCATTGTTACAAGAACTTGTCTGGCTCTCATCATGCTGGCATCCCTAGTGTGTGTTCCTTCCTGACCCAGTAGCCTCTGCACAACCTCCTAACAGTCATCTTTCTTTCTTTCTTTCTTTTTTTTTTTTTTTTGAGACAGGGTCTCTCTGTCACCCAGGCTGGAGTGCAGTGGCACAGTCTTGGCTCACTGTAACCTACATGTCCCAAGCTTAAGCAATCCTCCCACCTCAGCCTTCTAAATAGCTGGGACTACAGGTGCATGCCACCACACCTGGCAAATTTTTGTATTCATAGTAAAGACAGGGTTTCACCATGTTGCCCAGGCTGGTCTCAAACTCCTAGGCTCAAAATGTCTGCCAGCCTCAGCCTCCCAAAGTGCTGGGGTTACAAGCATGAGCCACCACATCCAGCCAAACCCATTTTTCTATCTCTGCTTCTCCCTCAGTACTGGGCTTTGAAAAGTCAGCTACAGTAAAATAAATAAATAAATAAATAAAGGTGAGCTTCCCTCACCTTTGACTCTACTTTCCTCATTTCCAAGCATAGAAATATTCTTCAGGGCAGTATTCTTTCTTTTAGATTAATGATCTTTGGCAAGGAGTGACCTTGACTGAGAAACGTTCCTGTTGCCCTGTACCAAATTCCACTGCAAAACCTTAGTTCTTCAGATATGACTTCTTACACATTTCCCCAAGCTATGGGACTATGGCCAGTGGCTTGGAGCTTCCATTGTGCAATAGGTGTGATGGTGAGTGGAGGGGAATATTAAACCCTCCTGATGGATATTCTGCCAGAGAAAAAGGGACATGTGTGGCAACGTAAGTTCTAACTCTTAACATATTCTCCCATAAAAACTGGGTAATAATATTTTATAGTACTGTGACTAACACCATATCACAGCTACATTATTGCAGGATTCAGAAACTTCAAAATTATGTGTTACATAGAATTTCCAGAAAAGAATGCATTCTGAATTTCCAACAACTGAGCTATAAAGAACTTGTAGAGTAATACCTCACACCTTTGCATAATATATTTAAAGACAAAATAAGCAAAGATTTTAAAAAGCAGTAGTTATATTTTAAATATGCAGTTGGCAGATATTTTTAGTCCTAAAAATAACACTGAATATTTGAATAAAGTTTTAAATTTGCATATACACACATAGACACCTTTATGTCACTTCATTTGATTTTTCAAATTGACTTTATTTGTTAGGAAGATTTTGGCCGAAAAATAACAGAAAATCTGACATTGTAGCTGAAATAATTCACTTTTTTTCTCATAAAACAGGATGTCTGTATTAAGTGGCTGCTGATATTCATTAAACTGTTCAATGATGTAAGGGTTAGTATCTGTGCAGTTTGCTTTTTTTCTTTTTTCATTTTTGTTTTTTCTCATAGTTATAAGAGAGCTGCTGAAGTTCTCAGCGTTGTATTAGGATTCAGAGCAGGGAGTAATGGAGGAAGGGAAATAGTAATGCCAGGTCCTCTGTACTTTTTATAAACATATAAATCCCTTTCAGAAGTTATACCTCCCACCAACAGACTTCCATTCATGTTTTACCAGTCAAATTGTGTCATGTAGCCAGAGATCTCCATAAGCAAAGGAATTTGAGTGAGTATTTAAGTTTTCTTAGCCTCTATAGAAGTGATAAAGAAGTCATCTGAAAACAGGAGTTAGGTTGGTGAATTGGCAGGGTCTTACATGGGAGATATTTAGACATCTAATAAACAAGAGAAGATTAGCTTAGACTCAGGAGAATTTCATACATGCAAGAGTGCCCTATGGGGAATAAGGAAACTCCAGTTCTGGCTGCATTATTCCCTGGTTTGTGATCTTGAGTAAGTTACTTGATCGTGCTGGCTTCTGTGATCTTACTTGTCTACAGTCACAAGATTAAGTTTACAGACTTTAAGGCCCCTCCTCAACATAACATTTTATGATTCTAAGACCTAATTATACACATTTATATAGAAGTGTGGTCCATGTGAGAACAAAATGCAGTGCTCTTTCCACTGGACCTCTGCATTTCTTCATGGACGTAGCTGAAGGGTTCTATGAACTGTTTGGGGAAGTAAGGGGAAGGTGGACAGGAAGCACAGAGATATTAGAAGAATAATAGAAGAGAGCAGTAGGGTTGAAAACTGGTAAATTCTTCCTCTGAGACACAGAAAACAGAAAAAAAAAAAGACTATCATAAGTGGATGAGGTTTTGAAGACGGGTATCAAATACATTCTGCTTCCAAGGAGAAATGTCTAACGTGTTTGGTAAAGAGGAAGGAGAAGGTGTGCCAGGCCCTTACTCAGCTCCTCATCTAGTCCCTAGAATACTTGAAATAGTGAGTGTAGACAGATTATAACTCTGTTCGGGTGAGGTTGTCTGGATGGTCCAGTGTGATCTGTGTAAAACCTTGGGTATAATCTGAATACAAACAAAGCAAGTCTGCTTTGATTCAAGTTTTATGAGTCTGCACAAAAAATAAAATCAAGAATTACTGTGAATGTAGATGTGCTTTATGAACTATTACTATAACAAAAACAGGCATTACAAAAGCAAAAATACAGTGGGTGTGTGCTTTGTATTATACATAAGGATATTTTGCTCTATGCAAAGGGGTCTCTAAGATTATTTAAAATAGCAAACTTTCTACACTTCTATGTGTATAAATATAGATACAGTTAATTAATTACTTCAAAGAATTGGAGGTTGAAAGTAGATTGGAAAGGTAAGTTGAATCACTTCCACTTCACTGTTAATGATAAAAATGAAGATAAAAGTGACCTGTAATAATAATGTTAGAGAAGAGAGAGGTTTTGCATATATAATTTAAAGAATATTTCTTTTTCCACTGTACACCCATGTCTGAATAATAAATATAGTTCTTTCAGGTAAGAGTGCGTTTGAATCCAAACCTGCTTCGTTATTCCTTCAATGTGCCACTCTACAATGGCGTAAAGTATATAGAGAGAAAGGACTGAAGAGGTCACCATTCCATTTAGGAAAGATTGTGTTAACATTTCAATTAATAGTTCTGAGTATTGATTTTTGTGAAATCTTCTTCAACATAACTTACTTAAATTACTTTTTCTGTAGTTTAAACACATCTCCTTAAGTGAAAACAGAAACTGGCTGTGGATTGTCAGATGTGCAGAAGTTGTTCTTAGTGTGATAAGATAATATTTTGGAAACATCAACCATTTTTTCTCAGATATACCTAATTTGGCTGTCCTTTAACTCTTATGAATTTAGATACCAGCTAGGCAATTCTGAACTTATCTCAAGGAGGGAAAGTGCTAACAAAGAAGAAGGAAATTATTTTCATGGTTTAATTTCAAAAGCCCAGGCTCTAAAGTAGATGAGAAGGACTCAGGGTATATACAATGAACTTGGAAGAATACAAATCGAATCAGAGGAAAGCTTCCACTCTGAGACTAATCCCAGTTGGAACAGGATGAGGATAAAAGGAAAAGCAAAAAGAGCCCAGATATTTGAGTTTCTGTGTCCTGCCCTTCCAGAAATTCAGGGGATGACAAACTTCCCCGACCTGATAGATTTAAGGAGACTAAGATCATTTAGACAGTGCCCTCAGAAGGGATGGAATAGCTCACAGAAGAAATAATTCTTGTCTTGTCTTAGTAAGTGTTACCTTATAGGGATCTCACATCCCAACATGACTAGAGAACATCTCATTATTTCCTGAGAACACAGAGGGCATGGCATAGCATACAGCATGTCTGGACCTAAAGGACTACACAGGCTGGAATGTCTTAGTGATTACATAAATGTACTAAAGCATGAAGATTTTAAGGATCAATGAGCATCTCAGTGGTTATTAGCATACATGGAACAAGATGAAGGACCAGATACTTTTTTCCCCAACTTGACATTAAACAACTCCCAAGGTTCTTACACAAGAATATAAGAAAACAGTTTATGTATATTGAATGAGACTAAATTTTAATCACCATGGAAGGATCTGAACTTATAATAGAAAGTAAATTGTTTCTAAAAAATAAAAAATACACATATTCCTCATATAATTTGAGTTTGTAATCTAAGATTTATGTTGTATTTATGTTAAGTTTAAAAATAGTGGGAAGCATTTCCAGAATGGTAAAGTAAGGACCTCTGAGAATCTGCTCTTCCATAAAAGCTGTGAAGACCCTGGCAAAGATTGTCAAAATCAACAATTTTAGAACTCTAGAAAATAGCTAAAGGTTTGCAACAATTCCAGGAGCACATATTCAGGAGAAACAGATGATTCTCTGTAAAAATACTAAGCTTTGTGGCATTTTAGCTTGCTGTATTCCCATTGCCCCCACCCCAACTCTGTGATAGCCTTGAAACCCAGCAGCCTCACAACTATGAAACTATGAAACCTGTGACAACCACCAGGCTAACAGCCACTGGGTGGGGTGGGGGTTGGGGGAAGAATTGGTTTGGAGCTTCTCCAAAAGCTCCATCCTCAGAGAATTGTCATTATTTGACTTTCTGGCAATTTTGTGGAAAATCATATTCAGAAGACCAGTCTTTAACTGACCTGATGCAACACTCAGTGGGAAAAGCCCTTTCCCCAAGGTGTTTGTTGAAAACAATCAGTGGCAATTCTTTAACATTACAGTTGCCTGAGGTAAATATACCAGACAAAGGAAACAATAGGCAGGTCATGAAACCTAAAAGAAAACTTAAAATAATTTGATGCTTATTGGGGGCTTTGAAAAGTTCCAACATATTCCTAAAAACCTAACAGGCCACATATGTGTGTAGGGCTGTAAAGATGTCCAGGTAAAACCAAAGAAGATCCTAATCTCTCACTTCTGACTGAAGTTGAGCCTATGCACATCAGGAATTGAAAGCTAAGGTAGAGTTGTAAACTGTCAGAGTGTTGAAGGTGAACTCAACACCCATGCACAACCTCTCAGCAAAGGCTGAGATAATAATTGGTTCCTGGAAATTTGGAAAATTTGCATCTAATTATTAGTTGTCCACTAAGCTAACTGAGCAGAGATTTCAGTGGCTTCATGTATCAAAAAAAGTAAAGTTGTAAAAATTAATTCAAGAAAGTTATCAAACAAGAAAATAACATAACAACAACAAAAAACTTGGAAAGGAAATAACTGATTTCTGGAAATGCCACATTTTACTATTTAAAATGTACAATTTTCAACAATATAATACATAAAATAAACAGAGAAATATGGCTCATATACTAGGGGCAAAATAGTAAATAGAAACAATCTCGGAGGAAGCCAAGATATTTCATTTATAAGATAAAGACATTAAATCAACTATTATAAGGGTGTTCAAGGAACCAAAGAAAATCATGCCTAAAAGATTAAAGGAATGTGTAAGAACATTATCTCACCATATAGAGATTATCAATAAAGAATAAAAAATAGAAATAGAGCTATATAGAAGATCTAGAGTTTAAAAATACAATACATGAAATAAAAAGTTCAGTAAAGTTGCCCAACAGCAGATTAAAAGTGGCAGAAAAAGAATCATGAGACCTGAAGATAAGATCACAGATATTATACTGTCTGAAAAACAGAAAGAAAAACTAAATGAAGAAAAATGAACAGAGTCATAGAGATCTGTGGAATATCATCAAGCATATCAAAATACACATAACAGTTGTCCAGAAAGTAAAGACAGAGAGAAAGAAAAGAACATACGAAGAACAGTGGCTAAAAGCTTCCCAGATTCGATTAAAAAATATTAAACTACACATCCAAGAAGCTGAATAATCTGCAAGTAGAAGAAACTCACTGATATGGTTTGGCTTTGTGTCCCCACCCAAATCTCATCTCAAATTGTAATCCCCAGGTGTTGAGGGAGGGACCTGGTGGAGGTGACTGGATCACGGGAGCAGTTTCCCCAATACTGTTCTTGTGATAGTGAGTTATCGTGAGATCTGATGGTTTCACAAGGGGCTCTTCCCACTTTGCTCTCTCTCTCACCTTCAGCCATGTAATATGTGCCTGCTTCCCCTTCTGCCATGATTGTAAGTCTCCTGATCCCCACCCCCAGCCATGCAGAACTGTGATTCAATTAAACTCCTTTCCTTCATAAATTACCCAGTCTCAGGTATTCTTTATAGCAGCATGAGAATGAACTAGTACACACTCAACTAGTGATATGGTTTGACTCTATGTCCCCACCCAAATCTCATCTTGTAGCTCCCATAATTCCCATGTGTTGTGGGAGGGATCCAGTGGAGATGATTGAATCACGGGGTGGGTCTTTCCCATGCTATTCTCGTGATAGTAAATGAGTCTCATGAGATCTGATGGTTTTTTAAAAAACAGGAGTTTCTCTGCAAAAGCTCTTTGCCTGCTTCCATTCATATAAGATGTGACTTTCTCCTCTTTGCTTTCCACCATGATTGTGAGACCTCCCCAGCCATGTGGAACTGTGAGTACAATTAAACCTTTTACTTTTGTAAATTGCCCACTCTTGAGTATGTCTTCATCAGCAGCATGAAAATGGACTAATACAATAAATTCCTACCAGGAGTAGGGTACTACTGAAAAAATACCTGAAAATATGGAAGTGACTTTGGAACTGGGTAACAGGCAGAGGTTGCAACAGTTTGGAGGGCTCAGAAGAAGACAAGAAAATGTGGGAAAGGTTGGAACTTCCTAGAGAGTTGTTGAATGGCTTTGACCAAAATCCAGATAGTGAGATGGACAATAAGGTCCAGGCTGAGGTGGTCTCAAATGGAGATGAGGAACTTGTTGAGGACTGGAGCAAAGGTGACTCGTTATGTTTTAGCAAAGAGACTGGAGGCATTTTGCCCCTAACCTAGAGATTTGTGGAACTTTGAACTTGAGAGTGATGATTTAGGGTATCTGGTGGAAGAAATTTCTAAGCAGCAAAGCATTCAAGATATGACTTGGGTGCTGTTAAAGTCATTCAGTTTTATAAGGAAAGCAGAGCATAGAAGTTCAAAAAACTTGCAGTCTGACAATGTGGTAGAAAAGAAAAACCCATTTTCTGAGGAGAAATTCAAGCCAATTGATGAAATTTGCATAAGTGATGAGGTGCTGAATGTTAATCCCCAAGACAATGGGGAAAATGTCTCCAGGGCATGTCAGAAGTCTACATGGCAGTCCCTCCCATCACAGGCTGTGTAGAGCCTAGGGACTTGGTGCCCTGCATTGCAGTCACTCCAGCCATGGCTGAAAGGGGCCAATGTAGAGCTTGGGCTGTGGCATAAGAGGGTGCAAACCTCAAGCCTTAGCAGCTTCCATATGGTGTTGAGTCTGTGGGTGCACAGAAGTCAAGAATTGAGGTTTGGGTACCTCTACCTAGATTTCAGAAGATGTATAGAAATGCCTGGATGCCCAGGCAGAGGTTTGCTGTAGGGGAGGGGTCCTCATGGAGAACTTCTTCTAGGGCAGAACAGAAGGGAAATGTGGGGTGGGAGCCCCTACACAGAGTACCTACTGGGGCACCACCTAGTGGAGCTGTGAGAAGAAGGCCACCATCCTCTAGACCCTAAATAGTAGATCCACTGATGGCTTGCACCATGCTCCTGGAAAAGCCTCAGACACTCAATGCCAGCCCATGAAAGCAGCTGGGAGGGAGACTGTACCCTGCAAAGCCACAGGGTCAGAGCTGCCCAAGACTATGGGAACCTACCTCTTGCATCAGCATGCGCTGGATGTGAGAAAAGGAGTCAAAGGAGATCATATTGGAGCGTTAAGATTTGACTGCTCCACTGGATTTCAGACTTGCATGGGGCCTGTAGCGTTTTGGTTTTGGCCAGTTTCTCCCATTTGGAATGACTGTATTTATCCAATGCCTGTACCCCCATTGTATCTAGGAAGTAACTAACTTGCTTTTGGTTTTACAGGCTCACAGGCAGAAGGGACTTGCCTTGTCTAGAATGAGACTTTGGACTGTGGACTTTTGAGTTAATGCTGAAATGAGTTAAGACTTTGGGGGACTTTTGGGAAGGCATGATTGGTTTTGAAATGTGAAGATATGAGATTTGGGAGGGGTCAGGAGCAGAATGATATGGTTTGTCTCTGTGTCCCCACCCAAGTCTCATCTTGTAGCTCCCATAATTTCCACATGTTGTGGGAGGGACCAGGTGGGAGATGATTGAATCACAGGGGTGGGTCTGTCCTGTGCTGTTCTTGTGATAGTGAATGGGTCTCATGAGATCTGATGGTTTTTAAAACATGGGAGTTTCTCTGCACAAGCTCTCCCTTTGCCTGCTGCCATCCACATAAGATGTAACTTGCTCCTCTCTGCCTTCTGCCATGATTGTGAGGCCTCCTCAGCCACGTAGAACTGTGATTCCAATTAAACCTTTTTCTTTTGTAAATTTCCCAGTCTTGGAGTATGTCTTTATCAGCAGTGTGAAAATGGACTAATATACCTAGACACATCACAGTCAAACTATCAAAATTCAAAGACAAAGATAATTTTGGCACCAGAAAAAGTGAAACATCTCATCAAGTACAAAGGGTGGCATCTCATTGGAAACTATGGGGCTCAAGAAACAGTGGAATATTGTGTTTAAAGTGTTGATAGAAAAGACTGTCAACCAGTAATTCAATCTCCAGAGATACTGTCCTTTGAAAATGAAAGAGAAGACATTCCCAAAGAAGCAAAGAGAGAATTCATCTCTAGCGTATATGACTACAGGATATACCAAAAGGAGTTTTTCACTGAAATGAATGGACTATAGACAGTAATATGAAGAATTAGAACACCACCAATAAATGTAACTTCATAAGTAAATATGCATATTATAAGTGTATTTTTCTTCATAACTTCTTTCTTATATGATTTAAAATCACTTTATAAAGCAATGATTATAACCCTGTGTTATAACATATAAGGGTGTAATAATACCATAAGGAAGAGAAGAGAAAATGGAAGTGTATAATAGTATAAGGGAGAAAAGAGAAAATGGAACTTCATAAGGGCAAAATGTTATATAATATTGATATTAAGTTAATATTAATATGAACTAGTTTAAGTTAGGATGTTAATTATAATTTTTAAGGCCACCACTACTAGTTAAATATATAACACAACAAGGGGATTAAAAGGGTCCACTATAAGATATTTAATACAAAAGAATGCAATAATTGAACAATAGATGAAGAATAAGTACTGAGTAAAAGACATAATATATAAAAGCAAATAGCAAAATGGCAGATGTAAATCCTAATTACATTAAAGATGATGGAGCAAACACACCAATCAAAAATCAGAAATGACCAAATAAATTTTTTAATAAAAATCCAGCTATATGCTTTCTATAGGAGGCAAACAGATTCAAAGGCACAAGCAGAATGAAAATAAAAGAAAAGAAAAACTTATCCGTGCAACCTATAACCAAAAGAGAGCTGAGGTGAATGTACTAACATAAGACAAAAATTGACTTTATGAAAAGTATTGTTACTAGAGTCAAAGAAAGACATTTTATAAAATAAAAAGTTCAGTCTCTCAGGAAGCCATAACAAATATCAATATATATGCATCTAACAATATAGCTCCCAAATAAATAAATCAAAATCTTACAGAATTAAAATAAAAATAGACAATTCAACTGTAATAGTTAGAGACTTTAATGTCTCCCTTTTGATAATAGAAGAAACAAGCAAAAGATAAAAAAAAAAAGTAGAAGAGTTGAACAACATGATAAGCTAACTATAACTAATAGCCATATATAGAATATTCCATGCAACAACTGCTCTTCTCAAGTGTACATGGAACAGTCCCAGGGCAAACCATATGTTTGGTGATAAGACATGCCATAATAAATTTAAAAGGACTAAAATCATACAAAGAATATTTCCCAATCACAATGGGATTAAATAGGAATCCATAACAGAAAAAATTTTGGAAAATTCACAATTACTTTGCAATTAAATGACCTCCTAAATAACCAATAGGTCAAGAAAAAAATAGAAAACAAATTAAAATTTACTTTGAAATAAATTAAAATAAAAACACAATATATAAATGCAATAGATACCACTAAAACAGTGCTAAGAGAGAAAATTATAGCAGTAAACAATTATATTAAAAATAATTTGATAAATGGTGCTGGAATAACTGGCTGGCCATATGCAAAAGATTGAAACTGGATCCCTTCCTTATACCATATATGAAAATTAACTCAAGATGGATTAAAGACTTAACTGTAAAACCCAAAACTATAAAAACCCTGGAAGACAACCTAGGCAATATCATTCTGACATAGGAACAGGCAAAGATTTCATGATGAAGACTCCAAAAGCAGTTGCAACAAATGCAAAAATTGAAAAATGGGATCTAATTAAACTAAAGAGCTTCTGCACATCAAAGAAAGCTATCAACAGAGTGAACAGACAACCTACAGAATGGAGAACATACTTGCAAACTATGCATCCAGTCTAATATCCAGCATCTATAAGAAACTTAACAACATCATGGATTATTAGAGAAATACAAATCAAAACCACAATTAGATATTATCTCATACAAGTCAGAATTGCTGTAAAAACAAACAAAAAACAAACTCTGGTGAGGCTGTGTAGAAAAAGAAACACTTATAGTCTGTAGGTGGGAGTGTAAATTAGTTCAACCATGTGGAAGACAGTGTGGTGATTCTTCAAAGACCCAAAAACAGAAATATCATGTGACTTAGCAATCCATTCCTTTGGGTATACACCCAAAGGAATATAAACCATTCTGTTATAAAGACACATGCATGCGTATGTTCATGCAGCACTATTCACAATAGCAAAGATGTGGAATCAACCCAAATGCCCATCAATTGTAGACTGCATAAAGAAAATGTGGTATATATACACCATGGAATACTATGCAACCATAATAAAGAATGAGACATGTCCTGTGTAAGAAGATGAATGGAGCCAGAGGCCATTATCCTTAAAAAACTAACACAGAAACAGAAAACCAAATACCGCATATTCTCACTTATAAGTGGGAGCTAAATGATGAGAACACATGGACACACAGAGAGGAACACCACACACTGGGTCCTTTTGGAGGATGGAGAGTGGGTAGAGGAAGAAAATCAGGAAAAATAACTAATGGGTACTAGGCTTAATACCTGGGTGATGAAATTGTCTGTACAACAAACCCCTATGATGCAAGTTTACCTATAAAACAAACCTGCATATGTACCCCCGAATTTAAAAGTTAAATTAAAAGTAAATAAAAAATAAAGATGTAAATTTGACAAACTCACTTTATATATGCAAAAAGGACCAAACTGGAACCAAAACAAGCAAAACAAAGTAATATTACAGTTGGAATAAATGAAACAGAGACTAGAAAAATAATAGAGAAAATCAATGAAACCAAAAGATGATTCTTTGAAAAGGTTAACAAAATTGACAAAATGGTAGCTAGACAGACCAAGAAACTAGGAAGACTCAGGTCACTAACATCAGGATTTAAAGAGAATATCACCAGTGACTTTACAGAATTAAAAAGTATTGTATCTATATTTATATGAAATATTGGTCTGCAGTTTTCACATGATGTTTTTGTCTGGTTTGGTGTCAGGTTAATGTAGGCTTCGTGGTGTGAACTGGCAAATTTTGCTCCTGTTTTATTTTTTGACAGTATTTATAAAGTATTGGATTTAATTATTCTTTAAATGTTGGTAGAATTCACCAGTGAAGTCACTTTTTTCTCTGTGGAATGTTATTAAATTACTAATTCAACCTCTTTATTTGTTATGTTTTTTCGTAATTATATTTCTTCTTGAGTCAGTTTTGATAGTTTGTGTCTTTATAGGAATTTGTCAATTCTATGTAGGTTATCTAATGTGTTGGTGTACAATTGTTCATAGCATTTCCCTTGTAATGCTTTCTAATTCTTTACAGTCACCAGTGACGTTCCCTTTAAGTCCTGATGTTAGTAAGTTGAGCCTTAATACTTTCGCTTTCTTGGTCCGTCTAGTCAAAGTTTTATCAATTAACACTCTCAACAAAATTCAAACTGAGCAATGTATAAAATCGATTATACACTATGATCAAGTGAGATTTACTCATGGAATACAGAGTTGACCTGGTATCCAAAAATCACTCAAGCAATAAAGGAAATTCCAATAAACACATGATCATCTCAATAGACACACAAAAAAAACCATCCAACAGAACCTAACACTTTTTCATGATAAAAATCATTAACAGACAAATAGAAGGAAACTTCCTCAATTCTATAAAGAATATCCAGGAAAAACCCACAGTTAACATCATAATTAATGGTGAGAGACTGAATTATTCCCCTAAAACTAAGAATAAGAAAATACGTCCTCTTTCAGCATGTATATTCAACATTATATTGAAGGTTATAGTTAGGGAAATTAAGAAAAAAGCCACCAGATTAGAAAAGAAGAAATAAAACTGTAACTATTTATAGAATATATAATCTTATATAAAGAAAATCCTGGGAACACACACACACACACAACTATTAGAACTCATAAATAAGTTCAATAAGGTTGAAGAATATACAAGACCAGTATATAAAATCAATTGCATTTCCATATGCTTACAATGAACCATCTAGAAATTAAATATACAATTCCATTTACAATCATATTAAAAAGAATAGAATACTTAGGAATATACTTAAGAAAATAAATGTAAGATGCATATGCCAAAACTGCAAAACATTGCTGAAGGAAATTAAAGATAAACTAAACAAATGGAAAGATATAATGTGTTCATGTATTGGAAGAGTTAATATTGTTGAGATGGCAATATTCCCCAAATTGACGTATTTCACAAAATTTCTATAAAAAACCCCAGTTGCTTTTTTTGTAGAAATTTACAAAGCTGATTCTAAGCTTCACATGAAAATGCAAGGGTCCCAGAATGGCCAGAACAATCTTTAAAAATAATAAAGTTGGGATACTTTTATTTCTTAATTTTAAAACATACTACAACTATAATAAACAGGACAGTGTTGTATTCGTTCTGTTTTAGGTAGTGCTATAGAGAACTACCTAAGACTGGGTAACTTATAAAGGAAAGAAGTTTTATTGACTCACAGTTCCCTATGGCTGGGGAGGCCTCAGGAAACTTGTAACCATGGCAGAAAATGGAAGCAAGGTATGTCTTACATGGTGGCAGGAGGCTGGGGGAGTGGTGCCACACTTTAAAACCATCAGATCTCATGAGAACTCACTTACGATCATGACAACAACAAGGGAGAAGCCTGCCCCCATAAATCAATCACCTCCCACCAAGCCCTTCCTCCAACACTTGGGGATTACAATTTGAGATGAGATTAGGATGGGAACACAAAGCTTAACTATTTCATTCCACCCTGGCTTCTCCCAAATCTCATGTCCTCACATTTCAAAACCAATCGTGCCTTCTCAACAGTCCCTAAAAGTCTTAACTCATTCCAGCATTAACTGAAAAGTCCAAGTCCAAAGTCTCATCTGAGACAAGGCAAGTCCCTTTTGCCTATGAGCCAGTAAAATAAAAAAGTTAGTTACTTCCACGATATAATGTGGGTACAGACATCGGGTAAGCGCTCCCATTCTAAATGGGAGAAATTGGCCAAAACAAAGTGTCTCCATGCCCCACTGACGTCCAAATCCCTGTAGGGCAGTCACTAAATCTTAAAGCTCCAAAATAATCTGTTTTGACTCCATGTCTCAGATCCAGGGCATGCTGATGCAAGGGGTGGGCTCCCAAGGCCTTGGGAAGCTCTGCCTCCATGGGTCTGCAGGTCACAGTCCCCACAGCTACCTTCGTGGGCTGGCATTGAGTGCCTGTGGCTTTTCCAGGTGCATGGTGCAAGGTGTCAGTGGATCTACCTTTCTGGTGTCTGGAGGACAGTGGCTCTCTTCTCACAGCTCCACTAGGCAGTGCTTTAGTGGGGGCTCCTACCCCACATTTCCCCTCTCCACTGCCTTTGTAGAGGTTCTTTATGAGGGCTCTACCCCTGCAGCAGACTTCTGCTAAGACATCCAGGCATTTCCATACATCCTCTAATAGTCTTAGGTTCCCAAACCTCAACTCTTGTCTCTGCACTTCCACACACCCACACCACATAGAAGCTGCCAAGGCTTGAGGCTTGCACCCTCTGAAGCAACAGCCCCAACTGTATGTTGGCCCCTTTCAGCCACAGCTGGAGCTGGAGCATCTGGGACACAGGGTACCATGTCCTGAGGCTGCATGTAGTAGCAGGGTCCTGGGCCTGACCCAGGGAATCATTTTTTTCCTCCTAGGCCTCAGGACCTGTGATGGGAGGGGCTGCCTTGAAGATCTCTGACATGCCCTGGAGACATTTTCCCCATTGTCTTGTCTATTAACCTTCCACTCCTTGTTACTTACATAAATTTCTGCAGCAGGCTTGAATTTCTCCCCAGAAAATGGATTTTTCTTTTCTACAGCATGATCAGGCTGCAAAATTTCCAAACTTGTACCCTCTGCTTCCCTTTTAAACATAAATTCCAGTTTCAGACCATCTCTTTCTTCAACATATGAGAGTACACTTTGAGAAAAAGCCAGGTCACATCTTGAACACTTTGCTACTTAGAAATTTCTTCCACTAGATACCCTAAATCACCTCTTTCAAGTATAAAGTTTCACAGAGCTCTAGGGCAGAGGTAAAATACCACCAGTCTCTTTGCTAAAGCATAACAAGAGTGACCTTTGCTCTAGTTCCCAATGAGTCCCTCATCTCTGTCTGAGACCACCTCAGCCTGGACTTCATTGTCCATATCAGGATCAGCATTTTGGTCAAAACCATTCAACAAGTCTCTAGGAAGTTCCAAACTTTCCCTCATCTTACTGCCTTTTTCTGAGTCCTCCAAGCTCATCCAACCTTTACCTGTTACCCAGTTCCAAAGTTGCTTCCACATTTTCAAGTGTCTTTATAGCAATACCCCATTACTCCAGGTACCAATTTTCTGTATTAGTCAATTTTCACAATGCTATAAAGAACTACCTGAGACTGTGTAATTTATAAAGAAAAGAGGCTTAATTGACTCACAGTTCCACGTGGCTGGGGAGGACTCAGGAAACTTGCAATCATGGCTGAAGGGGAAGCAAGACATGTCTTACATGGTGGCAGGAGAGTGGGGCCATCAGATCTCATGAGAACTTACTAACATGAGAACAGCAAGGGAGAAGTCCACCTCCATAATTCAATCACCCTCCACCAGGCCCCTCCTCCAACATGTGGGGATTACAATTTGAGATGAGATTTGGGTGGGGGCACAGAGCCCACCCAAATGTGACACTTGCATAAGCATATCAAATGTGATACTTGCATAGGCATAGACATATAGATCAATGCAGTAGAATTTGGGAATTGAGATTTTAGTTAATAAATATACCTACATTTCAGTCCATTTATTTTTAACAAGTGGACCAAAAAATTTCAATGGGTATCAAAAATCTTTTCAACAAATGACAGAGACAAATGGATATCCATATGCAAAACAATTAATTTGGATCCCTCTGTCACACTACGTATAAACATTAACTCAAAATGGATCATAGACTAAAAATGAACATTAAAGTCTAAAACTTTTAGAAGATAATGTAGGAGTACTTTTTTATGACCTTTCATTAGGCATGGTTTCATAGATATGACACAAACATCATGTGTGACAAAGAATAGACTAACTACACTTCAATATTAAAAACTTGTACTTCAAAGCACATCATCAAGAAATACAACTCATAAAATGGTAGAAAATATTTGCAAATCATCAATCTGATTAGGGACTTGTACTCAGCTCATATAATAAACTATTATAACTTAATTACAAATCAACAATAAAGACACAATTTGACAGGCACTATGGCTCATACCTGTAATCCCAACACTTTGGAAGGCTGAGATGGGCAGATCACTTGAGCCCAGGAGTCCCAGATCAGATTGGGCAACACAGCGAAACCCTGCCTCTATAAAAAGTGCAAAAAAATTAGCTGGGCATGTTGGCATGTGACTGTATTCCCAGCTACTCAGGGGGCTGAGGTGGGAGGATCACTTGAGTCCAGGAGGACGAGGCTGCAATGAACTGTCATCATTCTACTGCACTTCAGCCTGGGTGACAGAGTGAGACCGTCTTAAAAAAAAAAAAAAAAAAAGAGAAAGAGAGAGAGAGAGACAACTCAATTGATAGTGAAAAACCCATGAAAAGATCACCATCATTAGTAATTACAGAAATTCAAATTAAAATGAGATACTACTTTGTACTCAAAGGATGATTACATAAAATAGACAGTAGCAGTGATGGTAAGTACATGGAGAAATTGGAACTCTCAGACATTGTTGTTAGGACTGCAAAATGGTGCAGCTGCTTTGGAGAATGGTTTGGAAGTTCCTCAGAGTGTTAAATATAGACTTATGATATGACCTTGTAACTACATTCCTTGGTAAGTATCCAAGAGAAATGAAAAAACATATACTCACAAAAATTTGTATATGAATGATCATAGCAGCATTATTCATAATAGCCAAAATGTGGAAACAATCCAAATTTCCATCAACTGCTGAATGGATAAACAAAATGTGGCATATCCATGAGTTGAGATATTATTTAGCAATAATAATGAATGAAGAATTGATACATACTACACCATGGGTAAAGTTTATAAATGTGATGAATGAAGAAGTTTTTCATAAAAGGCCACATATAGTATGATTCCGTTTATATGAAATATCCAGTTACTCAAATTCATAGGCACATAAAGATTGGTCATTTCCAGGGGCTTGGAGAGGGAATGGGGAGTGACTGCTTATGGATACAGAATTTCTTTCTGAGGTCATGAATACGTCTGAATATTAGATAGCAGGGATGGTTGCAAAATTCTGTGAACATACAAAAAAACTCTGCTGAATTTAATATTTTTAGAGGGTGACTGTTATTGCATATAAATTATTCCTCAATAAAGCTATTTAAAAAAAGTTGAGTTTGCCCCACCCCTAGATTTGTCATGCCCAGAGACGCCTGAATGTTTGAGATCTCTGGAAGTGACCTAATATGAGACAATATAGGCATATAGAATGCTAAAATCAAAATAATAGAAAACTGGGCTTTGCATGGCCCTAGTTCATATCTTGTCTTTACCTTAAAGTAAAAATTCTTCACAACTTGTCTTTTAAGTGAGGAAAGTGTATATCAATTTCATCACTAGTTATCAAATTAGATTGTATGGGAGAAGCTAGACATGAAATCACACATAAATGGCTTGCTGAGTAAAGTGTGAACTCTTTTAATCCATATAGGCATAAAAACATACATATTCCTGATACCTACTCTATCCAAAAAATAATCATACTATCAAATGTGCTTTTTGCCACATTTCTAATTATGTAAGGTATTTCATACCATATCAAAAGAGCTTTTATTTCTACTAGACTGCAGGCTTCTCAAGGAGAGAGGTCCTGTGTTATTTACCTTTGATTCCCACAATAAATGTGTACCTGACAATGATAGGTGCACAGAAGATGTTCAGTGTGTTTGGGGAATATTAGAATGACAAATTTTTTGATATGTTAATATTATAAGGCATCATGAAATTAGTTGTTCCCAGACTTTTAAGAATACTTCATACCTTAAAAAGATGTTAGAAGGAATGTGGACCTCTGCTTCTGGCAATGTCAGAGTAACTGACACTAGACCCACTCCCTTGACATAAAAAGTTATAAAACTCAACCAAGTAATTGAAGCAAATGTTTTCAGACTTCGGACAATAGGCAGCACAGTACTTTGATCCCTGAGAAAAGGGAAACAAATGAGGTGAACCCTATAATTATTCCAGCTTTTTGCCTGGAAGCACTTTCCAAATAAAGGTAAGGGAGAGAGATCCCAAGCAGGGTACTTAGCTATGGAGGCAGATATCATAATTGGAGGCAGCAGGAAATTTGCTGGGCAGGGCTCCAGGGAGGAGAGAGCTGTGCAGAAAAGGAGCACCAGAAATAAGCACAGAAGTCCTTTGAAATCTTTGGCTTAATACTAAGCTGCATCTGCACATGGGGAAACTCTGCAAGGGCTGGTGGAGAGCAGCTTCTAGGGGAACCGTGGGTTGGACATGTAGATATTCCAGAGATTACTCAGTGTTAGGATTTCTCATCAGCCAGAGTGAAGAACAAAACATCTTACTGAACACCCCAGGCATTCTTTGAGACTTTAGAAAAGCCTCAGAATACAAGAGAAAATTATGACCTATTCTAAAAAAGCATTAAAATAAGCCTTGAAATGATCAAACTGATCTGCCAAAAATTAAATGCCTTGAAGAATAAAACTAAGTACTCTTTAAAGGAAATAAACAAAATCTGGGCTCTCAACAATATATCGATCTCAAAATCCTGCACTAAGAAAAAATTACTAGATCTGTGAAGAGTGGGGAATGTGATCTGTTTTTAGGAAAAAAATTTGTTCAATTAAAAAACAACCCAAGGGTGGGCCACTCTACCCCACGCCGGGCGCCTGGACAGGAGTCCAGTGCAGAGTGCCCCTTGTCCTGGGAAATGGAGTGTTGTGGAAAGGTGGCCGCTCCCTCGCCCATCACACAACTCACGTTCGTGGGAAACCTGGTGCTAAAGCATTCCTAGAGGACCAGCTTCTGGGTCGGGGTTTCTTACCTAGCAAAGCAGCACCCTCACTGTCATCTATTGAAAGTCAGCCCTCAACACAAGGATTTGTAAAAACAAACAAAATCCCAGAAATTACTAAGTAAAAGGAAAACACTCAAAGGCTATAAAGCATCTATTACTAATATTCTAATGAATTTCAAGGAAAACCTAAATTTGATGACAAAAAGAGTGGAAGAAATAAGAAAAGAACCAAATGAAACTTACAGAGGTAAAAAATTAAAATATGTGAAATTTAAAAATCCACTTGTTTCACTTGGGATTAGATTAGATACTGCAAAAGAAAACATTGATAAACCTGAATTTATTGTTCTAGTGAAATAATTTATAATAATATTTAGAATAATATATTCCAAACTGAAGCACAAAGATTATCTGTATGTACTAGTAACAGGATAAATACATAGATTTATAGCACAAGTAGGCAAAAATCATTAAGGATATAGATTTTAAAAACTCTATCAACTAGATTAATTTAAGTGACATTTATAAAACACTCCACACAATAATGGCAAAATACTCAATCTTTTCAAGTGATCATGGACTATTCCCTAATATTGACCACCTGCTGGGAAATAAAGAAGTTTTAATAAATATCAAAGTGTTAAATTCACACAAAGTCTGTTCTCTGATCAAAACAGAATTATATTACTAATCAATAACTATGGAGGAAGATATCATAATTGGAGGCAGCAGGAAATTTGCTGGGCAGGGCTCCAGGGAGGAGGGAGCTGTGCAGAAAAGGAGCACCAGAAATAAGCACAGAGGTCCTTTGAGATCTTTGGCTTAATACTAAGCCATTATGTATTACTAACATAGTAACATAATATATTACTAACATAGTAATATAATCAATTATGTTACTAATCAATAAGTAGTCTGAAAAACCCCAAATACTAGTGTTACCAAAACACCAGGGGTTCAGTCTAGGTCCTGCTGCACACTGCACAAAAAGCCAATCACTAAGACAATGGGTATTGCCAGGAAAGAAGGCTTTATTTGGGTGGTGCAGCCAAGGAGCATGGAAGATCAGTCTTAAATCCATCTCCTCAGCCTACTAAAATTAGAGGTTTGTACAGCAGGGAAAGAATGTAACCATATGTGGGAAAATAGAAATTAGGGACGTTAGAAAGAGAAGTTGATCAACAGGAAGCAGGTGGTCATTTAAGCAATCATGATGGATGAGGAGTCTGGCATCTCATTGCTGGATGTGGTCATCTGGTAAGTTTTAGCTTCTTGATACTATTTTGGAGGCCCAATGGTCTATCTATCTGAGAAAGGAACTCAGATAAGACAAATGTAACTTTCTCAAGCTTTAAGACTTGGAGGGTCAATTTCTACGTTTATTCAAAGAAAGCATAAAAATCAGTTGCATGGGACAATTGGGCTGGTTTCACTTAGAAATTGAACAATATAAATTTTAATAACCCATAAATCAAATAAAACAAAAACTTACAAAATATTTTGTCATAAATGATTCAAAAAGAAAGCATATGAAAATTGCTGGGATGCAGCTAATGCCAGAATAGATGGAAAAATTTGAGCAGATACTTTCTTAAAGAAGATAGCCAATAAACAAGAAAAAAATGGTATCATTAGTCATTAAGAAAATACAAATAAAGACTACAATAAAATGCCATTTCACACCCACCAGAGTGGCTAAAATTGAAAAGGCTGACAATACCAATTGTTTGCAAGGATATAGTGAAATAGGAGTTTCTTATTCTACTGAGCATATAAAATGGTACATCCACTTTGGAAAAGTTTAACAGTTTCGTATCAAGTTAAACATGGACATACCACATGACCCAGCAATTCTTCTTCTGTGTATGTACCCAAAAGAAATGAAAACACATGTTTACACAGAGACTTACATATCCATTTCCACAGCAGCTTTTTTCATACTAGCCCTAAACTAGAAGTAATGCAAATATCCAGTAACAGATGAATACATAAACTATGGTATATCTATACAGAAGAAAACTAAGCAATAACTATGAAACTTGCAACAACATCAGTAAATCTCAGAAACATTTTGCTATGTGAAGTAAGCCCATCAAAAGAGTATCTATTGTAAGATTTTACTGACATGATGGTCTAGAGGAAATAGAATAATCTATGATGAATATATTTTTTAAAGAAGAGCAGGGGCCTTTGGTGAAGTGGGTGGGAATTGACCGAGAATGGGCACAGGGAACATTGTATGTGTCAGATATTGGAAATATGCATTTTTTTAAAACCTTTTGAGCAATAAAACTTAAGTTTTATTTATTTAATTGAGATGTATAAATTATACCTCAATAAAAAAAAGCAGAGACTAATGTGTGAGGTGGCTATCTTTTTATTTTGCTAAGA
Organism: Homo sapiens; assembly: GCF_000001405.40. NCBI lineage: Eukaryota > Metazoa > Chordata > Mammalia > Primates > Hominidae > Homo > Homo sapiens. Next base: position 59,601,292 of record NC_000002.12, on the reverse strand, counting down.
AAGTTTAAAACTTAACCAAATAGTCCAGGTACAGTGGCTCACACCTGTAATCCTAACACTTTGGGAGGCTGAGGCAGGAGGATCACTTGAGACCAGGAGTTTGAGACCAGTTTAGGCAACATAGCGGTACCCTGTCTCTACAAAAAATACAAAAATTAGCCTGACATGGTGGTGTGCACTTGTAGTCCTAGCTACTCAGGAGGCTGAGGTGGGAGGATCATTTGAGCCTAGGAGTTTGAGGCTGCAGTGAGCTAAACTCTAGCAAGGGTGACAGAGCGAATGCAGGTTCTTGACTTTGCAGCACTTAAGAGTTTGAAAGCGAGTCCAAAGTAAGAGTAAGCAAAGAAGTTTATTGTAAATCAAAAGTACGCTCTGAGAGGCAGAACAAGATGCTCAAAGATAGAGAGAGCCCCTAGTGCCTTAAAGGGAATTCCTCTTATGGCAACTGTACATACATATTCATAAAATATTGGGGTCAAGTATGCAAAGACGGACCTATGGTTGGTGCATACACTCAATATCTACATGCCTTACCACACACAGCATGTATCATTCTCCACCTAAGGATGCCTTTTTTTTTAATTTTTTTACTTTTAAAATGAAGAAAACGTTACTATAAGCTGGCTGCACGTGTGGGACGCCGAAGTTCTTAGCCCCCTTAAGGCAGGAATTTGTAGCTAATAGTCTCTTGAGCTTTTGGTGCTGATGTGCTGGATATTGGGGAAGCTACATCAGGAATAAGGGGCTTTTGTTCTCTTTCCCAGGCCATATTGTGTATCAGGAGCTTGTAACCATCTGGCAATTTGCTGGTATCCTGTAGGACTACTTACCTTGCAGAATAAGGTGCTGATTCACGAGGGTGCAAGCGATGAGGAGCTCACTGCAAAAAGGAGCCCAGACTGCTTTACACAAGGAGACAAGTCAGTATGCTCCTATCCTTACTTATCCTGCCTCACAACAACAAAAACTATCATTTCATGCAAAATCAATATTTTAATTTCCTAAGAGACAAAAGGACAACATCTGAGAAAGAAAGTCCTTTAAAATGAACACATTTAGCAATTTGAATAACTAAATTAATTGTTCCGCTGTTTCTCATTTCACCAGTGACTTAAACATTTCGTGATGGATTGACATGCTTTGCTGGGCCAGTCCTGACCATTTAGACTAGCCAAATCAGAGTGCGCAGATTTAGCAAATAAAAGTAAGCACATCATATTTGCATAAAACAGACATTGCCACATATTGCCTGGGACGTGCTAAAAAGTTATTCATGTGTTTATCTGAAATTTACATTTAACTGGGTGACCTGTATTTTACTGGGCAAATCTAAGTCAAACTACTCTTTTGACAGATGAATAAAACAGAAGCCCAGAAATGGTAAGATTTTCCCAAGACCTAACTAATAAAAAAGCTGCAATTAGTGCTCTGGATCCTCACCTGCAGTTTAATGTTTGGGGTTAGTAAAATGAATGGTGAATTTTTTGGAGCAGAAATATGAAACAGTATTTCCCTTCAAAAATTATGCTAAGTTACGTTTTCCACTTGGAAGTACAGCAATACGATCAGTCAAAACTGTCAATCCAATAGTGCCATGGAGGGATATTCAATGAGCATTTCTTTGTATCTCATTTTCCTCCTCTTTAAATGTGGTGTTGATGATGGTACCAGCCTCCTAGATTTGTTGTGAAGATTAAATGAGGCAATACATGTCAGTCATGAGTGACATGATGTGGCCCTTGGAAAGTGCCCAGTAAATAGTTATGGCTGCTGCATCTCCTTCTCCAGTCTCACTCTTTAGTTCTAATACTATTACCTATTTTTAAATGTACATGCCTTTAAAAAATATTGCCTCTATCTCAAAAACACATGTAAAGTATCCAGCTAGCTACATGGAGGTTATGTCTGTGCACTCAAAGTGTGGTGGAAAATTAAATTAATTAATGGGAGCACATACTACAACCTGTAATACCTGAACAATCATAGCTATACGTAGGACGTTTTAGTTTTCTTTGCTCTTATAATAAAAGCCAAATCTCCTGCCACGCCTAGAGGGTCCAAATTCTGTGCTCTATCTCCAGCCTTATCACTGATTATGCTCCTCTTCACTCACTCTTCTGAGCTACTGGCAAGTGTTTTCTGATAACATGGTCTTTGCTCATTCTGTGTCCTCTGCCTAGAATATTCTTCCTTGCATTCCTTGTGTATGAAACTCTTTCCTACCCTTTATGTTTATCACAAATGTCACCTTTTTAGTGGGACCTTTCTGACCATTCTGGTTATTACCCTTGGTTATTCTCCATCTCAATCCCTTGTTTACATCCATGAGAATACTTATGATTACTTGAAATTATTCTTTTTGTATTGGTTTGCCTGTTTATTACCATCTCACCCATTAGAAGGTGGGCTCCATGAAGGCTGACATGATCAGCATGATTTTCTTGGTCTCTGATACTTGGCACAGAGCTTCATACTGTGAAGAATGGACTGCTTCCTGCTCTGTCCTCTTCCCACCCCGATCACCCATCCTCTTGCTCTCTGCATGTCCTCAGTGAGACTCTCCTGACATCCATCCCCAGCTCTGGGTCCTCTGTTATAGACTCTCCTAGTGAGTTGCTGGCATTTGTCACATTTTGTAACCATACAATCATTTGTGTGAATAGTTGTGTGATATGGTTTGACTCTGTATCTCCACTTAAATCTTGTCTGGAATTGTAATCCCCATGTGTTGAGGGAGGGACCTGTAATCCCCACGTGTTGAGGGAAGCAGGTGATTGAATCATGGGGGCAGTTTGACCCATGCTGTTCTTGTGAGACTGGGTTCTCATGATATCTGATTATTTTATGTGTTTGAAAGTTCCTCCTTTGCTCTGCTCTCTCCTGCCGCCTTGTGAAGAAGGTGCCTACTTCCCTTTCACCTTTGCCATGATTGTAAGTTTCGTGAGGCTTCCCTACCCATGCGGAACTGTGAGTCAATTAAACCTATTTCTTTGTAAATTACCCAGTCTCAGATATTTCTTCATAGCGGTGTGAAAACGAACTAGTACCTTGAGTAATGTCTCTCTTTCCTACGAGGCTGAGTGATATGCAGCCCTGCTTAGGGTCCATTTGTTCACCTCTGCACCCCGGTATCTTCCACAGTGCCCACAGGATTCAACAGAAAATAAGAGATTTACAATATTCTGCCAGTTTTGACATGCCAAAATGACAATTTTCAACATGTGACTTTTCCTTTGGAAATTATGCTAAACTGTGATTTCACTTGTAATTCTGGGAAAATCCATTTCCCAGTGGACTTGGGTCACCTGGTGCTATAGACAACTGCAAAGCAACAAGGAAAGTCTCTATAGTCAACTGAGTCAGATACACACAAAAATCTCACCAACAAGCAAACAAGAACTCCTCTCTTCTCTTGCTACACCCCATCTGTGCACGCACCACATTCCACCTGCTTCAAGAGTAGAAGCAGAAAAGGAAACACGGCCTGTGAGATATTCAGGGGTAGACATGTCTTGCTGTACCTGGTTATAAAGGTCACTGCTGGGCCAAGGTGTACTTTTCTATGAGCTTTGCTATTTTGTCCACTTCTTTCTGTTACTATTATAGGGGTCAGTTGTGTGAGAAAGCCAGGGACCCTGGAGATTGTTAACCACCAAATTCTGTTTAATACATATTTTATATGGGCATATTTCTTACATCTAAAAAAAGTCAAATGCCATAATAATTATTTTAATATCCCACATTTTTTGTTGACTGTGTTTGTTCTGTTACAGTCTTCAATCATACTTCCTATCTCTACATATTGTTCCTCAACCACCACTGTTGCTCTTTCCCCTTCTTTCTTCTCTGCAGCATCATTTTTCTCTATGGAGGGTTTTCAGTCCATAGAAAGTATCCTAAACTTTAATCTACCAGCACTGTTCACATCAGTAAGGAGTTTTTCTTAGTCACCCTTTCAGCTATACCATGGGATCAAACCCATCACCCTCTTAACCTCTTCTGGGAGTAGAATTAATACACACACATTCCACTATGATGTGTTATCACAGGGGTTAGATGGGTGGGTATTTCCCTTTGGTATATTTCCACCCTCCTCTGTTGTGTCTGATTCAATATCAGTGCAATTTGAATCCTGGGATATATCCCTGCCTTTCACCATTTGTCAGGATCTGTTTGGAATGAAGAGGCCAGAAAGGGAGGCTTTAAATGAGCAAAATGAATGAAGAAGGAAAGAAGCCAGTACATAAACAACAGAGATTTTGCTGTGGTTAAATGGGGGATTGTGATCAGATGGAAGCTGATTAATGTTGTCAATGTTTATCAGCGATGATTAGTGATGGGATAATAGTCACGGACAAGTATCTTCAGTCTAGAATCCTGGCAGCCCTGCTCCAGAAAACAAATACTCAATATCATTACCAGATTAATAAAACATATTCCATGGAAACCATTGAAGGTCTTATATGCAGTGATTTAACACTTTCAGAAAACCAAACAAGACAATAATTTGACTCAGAGCTACATTTGCTCTGTCCTGAGTTATAATAGCTTTATTCATTTCAATATTCTCAGGATTATATATTTTGGGACTGGAGCTTGGAGAGGGCTGTTTTCTGAAACCAATCTGAAATTACCCAAAATGAACTTGAATCTCAGGAAGGCAGGGGGCATAACTTGTTTAGTGAACATTTCATTCGTTTTGGCCTCCTAGCAACTAAAACCTTTTTCTTTATTTGGGAGAATACCTGTTTTAATTAATAGGGCCTGCTTCCTAATATGCAAGCTAAAAATTCCAGATACTCACTTTCGTAAGTGCCCTTGCAACTAGGTAAAGGGCCTCTACCTTAGGGAGCTGACCTGGTCATTGCAGCTCAGAACACTGGCTTCTCATTGATTTTAAAGCTAGTAATTTATTTATAGAAAAGTAGGGATCTTGCAGGTGTCATTCTCATGTAGCTGGCAGCAGTCAGTGGCTGCATGTGGTTTCCACAAGCAACAGTGACCCAAGCAGTAGGCTCCCATGACCAGCTGGAGCGATGTTGATGGTGTAAACTGGTGTCTGCGTGCAGTGGCTACAGCAATGCTATCTCAATGGGGCTTCTCCTACTGTGTGATTTGGAGGCTTGTTCCTACATGCATAGGTTCCAAACCTGGTCTGGACCTCTGGGAGATTCTATGAGCTATGCGATAACCTTTAATAAATTAGCCAGAGTTGACTTCTGTGGCTTATAACTAAGACCCTGACTGACATAGAGCCAAAGATAGACCCAGGAGTGATTTGGCAGTTGTATTAGTTCTGTACTGCTGCTTAACAAATTACCTCAAACTTACCTTAAAACAACAAACATGAATCACCTGACACTTTCTGTGGCTCAGGTGTCAGGGCACAGAGCAGTTGGATCCTCTGCTTAGGATCTCAAAAGCCTGCAATTAAGGTGTTGTTTGAGTTGTGTTCTTATTAGAGACTTGACCAAGGAAAGATATGCTTCCAAGTTCCCTCAGGTTGCTGGCAGAATTAATTTTCTCACAGCTATAGAATTCATGGTAGTTTGTTTCACCACCTGAGTTGTTTAACTCACCTGATTTCGTTAGGCTCATCTAGGATAATCAGGGTTTTGATTTACTTAAAGTCTTTTTATTAGATGCTTTAATTACATCAGTAAAATTCTTCCATCGTTGCCATGCAAAGTAATCACAGGAATGATGTCCCGTTACCTTTGCCATATTCTGTGGGTTAGAAACAAGTGACAGCATGTGGGTCATTAGGGGTCATCTTAGAATTCTGACTTTCACAATTGTATTCACACATATTTGGAGGCAGCTGAACTTTTCATTTCAAACTGGGGCTATAGTGATAATGGTTCCTAATAAATGTCTCCTTGTGAGACTGGGGCCCTCTGTAAAATCCTACTTTAAAGCAAGGATTTCTCACTTGAGTCAATAGGCTGTCAGTCCCAAGATTATAAAAAAGATGGTACAATTTTGTTACATGGCTGTAGATTGACTAGGCCTGTGCTATGTTTGAATTTTCAGAGGGTAGTTGCCTTTTAGGTTTATAATCTTAGAAAATCTGTGGGTTATTTGTATATGGGAGCTTAGCCTGTGTCCCATCTGTTCTCAATAAAAGGTTGTACTCTACCCATTTAAGTCCCCCCAAAAGCTGAAACCATTTTAATAGTTCTGTTCCATGCAATTACTCCTCCATACACTGGGACCTGCTCACAGAATTGGCATCTTGATTGGGTAAGGCTGGGCCAGAGCTTCTGAGAGAGGACTCTCACAGGCTGTGGTGATATATGCTAACTTCCCTTACTCTTTCCTCCACGCACACCATATTCCTCCTCGAACGGGAGACTTCAGTATGAGGCCTGGAGTGGTGCGGCTTCTAGCCCTTGTTGCCGTCTGCATTAAGAACCTTCACTTTCTTCACTAGATGCAGAAGTGGTGGGAGTCTGCTATAAGCTTGCCTTTGTTTTTACTTCCTTCTGGTGAGTTCATGTTTCCTGTGTAAAGTCTCACACAATTAGATTAAAATAACTTGTTCTTAGTTTCACCTTTAGAAATAGAAGGTAATTTTTTTAACCAGGCAAACATGGTGGGAGATAGAAGTCAAAGTTGTTTTCTGGAATGTGATAGCAAGCACAAAACACACTGCCACAAGCTTCTGGACTTTCAAGACTGTTATTCATTGAGTGTGTGATGTCTGGCATTCATTTGAAAGGCAAATGTGTATCATTCTAATCTCTGTGAGAATTAGTTCATTAAAATTTTAACTATGTTCAGGCAGAGAGGGAATTCATTTTTATGTTCTGATGAGGCTTTCTCCCTCCTGTATTTTTACCTGTCTTCTCTATCAATTTTTCCTATCATTCCATACAAGCCCAAGTCTCTTAATTTTAAAACAAACAAGCAAGCAAACAAAACTTATATAATCCTAAGTTCTTCACTAATTACTACCCTGTCTTCTATCTTAACAGTCAAGTTCTTCAAGTTGTCTACAAAACTTTATCTTTCTTTTCTTACTGTTCATTTATTTTGCAATCTACATTGATCTGTCTTCATCACTGCTAATTAACTGAAACAGCTTTAAAATTTGCCCCAGGACTTTTTGATTACTTAGTTAATGAGCACCATTCAGTCTTTATTTTTTGACACCATTGGCCATTCCGGATTCTTGACCCTGTCTTCTCTCTTGGCTCTCAAAGACAACACACTTTCTTGCTTTTCCTTTCTTCTTATGTTTTTTCTAGGTACCTTTTGTCCCTTTTTCTCCTCTTCTTCTGCCTGCCTGAAATGTCTTCCCCTCCACCTTCCATTTCCCCACCCCTGTCACATCTGCTGTTATCCCAGAGAATCAGGACTTTAGCCTCCTCATCTTATGGTGCATGGTTTTCTTGGAATTTTTCACCTACTCCATGCTTAGCAATCACTGTTTTTACCAATGACTCTCTTCCCCACCAAGAAATAACTGCTACTTATATTTTGTGTAAATATACTCGTTTCTCTTTAAAGTTTTGCCACCTTGTTTATATACCTAAATAATGTTTTTTCTTATTTTTGATCTTTATGCATATGGTTTCATATTGTATATATTCTTTAATGGCTTTATTTATCTAACACTAATTTTTAAAGATTTACACATGCTTGTAGTTGTATTTCACTCATTGTCACTGTTATTTAGTATTTTATTGTACAACTATACATCAGTAAATTTACTCACTTTCTGGACTATGGATATTTACTTTTTTCTATAATGTTTGGCTGCTATGTACAATACTGCTCTAAACATTTGCTTATATTTTCTGGTGCCCAATAGTTTCTGTATTTAAGAGTAGAAGGATTGCAAGATATATGCATATTCAATTTTACCAGGTAATTCTAGACTTTTTCAAATACATTGTTGTCAATTTATTTATTTTTTTTTTTATTATACTTTTAAGTTTTAGGGTACATGTGCACATTGTGCAGGTTGTCAATTTAATCTCCTTTTATTAGTAGATTGGTTTATATCATTCAGTACCTTCCTCAACACTGGACATTGTTCATTGTTACAGCTTTTCCCACCTACAGTTTAATATATTTTGACTCAAGTCAGAAACTCTTGTGTAGGAAGAGATGGTTGCCTATAGACTTTGACCTTGCCACTGAAATTGTCACTGAAATGCCAGGGACTTGGTCTAGGTCCCATTGCTCACTGCACAGAAAACCAATCACTGAGACAGTGAGTACTGCCAAGGATGAAGACTTTATTTGGGTAGTGCAGCCAAGGAGCCCAGGAAATCAATCTCACATCTGCCTCTTTGGCTTACTAAAATTCGTGGTTTATATAAAAGAAGAGGAAAAATATAACTATGTATGAGACAACAGGAATTAGGGAGGGAGAGGGAAGAGGAGTTGGTCAACAGGAAGCAGGTAGTTGCTTAGGCAATCATGATGGGTTAGGAGTTTGGTGTCTCCTTGACCAGATTTGGTGATCTGGTAAGTTTTAGTTCCTTGGCATTGTCTGGGAGGTCTGATCGTTGGTTTCCTGAGAAAGGAACTCTGATAAGACAAATGTAACTTTCTCATGTTTTAAAACTTGGAGGGTCCATTTCTATGTTTATTCAAAAGAAAGCATAAACATCAGTTCTATTGGACAATTGGGCCAGTTTCAAAACGAGGGGTCATAGGGACCCTGAAGGTCTGAATTTCTTCTCTGATAATTTATGAAATATAAAATTAGGTCCATTCTCCAGGCAATTCAATTAAATTTAATATTTTATCTGTTATCTGTACAAATGGAATTAGAATACACTGGCTAATAGGAGTTATGGGAATAAAACCTCAAGATTGTAATTCAGTGGGATGTATTCTAAGTGTAAGGGGGCACGAAGAAATAACTGCCTCTGGAAGAGGAACTGGGTATTCGGATGTATTGCTGTGATAGCATGTATTGACAAGCCACACTCTGAGACCTCTACAGAAATTGATGTTTCTTTTATAAACTAAAATTTGAGCAGTGTGTCACATATAATATAATATAATATACTGTGTTGGGGTGGGGTGGACATGGATGAAGCAGTAAAGCTGGAGGAGAAAAGGCAAGGCAGATAAAAAGGGAGTTGAGGAGGAAGTCAAAGGTAGGGTTACTTCAGTGGCCACTAATATCTTCCTCCTCTTCCCTTTCTTCTTTCTCTTCTCCACTCTTCTCTGGCAAGGCACAGGGTTTGCAATTTGATTCACAGTCAATGTCTGCCCCTGTTGCACCAGATACGCTTCATTCATTGCCATTCCCCTCCTCTTCCATCCTTTGAAATAGGTTTAAGTCCTATTGAATATATCTAGCTAATTGCCTAAATTATCCAAAACATTTTTGATGAGAGTAAACAGGTTTTGACGATTTTGTTTCAAATAATTTTTGTAGTTGTTAAATTTAAACATACATGTATACTTACAAAGTTATAATGGATAGTAGTTTTGTTTCCTATTCTTTTCTCATAAGTCTTTGGAGATAGTTTAATAATATAAACCCCAATAACATTACATTGGAAATAATAACATTTTTATTAATTGGATAAGTAGACAGTTGTAACACAAAACTTTTGGTCTAGGACCTAATTCAGATAGAGAAGTATCCAAATGACGTAAAACTTTCGAGCAGCATAATATGACTCAATGGAATGTACTGCTAGTGGTCTGATTTTTATTTAGAAAGAGACTTAAAACACTAAGCTGCATTAACTATATTCTAAAACTTTATGAAAAATAAAGTTGAGTTTGAGGCTCACTTCCTCAATTCTGAATAATGTCCTAAAAAAATAGAAAACAAAATAAAAAAATTATTAATTTATTCTGGCTTTTAATTTTATATAATTCTTATGGGTTTTTTTGCCTTGGGATATCAGCAGATTTATTTGTCTATTTCACAAATAATTAGTGGTAAAATCTCCCTGTTTAAAATGTTGTTAATAACATCATAAAATAAAAAATAAAGTTATAAAATTAATCACATTTTTAAAAATTCATTTGTGTATTGCAGCCATGTAAATGTCAACCTTATACTTGACTGGTCCAAGAGGTGGTAATAGTGATGAACTGTTCTGATAATATTACCATGCATTTATTATGGTACTTCAGCTTTTTCAAAGCACTTTCACACACAAGTGAGGAAACTGGTCAAGGGAGTTTAAGTGACTTGCCCAGATGCAAAGCAGCTGTTTCTATTTGATAAAATGTTACAGATCAGAGTGATGTTAGTAAGTTCCAAGGCCAGCACAACAATCTTGTTCCTCTGAATCCTTCCCTGGTACATTTTTCTCCTGACCTCCCAGGCCACTCTAGTGAAGTGAAGCTGATGAACACCATATTGGCTGGTTCTGTTTGATAAGTTATTACCCACTGACTAAAGATGTCAGTGAAGTGAGCACTTCCAAAAAAAAAAAAAATAGATTAACTATACCATATACTACTCATATCCTTTGAGGTAAAAGTGTATCTTTTGGCTTAACCAATTCTGTTTTTATTAGCATGCATAGAAATAACCTATGTCTACCTGATGGATTAATTTATTCAACAACAGATATATATTAACGATCCTGGTTTAGAAAAAATGAGTGTCCGGCCTTTATGAGGTGCTGGACACTTGCTAATAGGAGTTATGGGAATAAAACCTCAACATTGTAATTCAATGGGATGTATTCTAAGTGTAAGGGGACATAAATAACTGCCTCTGGAAGAACAACTGGGTATTCAGATACATTGCTGTGATAGCATGTATTGACAGCCACACTCTGAGACCTCTACAGAAATTAATTTTTTTATAAACTAAAATTTGAGCAGTGTGTCACATATAATATTATATAATATTATATAATATACTGTGTTGGGGTGGGGTGGATATGGATGAAGCAGTAAAGCTGGAGGAGAAAAGGCAAGGCAGATAAAAAGGGAGTTGAGGAGGAAGTCAAAGGTAGGGTTACTTCAGTGGCCACTAATATCTTCCTCCTCTTCCCTTTCTTCTTCTTTCTCTTCTCCCCTATTCTCTGGCAAGGCACAGGGTTTGCAATTTGATTCACAGTCACTGTCTGCCCCTGTTTACCAGATATGCTTCATTCATTGCCATTCCCCTCCTTTTCCATCCTTTGAAAACAAGCTCCACTGCCCTGTTCTGTTTGTTGTCAAGAATGAAGGGCTTGGCGTAGGAATGTTTCCCAGACAGGAGGTGAAGGGGTCAGGCTGGACCTCTGGACATTTGCAGTGCTTAACTTGCTTGGCATGTCCTATGAAAGGGAGGGTGACTCCCAGTGCTTTTGACGGCAGTTTGTATATATGCCTCAAAGCACGAGTCAGATCATGAGATTGCCTGTCAGGTCATCTCCTGTGAAATCCATTATGAAAAACACCCGGAAACTGATGCCTGACTTGAAATCCTTCGTTTACTAAATTGCAGAAATTATCTTTGGAAGGTTTTGTCACTTTTATATTTTTTTTTTCATAAAAAATAATGTTTGCAGTAATGCCTCATGCAAAGTGCTAGTTGAATGAATCTGTCACTGAAACTTCAATTCCAGATTACCACACTGCAAGATCTGCTATTATAAATGAAAACACATCTTTAGAAAGTTCACAACAGTTTGAAGTAAATGAGCTATTGAAATGCGATAGAAAAATCTACCCTTTACAGATTAGTCAAACAGTGATTGTAGTCCAATATGTAAACACAGTCTCACTTTATTGTCAGGGTAAAATGGTCCTTAATGTGCTACTCCAAGTGCAGGTTAGCATTACCTAAGCTTACGAATAATGATATAAATTATCTTTAAGAATCCTTTGCTTGTGAGTATGACCACAGAATTCAAAAGCAAATAGAAAATCACTGCATTACAGAACTACCAGACTTTCTTGATAATTTTTTTTTTAAATCTCTGTAAGCACAGAATCACAATTTACTAGAGGAATGCTACCAAGCAGTTCCTAGAGGAACTTTAAAATTAGGTTTTAGCAAAAGAGGTCTAAAAATGCCACATCCTTGTATTACAAGAGCAAATGTGAATAAGTTGGTTTTACTTCCAGAGCACTGCTATGTTTATAGGGTGTTGTAGGGGTACAGGGCTCCTTTCAGTTTTTTTATGGTTCCTTTGGAAGACTATTATTTTATGGTATTTTATCACAAATGTGAACTATACTTTTTTTAAATAATAAAGATTGTAATTAGTTTGTCAAATGACAGGAAATTGTCCAGATCATGTAGGAAGACCAAAGAGAACATTGAGAATCCTTGACCAATAAATTAGAATCTTATTGTACTTGAAATTTTTACTTGACCCACTCACTGTTTGTGAAATTTTTATTGAGTGCATGTATAATTAAAACCTTGAAATAATGATTCAACCTCCGAAACTGGTAGAGTATGGCAAGGAAAGAGACAAAGAAGGGAGTGGGCAGGGAATGGAAAATGCAACTTCTTTCCCATTGTGCCTCTCCTGAAACAAATTCCCACAGAGGGTGCATGATCACAGCTGTTCATTCAGATTTCAAGGCTGCCCATGGCACATTTCACCACTGTACCTTTTTTATTTGCATAAAGCAATTACCCCCATGGTCAGTGGCTTCATAGTTGTCTAGACAACATGCTTCAGATGGTATCGATGACCTCAGACGCACCAGGCTAGCTCTAAATTAGTGATGAGGAGAGCTGGAGGGATGTATTATAGTAGTTATAAACCATAAGAAGGTATTTAAATAGATAGATAAGACACATGCAAATCTTTTCATTGCCATGACAACCATCTTGATATAGGTTTTCCATATGTAGCAAGAAGGGCAGAGCAAAAGGCACTGGGAAAATAGAAGGAACCTGTAATGAAAATGAACCCTGGCAGGGGATTAGTCCAGATCTTGGTCATTTATTAACTCTTAATAGAATACAAACTTCTGTAGTTGTACACTGCTCGCCGGGTCAGAGAATCGTTATTTCTAAACCACAGCTATATAGTTCTCAGCTGTATGAGTATATCCCAGGTCCCAAGCCTTCACAAATGACTCTGACTGATGAAAGAAAAGAATAAGGTGATGCCAGGGTGCTACTCAATGAAAATTCTTTGCTGCCCTTCAAAAGCCTCTCAGAGAAGGATTAATCCAATACTCAAATACATCATTTGTAGACATGTCTGTGTTGATCAGAGAAACTAATGAATTCCCAAATAATCATATAATGATGTAATACACTCCACTTCAAAACCAAATGATGTTTGTTCTTGTGCAACTACCTGGAGGCAGAAGAAAGGAGCTTCTGCCTGTTTCCCTCCATCCCTCCCTTCCTCTCTCTCATTTTTCTTCCTTGCTTCTTCCCCAGCAACTCCCACTTCTCTCTAGTTCTCATTCATCTCTTTCTCTTTTATTGCTCCTCGAGTTCTTCATTGTTTTAAAAAGCCAACCTAGTTTCAGGACCAGCTTTAGGCACTGCTGATCCTCCCGTGGGCTGGGAAGCTCTCTCCAGGAATGTTTTCTTCTGCCACAGATCTGCTGAGTGAAGTGAGTCCTGCTGGGCCTCTCATTCCTGCCTGGTTCACCCTGAACATCTGCTCAGAGGTGAACGACGACGGAGGGAGAACACATGCATACCTTCAGCTCAGTGTAACATTTTCCTCTGCAGATCACAGACCTCCACAAGGCCCTTAAATCTTTTGAAATATAAATGGCAATTCTACTTGCTACTTGTAAGGCCAAGCCTGGTACCATTGGCGGCACCACAGAGTCATTAAAATTCTTCCGTCAGATCTTTGTACGTGCAATCAATGTATGGATTCCTTTTGACACAAACTGGCATTTCAACACACAAGGGAACATTGGTGAAAACAAGCTGGTTTATTAATTGAAGTGATAATAAATAATTCCCCTAAACTTCAATATGTTTAGGCCAAGTCTTGGCTCCGTCATCTGAGCTCTGAGGCTATTTTAAAACATGGAATTCCTTTGTGCTTTTTCCAGCATGAAACCAAATCAAAACCAGAAAGATCCTTTTCTATCGCAAAGTTACTTAACTGTTAATTTGGTAGTAGACCTTATACACCAAACTCTATAGGGTATTATTTAAATATGGTTTCTTTAAAAACTATTTAAGTGGCAACTTGCAGGAGGCAGAGACAAGAAATGGTTAAACAACAAACGCCCTTCAGCAAAGCACAATTTAAAATCTCATTCATCAGATTCCACCTGTCTTTGGAAAACATTCTAACTTTATAGAAATTGAAGACTATCCATAGCCCCGAAAACTGTTGGTATTAACACTGTAGGGCATCCTGTGTCCTGACGTCTAGGTTCCTTATCCAGAATACGTGTTCTGTCTGACAAATTTTGGGGGTGTTGTTTTGCCTCCAAGATATTCAGATGTTCCTTTTTTGACAACTGTGGTTTTAATTAACCATCTTTCTGTGTATTTAAAGCAAAATGAACTTGGTCTAGTCTGGACAATAAAGCATTTTTATTTATGAACGCCATCCCTGTCATGTTAATTTGCACCACATTTCTGATTTATCCTAAAAGAACACATTCCACAGTGGATTTGGAGGAGTTAAAGGGAATCTACAGGGTGACTTTAATCTTTATGTCTTTATATACTGGAGGGCATTTTACTGCACCTCTGCACTGCTCTCACACAATCATTTTCTGCTTTAGAAATGTAGCCATTTGGATCAATAGTTACAGTACAATATATTGTACTTCTGATGGGGGCCTCCTAGGATGATTAAGGAGCACTGTGGTGATTTCACCAAATACTTGATTATGCTCAAAAATCTATTTTTAAAAAGAAAGTTATCACAACATACACAGAGCCAAATTTATAGGCATTCTAATGAAATGTTACTTACACTACTTACGTATATTAAAATAAAATTAGGAAAAATGGAGTGCAAAGAACACTTTGCAGCTTGAAAAATAGAGATATTTAATGGGACACTAGAGCAGTAGCAGCTAGAAGTAGCTGTCTTTTGGAATTTGTAGCTGCTGTGATATTTTGACTGCTACCAAACACTGAGATTTTTGGGTTCAGCATCTATTTCTGGCTGATGTGATGACTATACACTTCTAATATTGGAAAGAAAAGAGGAGAAAAATCCCTGAGATGGCCACAGATGTTTGCAGAGTGCACAGAGATGGAGCAAGAAAAGATGTAAAGACAGTATATGTCTCCTAAAGTGTTAACAAATGTAGGCTTCAAGTTGAGGATTTTACTGTAAATTCTTTATCTGTAAACAAACTGGGTTATCACAGCTGTTTATTGTACTGCTAGTCCTGATCCTAACCTTTATGTCTTTATTGCTTATATACCATTCCCTTGTTTATGCGTCTGTACCATTTGGTGCCCTTGAACTTGGTTCCTCTGAGCCCCGACCCCTGCATGCTTGCTCACTCACTCTACTCACGTCTGCAATCGGTAAATCTGAGACAGGCCCTGGCTGATAGCCGAGCTGCAGTAGGGCAATTAACACAGAACTAAAGTGTCATTCATGGCAGGGTAGGGAGAGTGGCAGACCGCAGATGACAGTTCTCAGTTCTGAAGCTGTGACATCCAGGCCAGACCCAGGATTATAGGGAACAAGGGGAAAAAAGAAAAGGGGGAGGGTAGGGGGTTGTATTTGGATGGAGAGAGTTCTCCAAAGAAAAGCGCTGAGTGGTTTCTCTTTGAAGAATTGTTTATTCCCTGTATCAGATTCCAGCTGTCTGACCAGTTAATTGGATGAATACCTAGAGGAAAACATTCTGTGCACTAAGTGAATTGGGGAAAATGGGCATCTTTCTTTCTCTTTAGAAAGAGAAAGTGCTTTTTCTTAAAAAAAAAAAAAATCACCAACTCTCAGTCAGCCTTTAACGGTGTTTCTGCCAGACTTAGATTAAAAAAAGGAAAAGAAATATCTTTTATTAAGTGCTTGCCTCCCCCCACCTTTTTACCCGCTCATGGTTTCCCCTGCAGCCACCTACCTGTGCCAGCTCTGATATCTTAATAAAGTTAGTGTTGAAAAGAAACAGAGCGCTCAGGTGGCTGCTCTCTGAGAAGCAGGTTCCTTTTTAGCCCCTTCCTCTGAGTGGCTCTGGAGACCCACCTATGCAGTAAGAGAAAGCTACTCCCATTTACCCCAAGTCAGAGGGCTAGAGGGCCCCCAGGCCACCAGGGGGCATTCTGGATCCTGAGGTTGAATATCTAGGTGTCAGCTTCTTGAAAGTTGTGCAAATCAATTTTGAGAGCCATTTTTTAATTTTGAGTGCCCTCCTTCCCCTCCTTCTTCTTACTCCCCCTTTGCCACACTGGACCTTGGCTTACTTACAATTCTCTCCAAACATTTTAACTTTTCATGAGATTGCTTCCAACTGTTAGGAGGCCATATTTAATAGTAGTAGCTATCATTTATTGAGTATTTAATTGATGCCAGGTGTTCTATATACTGTAACTTTATTTTTCACCAAACACAAAGAAAGAAAAATATAAAACATGGATAATTATCTTTATGTTCCAGATGAGGAAGCTGAAACTAAGAACAATCAAATATCTTGCCCAAGGTCAAATGGTGAGAAAGGATAGAAACAAATTTCAACCTACTATGATTCCAGGAAACAAGTCTAAAGCACTGGACCTCTATCTCAGCTCTATTATTCACTGGCTATGAGATCTTTTGGGTCAGTCCCTTAACCACTCTATGTCTCAGGTACCTTATCTGTAAAATGGGAATAATAACACTTGAAGGATTTTTGTGAGGATTCAGTGAGTTGATCCTGTGTATATAAAGTGCTTGGAGTATTGTCCAGTGCACGCCAAGAATCCTGCAGATGTGGTAGCTGTTGTTATCAGCACCATTACCTTGCCTCCCTGTTTATGGTGCACAGGTGAAGGGATTAGCAAGTTGGGGAAGTTGGTATGGTAATTTACACAGAACAACTGGCAATCTATAGAAGCATGGAAACAGAAAAAGAAAGAAAAGACTTGAATTTTGGACACAAGATTTATTTTTGAAGCATCAGATAATT